>NC_000007.14:157457583-157770648 GCF_000001405.40 Homo sapiens
GCGGGGGCGGTGGCCATGCCCCTTTCTCCTGCTGCCTCGCATCTGCCACCCTGCTGTCTGCCCTTGCTCATGCCTGAGCTGCCGGGAGGACAATCATGTCCCTTCAGAAAGGACGAGGCTCAAGGACCCCGTTCGACTCACTCCGGCAATTTGTTCTTAATCAAAACCATCGCAGTTCCCGGCTGGGAGTCTTGATTAAGCCTCTCCAGCGGGTGCTCTGACTCCAAGCCTCGTCCCTGATTTTTTTATTTAATTTCTTCCCACTCTTCTTTCAGATTTCTAGGTCAGGGAGTTTGAGGCTCGTTCTTGCTTCAGTGCAGCTTGGCGGTTTTGTGTCTGGTGTGAGGTTTCTGCCTGGAGGGTGAGGGTGGAAAACCTTGCCCTTCAGCCAGGACTGAAACCCCAATTGACGGCCCTCCCTGACTGTCCGCGTTCCCAGCCCCGAGGCTGCAGGGCCATTCTTCTTGACCTCTCTTGAACCTTCGCCCCCTACAGAGCCAAGGTTAAGGGTCACTTTCTCAGCTTCCTTCTGCTGGAGAGAACCAAAGATCTGCTCCCCTTTTGTGTGCAGGGGGTCGCTGCCCTGTGAACGGTTTCCAGGCACAAGGCCGTGTGTCTGTCTTTGAGGGAGAGACTTGTGGGGTCATCTGTCCTGAAGTGACAGAGGTTTTCTCCTGTTCTTCCAGCAGCAGCTTTGAACTGGGGAGCCAGAGAAAGGAGGAGAGCGGTGGGAGAGAGGAGGAGGAAGAACCAGGGACCGTTAAGGAT
Source organism: Homo sapiens (assembly GCF_000001405.40). NCBI lineage: Eukaryota > Metazoa > Chordata > Mammalia > Primates > Hominidae > Homo > Homo sapiens. Next base: position 157,458,352 of record NC_000007.14, read on the forward strand.
GGTTGATCTCTTTGTGCCTTTTAGGGAGAGAGGTCAGCATCGGATGGATGGTCACGCCTTCGGCCTCACAGAGGCAGAGGCCACCAAGGGTCACTTCCTTGAGCTCAGGGGCAGCCCCAGTGTCACTAGGCCCCTCTGAGAGGCACCAGGCAGCCGCTCCCCATCCCCGCTGTGGGGGCACAGGACGGTTGTGATGGGGACTCCCTCCTTTCCCCTAGTGTTGGGAAGGCAGCACCCCAACCTCTTCCTCAACGGTGACAATTCCCAAGGACTGTGTATCCTTAAAAAGGAGGTGGGAAGGCTTTGCAGCACTTTGGTGAGACCAATGTGGACACTGAGGCACATGCCAGCCACTTAGGCCCCTCAGCCTCTGCCTGGAGCAGTGCGGGTCCCTCTATGGCAATGCGGCCTCTGTGGACCTGCTGACCATGTGGCAGGCTCTGTTTCCTCTGAAAACTGCCCCGTCCACTGAGAATCTTCCACATGGGCTCCTGCCGACAGGTGCTAACCTTCAGAACTTTCTGATGGAGGTGACCTTCCTGAATTCCACCTCTTTTTTTTTTTTGAGACGGAGTCTCACTCTTGTCGTCCAGGCTGGAGTGCAACGGTGTGATCTCAGCTCACTGCAACCTCCGCCTTCCGGGTTTAAGCGATTCTCCTGCCTCAGCCTCCCAAGTAGCTGAATTCCAGCTCTTTCTAACTGCGCATTTCCCCCTGATAGCACGAATGCTCATTTAAGAAAAGTTGCAAAATACAGTTACAAAAAAGTTTTAAAAAGATGAGAGCCTTATTCCCTAGCGTTAATTATTGTAAATGCTTTAGAGTATTTTTCCCATCCTTTGATTAATTAGCATGTTTTGTGTATGTATGTATTTCATTAAAAACAAAAGTAGAATGCTCCTAGGTACAGTTTTGCATCCTGCCTTTCCACTTAATGGTATGTGTCATGGACATTTTTCACATCATTAAACCCTTTTCAAGAACATCATTTAAATAGCTACAGAGCTTTCCATTGTTTGGGGACACTACAATGTATCTTGTTCTTCTCCATTGTTAAAAGTTGACATGGAAAACGCTTCTGAACCTGGCTACATCTTATATAAACACGTTTGGACAATATGAGGCTCTTTTATGATCCGCTGACAGAAGGTGCTGAGCACAGGCTCCGTTGGTCCGGTCTTTGGCCCATGAGGCTGGAGAATCTTTGGGCACTAGAAAGTCGGTAGAGAAGCCAGGCGCGGTGGCTCATGCCTGTAATCCTAGCACTTTGGGAGGCTGAGGCAGGCAGATCACTTGAGGTCAGGAGTTCGAGACCAGCCTGGCCAGCATGGTGAAACCTTGTCTCTACTAAAAATACAAAAATTAGCTGGGCACGGTGGCAGGCGTCTGTAATCCCACCTACTGGGAGGCTGAGGCAGGAGAATCGCTTGAACCTTGGGAGGTGGAGGTTGCAGTGAGCTGAGATCATGTCACTGCACTCCAGCCTGGGGGACAGAGTGAGACTCCATCTCAAAAAAAAAAAAAAAAAAAAAGTCAGTAGAGAAACAAACCCTCATGCTCATGTGTCTATGTGTGTATTTGTGTCTGTGCGTGTAGACCAGTGTGTGTGTGCATGCGTGAGAACAGACCCAGGTATAGACTGGATATATGGAAATTGGTGACCGGCCTCTCTCTGGGGCTTTTGGTTGCAGGCACAGTGGCGGTGGGCCGGCCCTGGTGGACTGGAAGCTGGGTTTGGGCGGAGGGTCCAGGAAGGCTGACTTTGCCATGAGCCCCTGCCATGGTCACGAAAAGTCCACCGATAGGACCCAAATGGAACTCCACACAGTGCCTCTCAGAATGGAGGCTACCAGGTGTGGGCCGCAGCCTGGGACAGGCTTCAGGGAGGCCTGTGGGGTGACCGCAGATGATGGTGGGGAAGACAAGTGGGGCAGCAGCTGTGTCTGCATAAACTCTCCTGTAGCTTCCCGATCTCTCTCCCCTTTGTGGAAGGCCCAGTGGCGACTTGAGCAGTTAGAAGCACTGTGGCCGTGGAGCTGTGGCCACCACCTCTAACGCTGAGGTGCTCCATCCGTGCCGTGTGGCCCCGCGTGTGGGCATTCCTTTACTCTGGCAAGTCTGATGTTGGCAGGTGGCTGGGATTATGTTCCTGCTTGCTTGATTTTCAGTTTTTTTTTTTTTTTTTTAAAGGGAACACATAAAGGATAAAGAAATCTGCAAAGTTGTTTAAAAGAGCAAATTTTTTTTTGTTTGTTTTTTGAGATGGAGTCTCGCTCTGTCGCCCAGGCTGAAGTGCAATCTCGGCTCACTGCAACCTCCGCCTCTCGGGTTCAAGCGATTCTCCTGCCTCAGCCTCACAGTAGGTGGGATTACAGGCACGCACCACCATGCCTGACAACTTTTTGTATTTTTGGTAGAGGCAGGGTTTCACCATGTTGGCCAGGCTAGTCTTGAACTCCTGACCTCAAGTGATGCATCTGCCTCGGCCTTTCACAGCGCTGGGATTCCAGGCTGAGCCCCCGCGCCCGGCCAAAAATAGCAGATATCTTTTGACTCCTACTATAAACTTTTATCAATATGAGAGGAAAAGACATGCACTGACTTGAGTTTTGTGATCACAATGGCTCCAGACAGGATGGGCGCTTTTCCTCAGAGGATGCCAGGTGGATCCAGGCAAGGGAATGAAGCCGGTACGGCCACCTCAACCCTGCGAGACGACATGTCATTGCAGCCACATGGATCTCAGAGATTGTTAGATTATTTTAGCAAAAGGTCATAGGTCTCATGTACAAAATCTTCTTCCTTTGTGGCTAATTGCAGGGAAAACAGATAGTTACTTTCTCAATTTACTGGCGCTCCTGTAGCTTCTTGTATTTCCACCGCAAGGCTGCTGTTTGGGTGGATTCATGATTGTCTCTCTCTCTCTCTCTCTGTCTCTCTCTCTCTGTCTCTCTCTGTCTCTCTGTCTCTCTCTCTCTGTCTCTCTCTCTCTGTCTCTCTCTCTCTGTCTCTCTCTGTCTCTCTCTCTGTCTCTCTCTGTCTCTCTCTCTGTCTCTCTCTCTGTCTCTCTCTCTGTGTCTCTCTGTCTCTCTGTCTCTCTCTCTGTCTCTCTCTCTCTGTCTCTCTCTCTCTCTCTGTCTCTCTCTCTCTCTGTCTCTCTCTCTGTCTCTCTCTCTGTCTCTCTCTGTCTCTCTCTCTCTCTCTCTGTCTCTCTCTCTCTGTCTCTCTCTCCCTCCCTCTCTCCCTCTCTCTCTCTCTCTCTCCCTCTCTCCCTCTCTCCCTCTCTCTCTCTCTCTCTCTCTCCCTCTCCCTCTCTCTCTCTCTCTCTCTCTCTCTGTGTGTGTGTTTGATAAAGCACAGTGAGCTTTGAGGAGTCCATTTAATCCCTGCAGAAACCTAAGAGTGGTTTTAAAATCTAAATTATTGTCAAGAGTGACATTTTCATTTGACTTTAAGGGAAATGGTCCATTTCAAACAAAGACAAAAAATTGCACCAATGTCTCAGGGCTGAGATAATTTTTTCCCAGTAATACAAGAAGAACCATTAGTATGAATAGCAGAAAGGGGATCATCTCTCATGAACTTACTTTGAGGAAGGTTTAGAAAGCACCATCCTGGCCAGGTGAGCCCGCTGGCTGAGGAGGGTGTGGGCGGGACACAGGTGAGCCCGCTGGCTGAGGAGGGTGTGGGTGGGACACAGGTGAGCCCGCTGGCTGCGGAGGGTGTGGGCGGGACACAGGTGAGCCCGCTGGCTGGGGAGGGTGTGGGTAGGACACAGGTGAGCCCGCTGGCTGGGGAGGGTGTGGGTAGGACACAGGTGAGCCCGCTGGCTGGGGAGGGTGTGGGTGGGACACAGAGAGGACCAGGATGCTTGCCTTTTCCTCTTCCTCCTTGGCAGCTTGCCCAGGTGCTTGCTAATGTATTCAGTAAAGTTCAAAATAGGGCAGCTGCCCCCAAAATATAGTTTGGAGTGTCCATAAGAAATGTTCTCATTTTTGCCCCCTGAGCCACATAGGCATGACAGTGGGACACGGGGTCTGGGGCGAGGCTGGACGCTGCCATCCAGCACCCAGCTCGTTTCGGCCTGGGCTGCCCTCAGCACTGCGCAGACCCGCGAGCTCCTCATTTCCCCGGAAGATGAACGAGAAGGTTCGCGCGAGATTCTCTGCAAAGCCCTGGCACAGGCCCCGTCCCTGCAGCTGTTTATTGACGCTGTGGCGGCCGAGACGGCATGTTTGGAAATCTGCTTGGCATGGAGACTGCGGTGCCCTGACCACTGCAGACAAGAACTCGTCTTAACACCTGCAGGCTAAAGGAGGAAAGAGTGGGGTGTCTGCGTTAGAGGTTCAGAGCCGCAAGACTCCAACAGCCAAGTTCAACGACAGGCAGAGTTGGTGCCTGGAAACTTCTGTGGATCAGAGGGTTGTTGGTGGTGGTGGGTGCACACCTCACTCATGGTGGTGGTGTCTGAAACAAGACCCTTTTTGCTTTCTGTAGAACTGGCATAGACCGTGTGGTGCAGGTTCAGCTCCAGCTGTCAAGAGGAAGTTAGAGATGAGACAGTTACTGAGCAGGCTTCATCAGAGACCAAATGAACGCAGGGTTTCAAAAGCAAGACTTGGGGCCTCTCAGCTGAGCATTGTGACTTCTAGTGGGGTTTACGTGGCTCTGACAGGGTGTCCTCTGTGGCAGCAGCGTGGAGTGAGAGCACATTGTCCTCACGCTGCTCGCAAACCTGGTCAGGATGAGATGGTGAGAATGAGGCAGATTCTCGATGTGGTGAGGGCATCAGATAGCTGAGGCATGTTGAGAACACCCCCCAGCAGACGCCCACAGCCAGGTTGTGGTGTGGAAGACGAGCCGTGGGGGTTAAAATCAGCTGCTTTTTTTCACACAACGGTCCCTTGAGTGCCGATACAGACCTTGCTCTGATGTGCGGCAGGCGGACATTGTTCCAAGTTATGCTACTTTTGTTAAAAAAAGTACTTGCTGGTGAGAGATGATAATTTGAATGTAGTAACCTGGCACTTAGTTCATTTGCGCATGCCAGGCCAGTGACCGCCCGCTGCTCGTGATAAATACTGGGACTGGCCTCTCACTTTGGCTAATATTTTACCACAGTTCGAATTCACCTCTTCAAGCCTGAGCCCATGTTCTTTTTTTCCCACCTCGCCCCCATCCCCATCCTCACCCCTCACCCTCATCCCATCCCCCTCACAATCCCCATTCCCGTCCCCATCCGCCCCCACCCCATCCTCACCCCATCTGTCCCCACCTCACCCCATCTTCATCCCCATCCATCCTCCCCCCATCCTCATCTCCATCCATCCCCATTCACCGCATCCTCATCCCATCTATCCCCACCTCACCTCATGTGTCCCCACCCCATCCTCACCCCATCCGTCCCCACCCCATCCTCACCCCATCTGTCCCCACCTCACCCCATCTTCATCCCCATCCGTCCCCACCCCATCCTCACCCCCATCCGTCCCCACCCCATCCTCACCCCCATCTGTCCACACTCACCCCATCCTCACCCCCATCTGTCCACACTCACCCCATCCTCACCCCCATCCATCCCCACCCCATCCTCACCCCCATCTGTCCACACTCACCCCATCCTCACCCCCATCTGTCCACACTCACCCCATCCTCACCCCCACCACATCCCCATCCGTCCCCACTCACCCCATCCTCCCATCCTCTTCCCCACCCCATCCATGTCACAGTTCATGGGAAGCCTGGTGCACATGTGTAGAACCAGAGCCACCCTATCCCTGTCCCTCCCTTCCCTCCCCACTGGCTGAGCGGGAGGGGATGGCCTGGGATTGGCTTCCTACCGTTGCCATGACTGTTGCTAGGATCAGGGCTGTCTCCAGCCCCTGCAGGAAACATGTAATGAATTATGGATGTCCGATTTTCTCTGAGAGGCCTGATCTGTAATGCAGATGAGCACCAAGTCCCCCTTTTCTTCTGGTTTCTTAAGAAAAAAAAATCAGTTTTAAATCCGAAGCTGGCATTTGTGTAGTCCTGGCTGCCCCTTGCAGTGACCGCTGCCCGGTGTTGATTCTTATGCAAAGAGAGGGCCGGGGTCAGGGTCTGTTGTTTGTTCTGGAAAAGCTTGTAGGATTTTCACCAGACCTTGTGACCTTTGGGGACATTTTTTTTGTGTGTGATCAGAGACAGAATGGGATATAAACACTAGAAGTGACATTTTCTAAACGTGAGGCACTTCTCTGGGCTGGCAGTGCCAGGAGCGTGGAGGGCTCAGATCTCTGCTGGCAAAGGTGTGAGTGCTCTCCCTTCTCCCTCTCCCTCCCACTCCAGCCTCCACCCCAGAGCAGAGAAACGTTTGCCCAAATGTGACTTATACCTTCGTTCTGAGAGTAGGCACAGGTGGGCCTCTTCCATTGGCTGCCCTTGTGGGCTGTGAGCAGAGAGGGCCCTCATGTTTACTAAGTGCCCTTGTGGGCTTGGGGCCACCCCACCGCCAGATGGAGGGGACAGAGGTGACAGGCGACAGGGCTGGGCTCCCTGTCCAGCTCCCCAGTGGCAGAGGTCCTCGGACAGTGGGAATCAGAAGGGCGTCTTTGCTGGGCCACCCTTGGCAGGGAGTGACCTGAGCAGGTGCTTCCTGTGTGAGTGGGGGTGTCTGGGAACTGTGCAAGGTGCGGCCATGTGGGCATGCTCAGAGCCTGGTTGGACTGTAAGGTAGGAAGGCATCCAGTCGTTCCCATGGGCCAGCACAGAGGAGAAACAGGCATGTGTGCGCGGGCCTGAAGGCGGCCCCTTCCCGGCAGTCTTACCTAAGCGACTGGTCCCTTAGGCTCCCAGCTTCGTGCCTGTCACCCAGCATCCCCATTGCCTCACGGTTCCCCCTCTCACGGGAGAAACGTCGACAGTGCTGGTGGGAACACAGAGATGCCACCCAGGACCCCCGTGAGATGCAGACACAAGCGGCTTTAACTTTACAATGCAATGAAGCAAAATATGCTGGCTTTGAGACCCGGAGGGCACGAAAACAGGGAGCTGGGGTTCTGGAAGGACGCCAGCTCGGCCTGCGAGGGGCTGAAAAATACCTGCTGTTGCCTCTGTCTCGTTGAGAGTTGCCTCCCACCACCACAGAGGGAACCACGTGAGTCAAAGACAGAAAGAAAGGGACGGAAAAGAACTGTATTTCAAAGAGGCAAGCCTTTATATTAGAATGACGGCAACGCAGTTTAGGTGAAAATTACATTTGTCACCCCCACACTGGAGTGTTTATTGAACGGCAGCTGGGTCAGCTCAAGGAATTTCAAAGAGACGCAGGACACGAAGTGATGGATGAGTGGAATCCTCCACTAAAACTCCTTCCAGGACACTGTGTATCTGTCTACAGTTTCATTCTCGCTTTCTTTCTTTTTATTGAGGGCATGCCTTGGACGTTTTGTTTTTAGTCTCAGGACCATTTTAATGAAGAGCCATGGGTCACTGCTTCTATTCGGGGTCATGTACAGACAACAGTCAGTGGAAATAGCACTTGTCTTTGAATTGAGCAGATAGAAAATAGAGAAGGAAAGTCCTGGAGGAGCGGCTTTCCCGCCAGCGTCTACCTGTAGAGAGTGAGACGAAGATGGAGACAATTAACTGGACGAAGCAGGCAAAATCCCCGATAATTGAGGCCGGGTGCCACGGGGTGACTTTCCCTTTCTGGAGTTATTTAGCCAGTTTCTTTCTCTCTGCTGTGTGTGTCGACACAACCTTGGCCTCCCCCGCTGTAAAATGGAAAAACCACAGCCGCAGAGCTCACCAGGGAATTCTGCAGCTCTCGGAATGATTGCGCGCCGGGCTGACAATGCGAAGTGTTAGATTAACGTGAAAGTGTTCTATGTTGGAACATCGAATACAGACGAGGCATGTAAGAAAACGATGTTTTAAGAAATATGTTTTATGCTATATCATTTCTTTTACTGAAAACAATTGGACAAACAAACAAGAAAAGCCAAGGAAAATGCGACCGGGACGTGGAATCGGCCCGTCTGTGAGTGGAAGGATCACACTCCCAGCTGAGATAGAAATAAAGCCACGCGTGCCTCTGTTTCTATGCGTGGTAAAATAAACAAGCAACACTTCGAGGAACTATTGATTCTGTTATTAAAACACAGCCTGTTTGGTTTGCCAGATCGTAGCCATTATTAATGCATTATTAATTCTATGTAAGTGCCTGCTTGTCAGATCCATTAACCGGGGGAGTAATTGCCGAGGGAGAGAGCTCAGAAGGTGTGTCACGCTGCTCGCTCGGTCTAGGTGGAACGAAGCGGAGGGAAGCCACGCGGAGCAATGGAGGCAGCCCTGTAAGGCAGTGTCCGTTTCTGTCTGTGGCCAAAATGGCCAGGGATGTTTTTGGCCAAGCTGATGAGACAGAGATTGGAAGAGGAAAGTTTCATACTGATACTTCGGCTGGCTGGCTGCAGAGTAACCTGCATTTTGGGCCATTTTTGGTTAAATGTATGAAAGCAAACATCCACATAAAGGCTGAAATGGTTTGTCAATGACCCAGAGGCTGTTCCCGGGATCTTTTGAGCCCTGGGAACCTGGAGGTACCTGCAGAGCTGAGCAGATTGCTTCCGCATCAAGGAAACAAGCGGGACTTGTGAGAAGGGGCGGTTTGTGAGGCCCCTGGCTGCAGGCACTGGAGGTCCTGCCACCCAGCGGCACAAGGCTGCCCTGCCTGCTTTAAGGAGGAGACAGGACTATTGACTTGGTCCGATTTGCCTGAACTTCTTGAGTTTCTCACTGCCCGTGGATTCCAGTTGCTTTAACACGGGAAATCGGACCTGCTGGAGGAGACCCTGCGCTGTCCTCAAAGACAACACTGTTTCCACTAACGCAAGGATACAGCGTGATTGAAACAGTGCCCCACCCATAGGGTGGCTGGCAGATTGAACGTGGTGCTCTGTGGAAAAATGTGGTCTGGCCATACCCAGTGCTATGCACGTGTTTACCACCATTGCCTCCCCTTCTCCCATCTCATGTTATCGGTCTGTAAAGTGGGTGTCATGAGTGACTTCTGGTATCTGCTGAGGGGGGTGGTGTCTGGGTGAGGCCCGAGTAGTTGGAGGCTTTGGTTTTTGCATAATGGGACCCCTATTTTCCACTTAACCCGAACCAAAGCGGAATCATGGAAGGCCTCAATGCAGGCAGCCCTGAGGGCGCAAGAAAGTTTGCTTTGTTCAAAGGGCTCCTGGGAGCCGGGCGATGGGTGACCACGCCAGGAAGCACCTTGACTTGGGTACTTTGCAGAATCTTCCTCCCAGCGCACCTAGACTTGCCGCTGTGTGGCAGCTTTGACTCCCAGCCCAGTAACAAACACGTCCATGACGCTGTGGACTGACAGAGACCGCAGAGCTGGTCAACGTGAGGAATGGGGCCCGCGCCCCGGGGGACCTCCAAGGCTGGGGGCACGGGAGCAAGCGGGTTACTCAGGCCCACACTAACCGCACTTGTAACTTCTCTCCCTGAGTCAAGGCAAGTTTTCATTCAAGCCAACGTAACACAATCTTGCCAATGACTGGAAAAATAACTAGCTTTGCAAAAATTTAAAAAGACTCAGATAATACTCAAATTTGGAGCCCTAATGAAGTGTGTAAACCTCATGTCCACAGACTGTGTTACTGGAGCCAGAGGGGGAAGATCCCTGAATCAGCCCGCCTGGGGCCGCCCACGGCTGCTCCTTGCGTGGGAGGTGGCCCCATGCGGCCGCTTCTCTGGGGGACAGAACAGAAACTGGGGCGAGTTTGGCCCAGCCGCAACATCCAAGTCTGTGTTCATTTAAAACTAACTGCCTTTGATTGCATTTGACAAAAACATTGGTCCATGATTGACTGGAAATAAAATAATGAGGGTTTGAGACCCGGGCTCCGACCTCCCTTCTGTTCTGGGCCCGTGTGAGGCCGGGGACGGCCCGGGCAGGTGTCAGCAGCAGGAGTGTTTTCCGGGGTCCCTGTGGAGAACGTCTCTCCGCAGCTTCTCCTGGAACGTTGTCTCCGAGGCTCAGCAGCCTCCTCACACCCCCTGGGTCCACACCTCAGACCCATCTGCCCGCCCGGCCAGCCTGCCTCGTCGTTCCCCGCGGGCTCGTGCCTCAACAGGCAGCGTGTGGATGCCACCGTCACCTTCACGGGAGAGGCAGGTCCGCCCTGGAGCTGATCCCCTGGTGAGTGGGGACCATCCCTCACCTTTGGTTTGCCCGCGTTCTCACACGGGGACAGCTGTTTAACCCGACACCCTTCGGGGACAGCACAAGACACCCACGCTGTCTGGGGGTGGGCTGGAAGTGCACCGTCAGCTGGGCTTCTGGACTGGATCTGGCAGCCCTGCTGGTGGCCCTCAGGAGACGCCCGTGAGGGTTTTGGTGCTGGAGTGGGGAGGGGCTGCCATGGGTGAGAGGCTTTTCGGACACCGGTTGGGGGGTGGCTGGATGGGGTGACCTGGGGACTTGGACGATGGGGACGATGCCTGAGTCAAACCACTCAGTGCAGGGACCCCTGGGCCTTGATTTGGGGTCCTCCTGCAGTCCGGCCTCACTCACCCCGAGTTCAGGCTCTGCAGAGGTAACCCCGGTGGGCAGGGAGAGAAATGACCCAGGGGCCGCCACTGAGCTGGCAGCTTGGCGCAGCTCCATAAGAACACGGGCTTTGGTGCTTGGATTCCAGGAAGAGTGACTGTGTCTTTCCTGTGACCTCAGCGAAGCCTGGGGGCTTTCTAGGGTAGTGGTTTTTTTTTTTTTTTAACAAAGGAGGGGCTGCCGATGTCCCAGAAACGTCACCGCAGACGCTGCAGCATCAGCTGCCACCTTTCAGGAGCTTCACCGCCTGTTGGCATTTCTGATCGAAGGAGAGGGGCAAATGCAGCAGGGGCAGGACCCTCGGCCTGGCCACTCACACACCTCAGCCTGGTTGGCAGTTCACAGGGAGAGACCCTCTGAGGTGAAATCTCTGATGCTGTCCAGGTTCCTACCATCCCCTGACGCCCTGCACCAAGCATGGCAGCTTTTGGGGTCCCCACGAAGGGTCACCGACCTGAGAGGTTCTCGCTGCTGCTGATGGAGCCACAAGGCACGGAGCTAACGTGCTGAGTAGGGGGTGCAGACCCGGCCCCCGCCTGCCTGTCCCCCCTCCACCCCCGACCAAGGACATGCCGGCATCGGAGGGTTTGTGTCTACACTTCTCCCGGTCCCCAGGGTGCAAGAATGAGGCCGGGTGTCGGCGCTGGTCTCTGCTTGTCTGGAAAGGACTTGCTGTCCTGGGGGAAGGGCAAGGGGCTGCTGGCCAGTCCGCAGTGTCCCCCCGAGCTGTCAGCTCCTTCCAGGGTGTAGGGTCTGCGGATGGGAGGGGCTCAGGTTGAAGCTGTGTCCAGGCAAAGGGGAAGCGCAAAGTCGAAATGTTTCCTGGGCAAGGGGCCGGCGGCGCCTAATTCCACCTTGTGTGCCAGTGCAGTTCATAGCCCAGCAGTCACCCGGGGTGGGGTCAACTCTGGAAGGCCCCTGTGTGTTGACTCCAGGGTGAACCCGGGACTCCTGAGTGGGCGCCCAGGCCCCTCTAGTGCTGGCCGCCTCTGCTTCCCTCTCCAGGCCCACCTGCCGGCCACCACAGTGGCCCCCAGCGCCCAGCCCAGGTCCCCCACGCCGGCTTCTCTCGGCCCAGGTCACTCTCTTCACACTGTCATCTGCCAGTCACTTGCACACTCTGATTCCCAAGGCGACTCTGCTGCAGGCACACGCCCTCAGCAAGACCTGGCTGAGTGCCGTCTGTGCCCGTGGATGCACGCGCAGCTCTCCTGGGGACACTGGCCCTGGCTCCACTCCCTGGACAGATCTGTGCCCGGCACTGGGTCTGCTCCCTGCACAGACCCACACCTGGTGCTGGCGCCACTCCCCGGACACACCTGCCCCTGGCGCTGGCCTGGGTTGGGTGTGTCCGTGTGTCCAGCGCTGGCCTGGATTGGGTGTGTCCGTGTGTCCGGCACTGGCCTGCGTTGGGTGTGTCCGTGTGTCCGGCGCTGGCCTGGGTTGGGTGTGTCCGTGTGTCCGGCGCTGGCCTGGGTTGGGTGTGTCCATGTGTCCGGCGCTGGCCTGGGTTGGGTGTGTCCGTGTGTCCGGCGCTGGCCTGGGTTGGGTGTGTCCGTGTGTCCGGCGCTGGCCTGGGTTGGGTGTGTCCGTGTGTCCGGCGCTGGCCTGGGTTGGGTGTGTCCGTGTGTCCGGCGCTGGCCTGGGTTGGGTGTGTCCGTGTGTCCGGTGTTGGCCTGTGTTGGGTGTGTCCGGCGCTGGCCTGCATTGGGTGTGTCTGTGTGTCCGGCGCTGGCCTGGGTTGGGTGTGTCCGTGTGCCCGGTGCTGGCCTGCGTTGGGTGTGTCTGTGTGTCTGGCGCTCCAGCGGGGAGTCTGTGGGGGGCATGTTGCTGAGGTGCTGGGAGCTGGGCCTGACACTTCTGTGTTTTATTGAATCTCCCAACATCCAACATCCCATTTCCATTTAACAGATGAGGAAATGAAAACACAGAGAGGAGAAGGCACTCGCCTGAGGTACCCTGCCAGACGCTGGGGACGGGCTCACACGCAGCGGCCCAAAGCCTGCTGCCTCTCGGAGCAGCGGGGGTCTGGGACGGATATTGAGGCACAGGGCCTTGGACGTGCCCGTGGAGCTGCTCAGCCAGTGGGGAGTTAGCCAGCGTTTTACAGGCAAAGCTGCGGAGCTGTGCTGGTGCCTGTGTGTGAGTATTTACATGCAGTTTGTTACTTGGGGAAATCATGTACTCTTCTCACTGCTTCTGGCTGTGCAGAACACAAACTCAGATCTGGAATCTTCTCACTGCTTCTGGCTGTGCAGAACACAAACTCAGATCTGGAAGCAAAGGGCAGATGCCGTGCAGAGCGTCAGAAAGCACTGCAAACCTCAGACCAGAGGGAAGCCGGGTTTTTAAACCATCTTCCTGCAAGCCTTTTCAGGAGGACCAAAATTAGACCAGGTGGTTGAAGGAGGGTGGGTACAGCTGATGCTCCAATTCAGTCAGCTTTTAACGTGGCTCCTTCAAGCAACTGCTGCCAACCCGCTGTGCTCACCCATCCTGGTTGGGAAGGAACCTGCTGTTCTCAACAAGCCGAGTGTCCCTGCCCCCAGCCCCCGCATGGCTGAGGCTGCCCGTGTGTCAGTGGTGCAGGGTTGTTGAGGGTGCAGCACAGAGTGTGGTGATGATGCCGCCTCCATCCCCATTGCTCCAGGGCCAGGACTTGGATCCAGAGTGGGAGGAGCTTCAGCTGGGAGGGTGGCTGAGCAGCCAGGGAGTGCATCCGTCCCTGGACTGGGGAGACCCCACTGCTGAGGGGCAACAGGAGTGCATTCTATTGCAGACAAACTGCAGGTCCACTCTGACTTCTGTCTTTTCAAGCCTGGCTCTCTCTCTACCACTTCTGAGGTCCTGGCCTTGCCTTGCCGCGATGGCTGCTGTCTGCACCTCAAAGCTCATGCTATTGCTTGGCCCTCTTCTCAATTTCCTGTTTTGTTTCTGCCTTCTGTGGTATCTCCCATGCTACTTGCTTTATACATTAAAAAACCCTCAAAAACAACAACTCCAGGCATTTCCTGCCAAGCAAGCATTTTGGGCAGAACTTTTCCACTTCCAGGATGGGCTGGGTTGCTGTTGACTGTCTGAGAAGCAGCAGAGAGATTAGACATGTCTTTCTCAAGAGCAAACAGGCCTAATACATTTCTCTCACAGCCAAAATTGCCCTGTGTTTGTGCTACTGGAGTTCACTCTTTGAGGCTCTGAGTGGCTACAACCTTCTGTGTCTCCACCAGCAAGGACGTGCACAAACTGTACATATCCTGGTGGCAACTGGGAGGAAAGTCCAGGAGGAGAGGCTGTGGGCACCAGCTGATTTGTAGGGACAAAGTTTACTGAGGAGAGAGGAAGCAAGCCTTGAATTTGTCTGTCCTCTCACCTGGGTTGCAGAGGCTCCCAGGCTGCCCCGAGGGCAAAGCAGGGGAATGTCCCTCTGCCGTCTCTCCAGGATGCTTCAAAGGCACTTGCCTGGATCTGTGAACCTCTGCAGCACGTGGCTGGGAGGGATGGGAAGTGCTGGCAACGTCCTTCCTGGGAGATGGCAGCCTCTGCAGGAGAGGGAGCCCATGCCTGGGGAGAGGGAGCCCGTGCCTGGGGAGAGGGAGGGAGCCCGTGCCTGGGGAGAGGGAGCCTGTGCCTGCGCTGGCCCTCTAGGCTGGGAGCAGGGTTTCTATCACACTGGGCTGCAGAGGGGAGTGAGGCCATAGGCCGGGGCTCAGTGCCAGGGCTCTCATGATTTCCTGGAATGCCTGTTTCTTCACAAGCTGTATGCCCTTAAATTCTGGAACTTTAAAATTTGTTTGAAAAATAAATTTCACCAATTATGCTTGTTTCACTGGGGAGTCAGTCTCCCCCAGCTGCTGGTCTAGAAGAGGGACTCCCTCTCTGTTGTCTCTGGACCAAATCCACATTCACCAAAACCGTCAGTGATGATGTCATCATTTTTGCTTAAATTGCGAAACATGTTTTAAAGCATGCAAGAGAGGAAGAGGGGTCTATTCTTTTTACCCAGGCAGTTTCCATTTCTGTTACTCCTTTATCATTCCTGACACTCTGTGTTTTCTTCTGGTTTCATTTTGCCTCTGTCTGAAGAACTTCCCTTAGCAATATTTTTAGAAGAAGTCTGCTGGAAAACAATACTCTTTTCCTTCAGCTGAGAATATCGTCATTTCACTTCATTACTGAAGGCTCTTTTCATTGGAGATAGAATTCTGGGTTGACATTTAGCAGTTTAAAATGTTGTTCCACTTCCTTCTGGACTTCATTGTTTCTGAGGAGAAATCTGCAGTCTTTTGAATAGTTGTTACCTAAAGAGTAATGTCTCCATTTTCTCAAACTACTTTAAAGAATTTTCCTTTGCCCTCAAGTTTTAGTCTTCATTATGATGTGTCTGGCTGCGTAAAGATTTCTTTAGTTTTATCTTGCTTGGGGTGTTTGCTCAGATTCTTGAATTTGTGGGTTTATGTCTTTTGCCAGATTTGGAATGATTTTGCTGTTATTTCTTCAAATATTGTTTTCTTTATTGCACTGTTTTTCACTGTGGAGGTTGGCAAGTCCAAATCTGCAGAGGAGGCTGGCAGGCCCAGGAAAGAACTGGCATCTTGGTTCACGTTCGAAGGCTGAGAGCTGGCAGAACTCCCCCTTCTTTGAGGGAGGGCAATCTTTTCCTTAAGGCCTTCAACGAATTAAATGAAGCACACCCACATTATGGAGTGTCATCTATTTTACTCAAAATATGTTCACTTAAATGTTAATCTCATTAAAAAATACTTTCCCAGCAAAATTCAGGCATGTTTGGCCAAATATCTGGGTGTCACAGCCAAGCCAAACTGACAGCTAAAATTCACTGTCACGCTCCCCTACTTTGATTCCAGTGACACAAATCTTGGACATTTGCTATGGTCCCACAGGTCTCTGAGGCTCTGTTTATTTATTTCTTCAATCTTTTCTTCTTTGTCATTCAAATTGAATACTTTCTACTGATCTTTAAGTTCATAGATCTTTCCTCTGTCACCTTTATTTTGCTAGGGAACCCATCCACTGAGTTTTAAAATTTTGGTTACCATATTTTTTTGGTTCTAAAATTTTGATTTGTTTTCTTCTTTATATCACATATTTCTTTGCTGAGACTTTTTATTTCCATATTTCTCAAAAGTGTTCACTCCTACTTCTTGGAATATTTTTGCAATAACTGCTTGGAAGTCTTTATCAGAGAATCCCAATATCTGCGCCATCTCAAGGCTGATGTCTGTTTTCCCATGTACATGGAGATTTTCCTGTTTCCCAGGTCTTTGTATGGCAAATAATTTTGGATTATATGCTCGGCATTTTGAATATTATATTATAAAAGTGTGAGTTTTGTTTCTATCTTATGAAGAATGTGAATATTTTTGATTTAGCAACCAATTGACTCTACAACCAAGCTAACTGGGTTCAGAACACAAGTTCCAACCAACCTTCTGTTGTTGTAGTTTAAAAGTCAGCTCCATTTTTTTTTTTTTTTGAGATGGAGTCTCGCTCTGTTGTCCAGGCTGGAGTGCAGTGGCGAAGTGGCACAGATCTCTTGTCTCACTGCAACCTTCACCTCCTGGCTTCAAGCGATTCTCCTGCCTCAGCCTCTGGAGTAGCTGGGACTACAGGCACGCACCACCATGCCCAGCTAATTTTTGTATTTTTAGTAGAGACGGGGTTTCACCATGTTGGCCAGGATGGTCTCAATCTCTTGACCTCGTGATCCGCCCACCTTGGCCTCCCAAAGTGCTGGGATGACCTCGTCCGGCGCAGTCAGCTCCATTTTTAAAAGCCTTTGCAGTGCTATCTGGGTCAGTTCCGTGTGTGCGCCACCTGGTGGACGGTCTGAGCTCTGGGTGGGGTCTGTTCCATAGTTCTACATTTGTGGCACGTTGCTCAGGGTCAGACCCACACACGTGCAGCTCAGGGCGGCCCAGGCGTTCAGAAGCAACTTCACTGGGGCACGTCCTAGGCCTCTCTGCTCTTCCCATTGGACCTCCCCTTCTCAGTCTCCTTCCAGAAAGCTGGAGCTTGGTCAGCTCTGTTGTGCCTGTCACACACCTGCAGGTGTCTGAGGCCACATGGCAGGAGGATGCAGAGACAGCAGTAGGGTGTGCACCACCTTCTTAGGACGACAGCTCCTGTGACTGAAGCAAGAGGCTCATCTAGTCTCGGAGGGTTGGCAGACCCTCTCCTGGTGCTTGTCCACGACAGAAGCTCTTCCTTCCACACCAATACCTATTGGTGGGTTCTGGGCTTGTTGGAAAAACATGGTGAACTCATTGCTAGTCAGGGGTTATTCAGAAATCTAGTCTTCCTGCCGAATCCATGTGCCTTGTTTTCCAGAGACCCATGCATTCCACAGAAGTCTGATGGCTGTGTCTGTGGGGAGAGACTGGGTATGCTCACTCCTTCTTACTGAAAATCCCCCTCACTGCCCGGGTTTTGTTTTGTTTGTTTGTTTTATTGAGACGGGGTCTCAGCCTGTTCCCCAGGCTGGAGTGCAGTGGTGCAATCTCGGCTTACTGCAAGCTGCGGATCCCAGGTTCAGGCAGTTCTCCTGCCTCAGCCTCCCTAGTAGCTGGGATTACAGGTGCACACTGCCACGCCCGGCTAATTTTTTTGTATTTTTAGTAGAGACGGGGTTTCGCCATGTTGACCAGGCTGGTCTCAAACTCCTGGCTTCAGGTGATTCACCTGCCTTGGCCTCCCAAAGTGTTGGGATTACAAGTGTGAGCCACTGCGCCCAGCCACTGCCCAGGTTTTAAGTTCTTTGTTTCTGACATCTCAGCATTTCCCTTTTCTTCTCATCTATTTGGGCTCGGCTGTGAGCTTCACCTTTCGCACGGTGGTCCTTGCAGCGTGTGGTTGGCTGTGTGCTCGGGTTGACAGCATGTTTGGTGGTTTTAGCAAATCGGGATTCCCTGTCAGCTTGGTCCACTGTGGTGCCAAGGCCAAGGGCCCCTGGTTTTCTCCACGTCTCTGGAACCCACAGAGAGAGTGTTGAGAAATGCAGCGTGGTAGGGAGGTCTCCAGGGCTCAGAGGAGACTCATTTCTACCAGCCATGTTATACAGAAGCATTTTATACTTATTGCTTATCTTACACCTGAAAGTAATTTTTTTGGTCACTGTGAATCCGCGGGCTCCGTATAGTGCCTGTTACCCTGGAGAATGAGAAACAGGATGGCATAATTTAGAAACTGTCATCTTGTTGAAGGTGTTTGTTAGGATTACATTTGGCTGTGACTAGCAGAAGCCCCCAAAACAAAATGGTTTGCCCAAGGTTAATTTGATGGCTCCTCACACCAGCCACTGAGTGCCTGGCAGGAGGTGGATGCCCAGGCTTGGGTGCTGGCTTTGCCTTAGTGTCCTCTGACCCACGCCCCTCCCGCTCCCCCTCTACCACCCTTAGGGCACTGGTCAGGCGCCTGCAGGGATAGAGAGCAGCTTGAAGGCAGTGGAATTTGAGAAGGAGTAGAGCTAGTGGAGGAGCCGGGATCCTGGGGACAGAGGATGAGAAAGTGTCTGGAAGTCAGAGTGAGACAGCGTCCTGCACAGTGGGCTGGGGAGAGAGGGAGTGTCCTGCACGGTGGGCTGGGGAGAGAGGGAGCGTCCTGCACGGTGGGCTGGGGAGAGAGGGAGCGTCCTGCACGGTGGGCTGGGGGAGAGAGGGAGCATCAGAGGTCTTCTGCTGAAGACATGGCCAGCCCAAGAGGACCTCTCCAACCTGGCCTCTGTCTCCCTTCCTCTTCTTTTCTCCCAAGGCTCTGCTTCAGCCAAACTCAACCAAAGGTGAGCAGGCATGGAGCTGGTCGAAGCTGTCCTTGGCCTGGGCTTTGGGGGCAGAGCGCAGGGCAAGAAGGCCAGGGATGCCCAGGCTAACTTTGAAATCTGAGTTCTCGACCTTGATAGGATAGGAGGTCAGAAGCACCTTGTTATAACCCCATTAGGATTTCTTCCTGGGGGCCTAACAGAAACTGGCTCCTCCAAAAGACTCCACCGCTGGCACCAACCACCTGCCTGATGCCACCCCTCCTTTCCTGCCTGGTAAGAGACCACTGACCAGAGGCTGGTTCCGGATGACCACAGGCTGGTTCCGGATGACCACAGGCTGGTTCCGGACAGGCTGCGGAGGATGCGCAGGGAGGGTTTTTGTGTCTGCTGCTTCACCTTTAGACCTCAGAGGGCTGGAAACTCCACCCTCGGGCCGTGATAACACCACCACTTTTGCACATGGGACCCATGAGGGGCAAGCAGCTGTTTTGCACATACGTATGTCTCCTCTCGTGAATATTGGTGACTCCTCCTATAGCGTGTTGAGAATGTATACTCAGCCACTGGCTCAGCATCAGTTCCCTTCCCTTTACCCCTCCCTGGACGTGCCTGTTTCTGGCTTCTGGTCAGAGGCTACACATCCCAGCCTGTCAGGATGGCCCCTGCAGCTCTCCTTTCCAAACAAATAGAAAGAAGGGCCGAGACATGCGGAGGGTGGAGGAGAAGGCATGGTGTGGCCTTGTGCTCACAGTGTGGGACAGGGCTCCTGTGTCCCAGCAGCAGGCTGGAGAGAGGAAGAAGAAGATGGAGAAGCCAGGAGTCTACTACCCCTCGGGGAAAGCCCCCAGAACTGAAAGCGGCAAGGCTCCTGTTGACATTTTGTTCATTTCTGTTCCTGTTGGGAGAACTGAGTCCTCCACACCCAGCTGCTGGAGGGGCTGGGAAGCCTTTGTTAATTCTGGGACACCCCACATGGCCTTGGGGCCATATTCACAACTCATGTGCCCCTGGCAGGCACCGGGTTTCCCAGAGGCTCAGCTCTCAGCTCTCTCCCCTTGCCCATGTCCCCAGCCGAGAAAGCCTCGGAGAGAGGTGTGGGAAAGGAGGGGAGGCAGGAGTGTGGACCACGCGGAGCTTGGCGAGAGGCAGGGCTGCATCCTGGTGGGAGTGGGTGGCAAAGGCTGGGCCTCTGGGGACGCTGCAAACTTGGGGCAGCTCCGTCAGTGCCTTCACAGGACCTGAGCAGAGGAGGCTTGCAGGACCGCCCCTGACGGGTGCTCCTCGGGGCACAAGTCACACTCATCCTGTGCCGTCTGCCATGAGCTCCGCACACCCCGTGAAGCCTGGACCGTCTCACGGGGACCAGAGACTGCGAGTTAACTGGTTTTCCTCACAACAGGGATGCCGTGACATTGAGGCATTTGCTGGTGGTGAACAACTTAGTTTCTTTCCTGCATAACTTTTGTTATTTTGAGCAATCTCACTTTCACTTTCAGAGAGCGGTTGAAGAAGAAATGATCAGGAATTGGAGTTAACAGCTTTTCTGTGGGGCAGTTCGACATGAAGAAAATACCTGTTCAAGGACTTTGAAATAAAGATGAAAAAGAGGCCACACGTCCTTACATACCTGATATTTCTTTTTTTCTTTCTTTCTTTCTTTCTTTCTTTCTTTCTTTCTTTCTTTCTTTCTTTCTTTCTTTCTTTCTTTCTTTCTTTCCTTCCTTCCTTCCTTCCTTCCTTCTTTCCTTCCTTCCTTCTTTCTTTCTTTCCTTCTTTTTTTCTTTCCTTTCTTTCTCTCTCTCTCTCTCTCTCTTTCTTTCTTTCTTTCTTTCTTTTTTTTTTTTGAGACAGTTTTACTCTGTTGCCCAGGCTGGAGTGCAGTGGCTCAATCTCAACTCACTGCAACCTCTGCTTCCTGGGTTCAAGTGATTCCCCTGCCTCAGCCTCCTGAGTAGCTGGGATTACAGGCGCGTGCCACCACACCCGGCTAATTTTTGTATTTTTAGTGGAGATAGGGTTTCACCATGTTGGCCAGGTTGGTCTCAAACTCCTGACCTTAAGTGATCCACCCGCCTTGGCCTCCCAAAGTGCTGGGATTACGGGCGTGAACCACCGCGCCCGGCCTGAGCCACCGCACCTGGCCGTTTTTTATGTTATGTGTATCGTATGCTGTGTTCTTACAAGTAAGCTAGAGGAAAGCAAATGCTATTAAGCAAATCTTAAGGAAGAGAAGACACGTTTACAGTTCTTAAAATGGGAGTGGATCCTCATAAAGGTCTTCATTCTGGCCGTCTGCCGGTGGAGCAGGCTGAGGAGGGGAAGAGGAGGAGAGGCTGGCTGTGCTGTCTTGGTGGAAGAAAACCCGTGTATCAGTGGACCTGCCCAGCTCACACCTGTGCTGTTCACAGGCCAACTGCACTTGAGTTGTTTCTCCTGAGAACAAAGACAGGCTCCATGTGCCGGAAATTTTCCGCTGCTACATGTCTACGATTTGATATCAGCCACATTCAACATTCTTCACTATTTCCGTAATTTCCCTCGTAGCTCTTTTTAAAAATCAAACATTCAATCCACCTGCATTTAGCTTTCCTGGTGTCCTTTCTTGTTCTACGACAATTCCTTAGCCTTTTATTTTCTGCTTTTCGTGACGGTGACATTTTTGAAGAGTCTGAGTCCATTGTTTTGCAGAGTGGTCCCTCCGCTCACGTTTGTCTGACCGCGCTGACATTCAGCCTCCTCATCTTTGCAGGGCCCCAAGGCCTCGTTCTCTGCTCCTGGACAGGTCAGCAAGACCCGTGGCTCTGGCAGGGAGCCCTGCAGTGCTCGGGCAGTGCGGTGTCCAGGAACACTGTGGCTTTTAGCTCCTCTCTCTCTTCACTTCGGGGAACTTTTCTTTTTCTTTTTCTTTTTTTTTTTTTTTTGAGACAGGGCTTGCTCTGTCGCCCGGGCTGGAGTGCAGTGGTGCGATCTAGGCTCATGGCAACCTCCACCTCCCAGGTTTAAGCGATTCTTGTACCTCAGCCTCCCTGAGTAGTTGGGACTACAGGTACCCGCCACCATGCCTGGCTAATTTTTATTTTTATTTCTTTGTATTTTTAGTAGAGACAGGGTTTCACCATGTTGGCCAGGCTGGCCTCCATCTCCTGGCCGTAAGCGATCCACCCAACTTGGAGCCACCATGCCCGGCCATACTTCTGGGAACTGTTCTCACTTTATTCATACATCAGCAGTATTTGAGCACTCTCTCTGTGTGAGCACGCCTCTGTGTGTGAGCACTCTGTGTGTGAGCACTCCTCTGTGAGCACTCTGTATGTGAGCACTCTGTGTGAGCACTCTGTGGGTGAGCACTCTCTGTGTGTGAGCACTCCTGTGAGCACTCTGTATGTGAGCACTGTATGTGAGCATTCTCTGGGTGAGCACTCTGAGCACTCTGTGGGTGAGCACTCTGAGCACTCTGTGGGTGAGCATTCTGAGCACTCTGTGGGTTAGCATTCTGTGGGTGAGCACTCTGGGTGAGCACTCTGGGTGAGCACTCTGAGCACTCTGTATGTGAGCACTCTGTATGTGAGCACTCTGGGTGAGCACTCTGTGTGTGAGCACTCCTCTGTGAGCACTCTGTATGTGAGCACTCTGTGTGAACACTCTGTGGGTGAGCACTCTCTGTGTGTGAGCACTCCTGTGAGCACTCTGTATGTGAGCACTGTATGTGAGCATTCTCTGTGGGTGAGCACTCTGAGCACTCTGTGGGTGAGCACTCTGGGTGAGCACTCTGTCTGGGTGAGCACTCTGTCTGTGAACACTCTGTGAGCATCAGCCTTGGGACGGGCTCCCTGGGGTCGTGTGCTCACGGCCACATCAGCTTGTGTGCGGCAGCGGTCACAGAGAGGGAGAGGTGTGGTTGGTCGGCACCAAGCCCCCTGCGCATCCCCGGCGTGGTCCATGTTGAGGGTGCGGGGGGTCCTCGTCCCCTGAGTAGATGCTGATTGTCTGCTCTGAATGGCCACTGAAGCAAAGCCCAGAGAGGCTGAGTTCTTGTCCCAGGCACCGGGCTCTGACAAGGGGAGCTGGGTCTGCACCCAGGTCCAGCCCAAGCACTCCCGGGAGAACCACCGCCCGCTGCTGCCTGGGGAGGACGCCTGTCCCCAGATTGTCCTGCCCCAGCTCAGGGAGGGAGCCAAGAGCATCGTGAGTGAGCGTCTTGTCCACTGTGTGCTCTGCTGGGATCTGGGCACTGAGACACAGTATTTGATGTGGGACCCAGGAAATGCTGAGCCCCCGAGAGTACAGTGAGGCAAAGCGTGGCCAGTGCTGACTCTGGGAGGTCAGTGGGCACCATGAGCTGTCCGGCATTCCCATAATCCTGCTGCCTGTGTCAAGAGGGGCTTCCAGAAAAGACCCAGTGCCTAGCCTCAGGGTCCCTCCAGGGCCGCCTTATTCCTAACATGATGTCCATGAGCCACCCAATAAGCAAAACTGGAAGAGGCACCTGCCCCATTCCAGATCCTTCAGCTGTGAGACTACATGCTGTGTAGACAGCTCCCTACGTGGAGCACTCATGTGTAGACCACTCTGGGTGTGTAATGTGAATGCGTGTGTAAGTGTGTGTGGGGTGTGTGGTATATAGTGTGTGCTGTGTGTGTGGTGTGTGTCGTGTGTGTGTGGTGTTGGTATGTGTTATGATATGTGTTGTTTGTAGTGTGTGTGTTTGTGGTATGTGAGTGGTGTGTGTGGTATGTGGTGTGCTTGTGTGCCTATTGTGTGTTGTGTGTCGTGTTGTGTGTGGTGTGTGTCGTGTGGTGTATGTGTTGTGTGTAGTGTGTGTGGTGTGTGTCCTGTGTGTGTCGTGTAGTGTATGTGTGGTGTGACTGGTGTGTGTGTTGTGTGTGATGATGTGTGGTGTGTGTGTGGTTTGTGTTGTGTGTCGTGTGGTGTGTGTTGTGTGCAATGTCATGTGGTGTGTTGTGTGCAGTGTGCATGGTGTGTGTTGTGTATATGTGGTGTGCCTGTTGTGTCGTGTGTTGTGTGTGTGTTGTGTGTGTCGTGTGTCCTGTGTGTTGGGTCATGTGTTGTGTGTGGCGCATCTGTGTGTGTGTGTGGTGTGTCTGTTGTGTGTGTAGTGTGTTGTCATGTGTTGTGTCACATGTGTTGTGTGGTGTGTCATGTGTTGTGTCGTGTGTGTTGTGTGTTATATGTGTCGTGTGGTGTGTGTTGTGTGTTGTGTATGATGTGTCCTATGGTGTCTGTTGTGTGTAGTGTGTGATGTGTATTGTGTGGTGTATGTGTGGTGTGCCTGTTGTGTATGTGTGGTGTGCCTGTTGTATTGTGTCGTGTGTTGTGTTGTGTGTGTGTTGTGTGTTGTGTCATGTATGTGATGTGTGTTATGTGCGTCGTGTGTCGTGTCATGTGTGGTGTGTCATCTGTTGTGTGCTGTGTGTGTCATGTGTGTTGTGTGTTGTGTTGTGTGTGGTGTGATGTGTGTCATCTGGTGTGTTATGTGTAGGAAGTTATGTGTGTCTTGTGGTGTATGTGTGGTGTGCCTGTTATGTGTATTGTGTGTTGTGTGTCGTGTGTGATGTGTCGTGTGCTGTGTGTGATGTGTGTCATATGTGTGGTGTGTGTCGTGTGGTGTGTGGTGTGTGTGGTGTGTGTGGTGTGTGTGTGGTGTCGTGTGTGTGGTGTGTGGTGTGGTGTGTGTGGTGTGTGTGGTGTGTGTCGTGTGGTGTGTGTGAGGTGTGTGGTGTGTGTGGTATGTGTGGTGTGTGGTGTGTGTGGTGTGTGTCATGTGGTGTGTGTGGTATGTGTGGTGTGTGGTGTGTGTCGTGTGTGTGGTGTGTGTGTGGTGTGTGTGGTGTGTGTGGTGTGTAGTCTGTGTGGTGTGTGTGTGGTGTGTGTCATGTGTGTGGTGTGTGTGGTGTGTGTGTGGTGTGTGTGGTGTGTGTGGTGTGTGTCGTGTGGTGTGTGTGTGGTGTGTGTGTGTGGTGTGTGTGTCATGTGGTGTGTGTGGTGTGTGGTGTGTGTGTGTGGTGTGTGTGGTGTGTGTGTCATGTGGTGTGTGTGTGGTGTGTGTGGTGTGTGTGGTGTGTGTTTGTCGTGTGTTGTGTGTGTGTGGTGTGTGTGTTGTGTGTGTGTTGTGTGTGTGGTGTGGGTTTCATTCATTGGATGGATATTGAGCCTCTCTCTCCCTTTGGGGCTCCTGCTCACCCCTGGCTTGGGGAGTTTCTCGGGGTGTTTCTCTGAGCACCTCTGGTCCCTTCCTCTGACTCTGATCTCCTAGTTTATTTAACTCGTGGGGCTGCCTCGACGGATTTCTGCATTTTTCTTATCCCTTTTCTCCTGTTTTCAGTTTTTCTTGGTACTTGGAGATTTCCTCAGCTTTGTCTTCCAAACTTTCTTTTTTTTATTTTTAATTTTTATTTTTTTTATTATACTTTAAGTTCTAGGGTACATGTGCACAACGTGCAGGTTTGTTACATATGTATACACGTGCCATGTTGGTGTGCTGCGCCCGTTAATTCGTCATTTACAGTAGGTATTTCTCCTAATGCTGTCCCTCCCCGCTCCCCCCACAGAAAGATTTTGCTTCTACTGCCACGGGGCTGTTTTTAATTCCCGAGCGTTCTTTTGGGTGTGTAAGATGGCATCTTGCCTTTGTTTCATGGATGTCACATTTTCTCTGATTTCTCTGAACATTCTGCTGATATTTTCCATTAGTTTCCTTCTCCCCGTGGTTTTGTTCCACAGAGCAAATAGTACACTGATCTGTGTCCTGAAGCTCAGGCACCCAGGGATCTCCTGGGGTTTGATGCCGGGGCTCTCTGAAGTCCGTGGGCAGGGCTCATGGGCCCCTTGCGGACACCCACTTGGGAACCTCACGGTTCAGATCCAGGGACCTGCTCCCCGGGAGTCCAGCGTCCTTGCAGGGGCCTGCGATGCCTTGTGCGGCCTGGGCCGTGCTGCTTGGCGTCTGCACGCAATGGCGAGGGCTCCCGGCTCCCTGTGCGGAACCCTGTGCAGCCAAGGGGAGGCTCCCGGCCCGGTGTGCAGGTGAGGGGTCTCCCGGCCCCGCGTGCAGGTGAGGGGGCTCCCGGCCCTGCGTGCAGGCGAGGGGTTTTCCCGACCCCGCGTGCGGGTGAGGGGGGGTCCCAGCCCCGTGTACTTTTGCTGGTGGCCCTGGTCATGAGGCTTCTCTCCCTGCCCACAGCT
Source organism: Homo sapiens (assembly GCF_000001405.40). Classification (NCBI taxonomy): domain Eukaryota; kingdom Metazoa; phylum Chordata; class Mammalia; order Primates; family Hominidae; genus Homo; species Homo sapiens. The sequence continues at coordinate 157,483,938 of NC_000007.14, forward strand.
GTCCTTGGGGTCTCGGGGTCCAGGGGTTGGCCCCATCTCTTGCTGTGCTACAGGCCCAGACCCCCCAGGGTAAAGGACTTACTGACCCCTTTTGGGAATTGTCTCAACTCCAGAGACCTGCCCGTTGGGGCCACTCCCTCTGGTCCCGTGACTGTGGGCACACCATGTCCAGGCCCCACCCAGGCAGCTCTGAGGGGTCACCTGACCTCGGGGCTTTCTGCTGGGCTGGCGGGGCCTTCAGTGAGACCCACTGCGGAGGTGCCCATCCCACAGCCAGGGCAGCAGCGCCCTCCTGCTCACCTCCAGCCAAGTTGGCTTCCCAGAGGCTGCAGCCTCACCCGCACCCCAGGCTTTCATCCCTCCCCACGCCCTGCCTTTCGGCCTCAGGCTTCTCCAGCATGGGTGAACTGAAAACACCCACGGAACACCCCTCTAGGTGGGGTGGGTGGCTGGGCGGCCACCTCACTGGTCCTCGACAGCCCACTGCACCCCCACATCCCCACTGCACCCCTTACTGCACCCCTCCTACATCGCCACTGCGCCCCACTTTGACCTCCAGGGCATCCCTTGTGCCCACTGCACCCCTATGCACCTCCGCATCCCCGCAGCACCCATGGCGCTCCTGCTGTGCCTCACTGCACCTCCCGCGGCAGCTCCCTGGGGATCGTCACTGCCACGATGAGTTGCTCAGCTTTCTACCAGCCCGAGCTCTCTTGACCTCCGGCACCTGCTGTCTTCTCCCCATCGGGTTTCTCCCTTGTGGTCACGTTAGTGATGTTTTGGAGCCGTGGACCAGGGCACCACGTTTCACTGAAATTCACCCCAGGTAGCTGAGTGTGGCAGGCTCTGCAAAACACCAGAGCAGCATCGCCCAGCAGAAAGGTGGAGCTCTCTGTCTGTCGCCGCGACGTCTCCAGCGTCCCGATGTTGTGACTTGAGCGCTTGTGAGCTCTGATTGTGGCTGTCGTGTTGGAGATGCAGTCCCCGGACGTGAGACCTGTGCCTGGGGGTGCACAGCTGACCCAGCCCTGCTGGGGTGTAGCCTCCCTCTGAGCAGAAGGGTGGGTTCACCGGGGGCTCTCTGCTGAGTCCACACATGCAGCCAGGCCTCTCCTTCTCCTGTGCAAGTGTGTAGGAAGAGAAGAAGCCGCTGAGGGTCAGCCCGGAGTGTCTTAGCACCTGGGATCATGGCTACTCGAGGGCCGTCCTGTCTCAGGCCGGATTTTAGTGAACGTGCTAAGAAACCATGTTCTGTTGTGTCTTCCCAATGCCTCCTCTGTCGCTCCTGGATGAACAGCCCAGTTCCTATGAGGTCACTCCTATTTCCACTGACTGCCAGTTTGTTCTTTGGGGTTAAGTGGTGGCATCTCCCTTTTTGTTGAGTGTGGGCCGGGTTTTGAAGGCAGGCACGTTCCTCTCCTGCCCCCGGCAGAGGTCTGGAGCAGGCAACATTCACTTCTGCACACATCTGTGGAAACCCAGGTGCTGAGTCCTGTTTTTCCTTTTTGAACCCAGTGTGGGGTGTAGACCCTACGCGGGCACGCCCTTTTGGTAACGAGCCTCTGGCAGGATGCTGTGGTGTCCTGAGATGGGAGGGTTAAAGGAGGCATGAGGTCCTGTGCTGGGATGATGTACTCGGGCAGCTCCACCCAGCGGAAGCCGTGGTGATCTTACTCTCTTAGGGTCTTGATTTCCTTCCCCCCATCAGTGGAGAGTGGCATCAGCCTCCAAGCAGCATGCACAGGAGGACTCAAAGTGGTGGGCGGTGAACAGTGTCCAGAATGCAGCACGTGACCCCCAGATGGACGAGCCCGCTGACCATGGGTGGGCTCAGGGGCCACCACATCACAGACTAGAAAGTGTCTCACATTTTCAGGGGGCAGCAATGTGAAAACACGTCCGTGGAGAAATTTTGCAGATAATACACCTTCAGCAGACAAGAGCTCTTACCATGACTTAAAAGTGTGTGGGTTTGTCTTTTAATTACTAATAAGGTTAATTTTTTCCAAAGCCCTCTGACTCCTCGCCCCTTTAAAATAGTGTGGATGCCGTGGGACCTCCACCCGCCCTCATGGTCAGAGGGAGTTGCAGAGCTGCAGGGGACAGGGTCATTTTTGTGCAGTAACCACGGGTGCAATAACCAGGCTAGAATATGCAGGGATGCAGCTAATTAATGAACCAAATGACAACACCCCTATTAAACCATTGTAATCAGAAGTGAAATCATATCATGCTGTCGTGGAGACAGCTGTCCTTGGAAGAAGTGAGGACAAGCTTCGCCCTCATTCGCTCTTGGGTGTGATTATCCACACTGGGGTCACTCAACAGCATTCTGGGCTGGGGAAACACTGCCTCGGAGTTGGCTGGTCAGCGCATGATGGGTTCCTTTGTGTGGGGCAGGCCTGGTTGTGGCATTTGTTTGGAGGGGTGTGTGTGTGTGTGTGTATGTGTGGTGTCCCCATAAGATTTTTTTGAGACAAGCTGCTGTTTCTCTGCATAAATATAATAGCCTAATTTTAATATTCGCCTGACTGTGCGTCTAAGTCAGCTGGAGAATGTGTCACAGGAGGAAAATACTAATAGGATATGTGCCAATTTGCAGTTTAAGTAAGGCTGCCTCTAATAGGAGTTGAGAGCTTTGTATTAACCCCCAACAATGGAGAGAAGCCGTCTTGGCGGCTGATTACTTAGGCAACCTCCAGATAGATCCACACAGCCCATTGAAATTCCAATCATTTCCACATACTATTCCCACCTATATAATTGTCAACTGGCCCTTATCATTATTTATTATGCAAAATTGAATTTTTTTGAAGCGTGAAGAATGAAGTAATTTCGTATGCAAACAGTTAAACTCTCATGTGTATTCTGATTACGTACGTGTTGATAAATTCACTTATGATGAGTGACAGTGTGAGATTTTGGGGTTGGATCGGTCAATCCGTGGAAGACACTGATGAAAATGACAAACCTCATGCCAGAAGCGTCCCCGGCACATCTCGGGTGGAGTGTGCAAAATGTCAGTGTCTAGCCGCTGTCTATTAATAACTAAATATGATTGTGTGTAATGAGCAGAGATTTTTGTGGTGATTGAAGTAGGATTTTTTTGATCTCCCAGATGTTGCTGCTTAGAAATTCATATTGCTTTTCTCCTGATGATGCCTCCTGACCTTCTCAACCCTCTCCACTGTTAGAGCCCCTGTTATTCCCGCACCGCGTTAAGTTGGGGGGCTGACGTGTCCTCCGCCACTGGGCCGATGTTCTGCCCTTTGTCAAAGTCCCCTTTTCCCGTGTGGCCCAGCACCTCCTTTAGGATGAGGCTGCACTGGTGGGGCTGGGAAGGCTGATCAGGAGGTTTGCAGTGCCAGGTCCAGTCCTCACCCCTGGGGTCAGTTTGGCCTCGGACCAGGCACGAGACACCTGGCCTTTTAGGAGGGGGGAGGTTTGAGGTCAGCAGTGGCCCCAGAGCCTTGGGAGAGGGGCCAGGGGAGGGCCATTCTAGATGCAGCCCAGGGAGCCTGCAGCCCATGGCTACCCACGAAAAGAAGAGAGGTCTAAGAGGGAGCCCGAGTTCCCACGCAGGGGAGATGAAGACCAGGGCGGGCAGGGGCCTGGCCCAGGTTCTGGAGAAGCAAGGGGTGCTTCTCGGATATCACGGTGGATGAGAGTGACCCAGAGTCGTTAACCAGAGTGTCTATGCGGCCGTGACGAGGCGTGGACTCGGCTGTCCCCATCACGTGTTCATGAGCTGAGTCTTTTATCCAACAGATACTTTCACGGAGCATCCAAAAAAGTTCCCATCATGTGCTGAGAGGCAAAGAAGGCTCAGCCGTGTTCCTGCCTTGAGGACTTGAGCCAGAAACGGCATATGGGAGAGCCAGGGACAGCACACGGGAGAGCCGGGGAGGGCACACGGGAGAGCCGGGGAGGGCACACGGGAGAGCCGGGGACGGCACACGGGAGAGCCGGGGAGGGCACACGGGAGAGCCGGGGAGGGCACACGGGAGAGCCGGGGAGGGCACACGGGAGAGCCGGGGAGGGAACACGGGAGAGCCGGGGAGAGCACACGGGAGAGCCGGGGCGGCACACGGGAGAGCAGATGAAGGTAATACATGCAGTGGCCCAGCTCGGGGGTGTGGATTCTGTGTGAAGATTTCCCTAGAGGAGGGGCTGCAGCCCCCGGAATCTGAAGCCAGAGTTTGTATGAACAGCAGCAATTCCCAAGCCCACGTCTCCCAGGCCACGGTTTGAGAAATGGAATCTTCCCCCTATGTTAGGATAGTGCTTCATTCCAAAAAAAAAACCCTTCCTAGGGCCAATTCCCAAGTCTAAGTTATGAGAACAGAAAGTAAAGTCGAGTCCCTTCAACAGTTCTTGGAAAATGCACCGGGAATGCTCAGTGTTTCTGGAGCCAAAGCCTTAATTCAAACAAGCAAGCAAACAAACAAGCCTGACGTTGAACATAAAACACATCAATGAAAACAAAGAAAATAATGCAGAGAGGCACATGACTCAGCTCGCAATCAGCGGCCCCGCGAGGGAGGCAGCCTGTGCACTGGGCACGCCGAAGCCCCTCCGGCGGCGGCTCTTTGTTCCCCGCGTCACCTCACTGCACGCCCCGTCACCAGCGTCGTGCTCCAGCAGCGGCGCTCCTCCAGCCAAAGAGGGAGGCACTGACGAAACCCGTGCAGTCAAATTCTCGCGGCCTGTGGTGGGTTGAATCATGTACTCCTAAAAGATATGTTCATTGGGAGGCCAAGGCAGGAGGATCACTTGAGCCCAGGAGTTCAAGACCAGCCTGGGAAACATAGCGAGACCCCCTTCTCTACCAAAATAAATAAATAATAAATAAATAAATAAATAAATAAATAAGCAAGCTGGGTGTGGTGGCTCGTGCCTGAGGGTGTAGAGAGCACCACTGCACTCTACACTAAAAAAAAAAAAAAAAAAAGGTATAATCAAGGCCTAACCCCCAGTACCTGTGGGTGTGACCTTATTTGGAAATAGGGCCATTACAAGATGTGCTCAGGTGAAGATGAGGTGATACTAGGTTAGGGTGGGCCCTGCCTCAATGACTGGTGTCCTTATTTGAAGGTCACGTGAAGACACAGACCCAGGAGGGTTCTGAGAACACCGGGAGACAATGGAGGCAGAGGCTGGAGCGACACATCTGCGAGCCAGGGGACACCAGGGCTGGCCTGCAGCAGCAGAGGCCGGGAGAGGCAGGAATTACCCTCCCCCAGCGACTCCAGCAGGGACCTGGCCCTCCAGGGGCTTTGGTTTTAGACTTCCAGCCTCCAGAACCGTGAGACAGTAAATTTCTATCATTTTAAGCCATCCAGTTTGTGGCAATTTGTTATGGCCGCCGTGGGAAATTGATACATAGCCCGACTGGGCTGGTTTGGTGGATTTTAACATGCTAAAAGTTTGTATTTAGGGCCAGGCATGGTGGCTCATGCCTGTAATCCCAGCACTTTGGGAGGCCGAGGCGGGCAGATCACGAGGTCAAGAGGTCGAGACCATCCTGGCCAACATGGTGAAACCCCGTCTCTACTAAAAATACAAAAATTAGCTGGGCGTAGTGGCACACACCTGTAGTCCCAGCTACTCGGGAGGCTGAGGCAGGAGAATCGCTTGAACCCAGGAGGCAGAGGTTGCAGAGAGCCAAGATGGTGCCACTGCACCCCAGCCTGGCGACAGAGTGAGATTCCATCTCAAAAAAAAAAAAAGTTTGTATCTAACATTAAAAAACAGCTTTATTGAGATATAAATCTTGTGCATGCAATTCACACATTTAAAATGTATAATTAGGCCTGGCATGGTGGCTCACGCCTGTAATCTCAGCATTTTGGGAGGCTGAGGCAGGCAGATCACATGAGGTCAGGAGTTTGAGACCAGCCTGGTCAACATGGCAAAACCCAGCTCTACTAAAAATACAAAAATTAGGTGGGTGTGGTGGCAGGTGCCTGTAATACCAGCTACTAGGGAGGCTGAGGCAGGAGAATTGCTTGAACCTGGGAGGTGGAGGCTGCAGTGAGCTGAGATTGCGCCACTGCACTCAACCTGGGCAACAGAGTGAGACTCCATCTCAAAAAAAAGAAAAAAGAAAAGTGTACCATTAGATGGTTTTTAATATGTGGCCCTTCATGTCTGGCATCCTTCAGGTAGCATCATGTTTCCAAGCTTCATCCACGTTGTAGTGTGTGTCATTCCTTTTTATGGTTTGATACTATTCCAGTGTATGAAGCTACCACATTTTATTGATCTGTCTGTCAACGGACATGTGGGTTGTTTCCATATTTTGACTATTATGAGTAATGTTGCTGTTAACATTCATGTTTACATTTTATTTAATTTTTTTTTGAGACAGAGCCTTGCTCTGTTGCCCAGGCTAAAGTGCAGTGGCATGATCTTGGCTCAGTACAACCTCCGCCTCCCAGGTTCAAGCAATTTTCCTGCCTCAGCCTCCTGAGTAGCTGGGATTATAGGCACCCGCCACTGTGCCTGGCAAATTTTTGTATTTTTAGTAGAGAGGGGGTTTCACCATGTTGATCAGGCTGGTCTTGAACTCCTGACCTCGTGATCCACCCGTCTTGCCCTCCCAAAGTGCTGGGATTACAGGCGTGAGTCACCGCGCCTGGCCATGTTTAAATTTTTGTGTGGACATAGGTTTTGCGTTTCTCTGGGTGTGTGCTTAGGAGCTGACATGCTGAGTCATGGTATCTCTATGTTTAATCATTTGAGGAACTGTCAGACTGTTCTCCAAAGCAGCAACACCAGTTTACATTCCCACCAGCAAGGCGTGAGGGTTCTGATTTCTTCACATCCTCACCAATACTTCCTGTTATCTGACTTTTTCGACTCTAGCCATCCTAGTGGGTAGGAAGTGGAAAGTGGTATCTCATTGTGGTTTTGATTTGCATTTCCCTGATGACTAGTGAAGTGGAGCATCTTTGTATGTGCTTATTGGCCATATGAATATCTTTCTTGGAGAAATGTCTATTCAGATTCATTGGCCATTTAAAAAGTTGGATTATTTGTCTCTTTTATTATTGAGTTGTAAGAATTTCTTATGTATTCCAGAAATGAGTCCCTTTTCAGATACAAGATTTGAAAATATTTTATTTCATTCTTTGGGCTGTCTTTTCACTTTCTTAATGATATCCCTTGAAGCATAAAGGTTTTTAATTTTTTTGAAATATTGTGTTTCAGTATTTTCTTTTTTTGCTTTTGCAATTGGTGTCATATCAAAGAATTCTTTGTCAAATCTAAGGTCATGAAGATTCCCCCTGTTTTCTTCTAAGATGTTATAGCTTTAACTTTTACATTTATGTCTTTCATCCATTTTGAGTTAATTTTTTTATATGGTGTGAGGTAAGGGTTCAGTTTTATTTTTTTCTCTTGTTTTATAGGTGGCTCCACTGGAATCCAGTTGTCCCAGCATCATTTGTTGAAAGACTATTCTTTCCCCACTGAGAAGTCTTGACACCCTTGTTGGAAATCAGTTGACCATAGATGGGACAGTTTATTTCTAGACTTTCAGTTCTAATCCATAATGAAGCCAGTACCACACTATTTTGATTACTGTTGCTTTTTAGTAAGTTTTGAAATCAGGAAGTGTGGGTCTTTCAACTCTGTTCTCCTTTTCCAAGATTGTTTTGGCTATTCTGGGTTTCCTGCAATTCCATATGACCTTCAGAATCAGCTTTTTGATTTCTACAAAGACATCAGTTGGGATTCGGAAAGGAATTGTGTTGAATTGGTAGATCATTTTAGGGATCACTGCCGTTGTAACAATGTCAAGTCTTTCAATCCATGAACATGGGATGTCTTTCAATTTATTTAAAACTTCTTTAAAGTTTTTCAACAATGTTTTGTAGGGTTCCAAGTATAAGTTTTACATTTGTTTTGTCATATGTATTCCCAAGTATTTTATTCATTTTGATGCCATTGCAAATGGAATTATTTTCTTTTTATTTTATTTTATTATTATTATACTTTAAGTTTTAGGGTACATGTGCACAATGTGCAGGTTAGTTACATATGTATACATGTGCCATGCTGGTGTGCTGCACCCATTAACTCGTCATTTAGCATTAGGTATATCTCCTAACACTATCCCTCCCGGCTCCCCCCACCCCACAACAGTCCCCAGAGTGTGATGTTCCCCTTCCTGTGTCCATGTGTTCTCATTGTTCAATTCCCACCTATGAGTGAGAATATGCGGTGTTTGGTTTTTTGTTCTTGCGATAGTTTACTAGGAATTATTTTCTTAATTTAGTTTTTGGATCACTCATTGCAAGTATATAGCAATAAAATTGGTTTTTACAATATCCATCTTGTATTATGCTATATTTCCAAACTCATTTGCTAGTTCTAATAGTTTTTAAGTGAATTCCTTAGGATTTTCTGTATATAGGACCATGTTATTTGCAAACATAGATAGTTTTACGTCTTCCTTTTCAAACCGAATGCCTTTTCTTTTTCTTGCCTAATTGCCCCGGAAACTCCAATACATTGGTGAACAGCAAGGTGAGAGTGGACATATCTGTCTTTTTTTGTGACCTTTGTGGGGAAGTATTCAGTATTTCACCATGAAGTATAATTTTAGCTGTGGGTTTTCCATAGATGCCCTTTCTCTGGTTGAGAACTTCCTATTAGTAGTTTGTTGAGCATTTCTATCATGGAATGAGGTTAGGATTTTGTCAGATGCTTTTTTTCTGCATGTATTGAGATGATCATGTGATTTTTGTTCTGTTGATATGAGGTATTACCTTAATTGATTTTAAAATGCTCAACCAATCTTGTATTCCTAAGATAAATCCCACTTGGTCATAGAATGTAATTCTTATTATAGCTGCTAAATTCAATCTGCTAGTATTTTGTTGAGGATTTTTGCATCCATATTAATAAGAGATATTGCTTTGTAGTTTTGTTTTCTTGTGACATCTTTGTCTTGTTTTGGAATTGTATAATACTGGTCTTATTAAATGCTGCACATTCTTTACAAAAAACAAACCCCCAAGCTGTCATTTAATACATTTTTCCAGGGATCAACATAAAATTTGATACTCTTGCAGTTACTAAAATCTCCAGTCCAGAGGAACAGGGGCAGCAGATAGCTGGGAGGTGCCCTTTAAGTGTGTTAAGACAACGATCAGCTGCCCTCAGCACTGATGTCAGCATTGGCATCTCGGGTAGAACCAGTCAGACAGGCAGACACCCGGTGTGGGAGCTTGGGTTCTGCCTGGCACTGAGAGTTCCTAAAGGCTTGTCTTGGGCACACAGTGTGAGGTGCTGTCTTCTCGCTGGTGCTGAAATTCACGTTTCTGCTGTGTCTTTCCTGTGAGGGCCAGTCCCAGACATGCTTCTGGACATTACCATATCCCTTCTAGGAAGATGCTGAACATCTCCAGGGACAAATTGGAGCCTGAAGCCTCAGAGCTACTGATGATGAAGGAAAGAGGCAAACATTCAGGAGCCACAGTGCAAGCTGAGGACAAGAGAAAGGCAAGTGGGGCCAGGCCACACACACCTTGTTCCCACCTTTGGGCTTTTTATCTTCTTCTTCTTCCGTTTGTGCCGTCTGTAAACCAGGGAGGAGAACGTCTCCTAGAGGGAGGGAGGAGGCAGACACCACAGACAGAAGTGGTCTCCATTTCCTCCTCGAGGGCCATTCCTGCGGGAAGCAGTCAAAGCTGGGGGTGCCAACGACAGCCACTTAGTGGGAAAGAGCCCAGGGAAGCTTTCTGCCTCTGAAAAAAAAAATAGAATTATAGACTGTTCTAGAACAAGGCATTTATGCCAGAATTCCATCTCAGTGACATTGTCATTCACAGAGTTGCTTGAGCCCAAATATTAAGAATCATCCTTGACTCCTCTCCTTTCTTCCCTCTCCCACATCCAAACCACACCTTTGCTTGCCAAATCAGCAGTAGCTGCTGCCTGCTTCATGCCCAGAGCTGCTCAGAGCATGATCTCTTTTCAGCATCTTGACTACTCCCTCCCCAGCCCAGGCCCCCTATGCTCCAGGAACTGTCTCTCATCCACATCTCAGACCTCACACTCGCGGGCTCCTTGACTGGGAAGGTGTTCCTGTCTCCACAGCCAGTCCTCCCCGAATCCCTCCATCTCAGAGAGGCCTTCTCTGCCCCCTGCACCCCTGTATCATCCTGCTTCATTTTTCTCCATTGCCTTTTCACAATGTGACCTTATACATGACCCGTTTTCTCTCCTCTATACTATGATGGGATGTGGGTAGGAATTTTGTTCATCCTGATCATAACTGGCGTATCCCCATCATTTATAAAAGAGTCTTGCATATTCCAATAGGCAATTGCTGAATGAATGGATTAATAATACTAGAAGGAAAAACTGTTGACAAGGGCACTGTCTTAGTCCATTTGCGTTGCTATGAAGGAACACCTGAGGCTGGGAAACTTACACAGAAAAGAGGTTTATGTGGCTCATGGTTCTGCAGACTGTACAGGAAGCATGGTGCCAGCACTGGCTTCTGATGAGGGCCTTGGGAAGCTTCACTCTTGGCAGAAGGTGAAGGGGAGCCTGCGTGTGCAGAGTTCTCATGGTGAGAGGGAAGCAAGAGTCAGGGAGGCACCAGGTTTCTTTAATAAACAGGTTTCACAGGGACGACTAGAGTGAGACTCACTGACTCGTTACCACGAGGGCCAGGCCAGCACCGAGCCATGCATGAGGTATCTGTCCCCATGACCCAAACACCTCCCACCAGGCCCCACCTCCAGCACTGGGATTCAGTTTCAACACGAGGCTTGGAGGGCCAAATACCCAGACCACAGCAGCCACCTGAGCCTGTCCACTCATGCAGCTCCCGCACGGCTGGCATGTTGGGGCATGGCCTTGCCTAAGTGGTCCTGTCTGCCTCCCACCTCCGAAGAGCGGCCTGATAAGGCCTGGGGGCTGTGGCACTGAATCCCTAGCCCATCACTCTTGGGGAGTTTCTTTAAGAGGCATCACTGAGAAGGGCATTTGCCTAGGCCAAATGGCTTCACTCGGCCCTCTCCTATGAAACAGACAATCGGAGCTCCAGAGCTCCAGAGCTGGGAGGGGCTTTGGCCACATCCACCTCTTCATTTTAATGCTGACCAATCTGAGTCCCGGGGCTGGAAACTGACCTGCCAGGACAGACTGCTGGTGGGAGGTAGAGCATGCCCCCTCAGCATCCCCTGGTGGGTTGGATGGATTTTCTTAAATACTATGGAGAAACTGAAAGTCTAGGATGGAATATCTCCTTTGGAAAATGTTATTGGGGTTAGCATTGGGGAGATGATAAGATGAGATAAATACAACTTGCATTTTCAGCAGCTCTTTTCCAAAGAATGAGTAAAAGGTTTCTTGACCACCATCCTCCTCTGATCATACAGAAAACAGTGGGTGGCTTTTGCTCATATCAAAACCACCTGTGATTGATGAGCAAAATTCGGGCTTCCTCAGAAAGTCAAGGGTGAAGTTGGATGTAGAAACTCACGACCTTCATGGAACTGAATCCATTCCCAGCACTTAGAGTTGAATAAATAGTTGTTGATTGAGTGGATAAATTTATAATTTTAAGCTTCTGGCTCTCTTAGCTAATCCAGGAGTCCGGGGAAATCAGTCTCTGTGAAGTTTTGATCAAAGAGGCCTTAGATCCCTCCGGAACAAGGATGGATAGAAATAATAATAATTTTAAAGGTGGGCCACCAGTGCCGGGGAAGGACGGGAAGTGCTGTTTCCCACATTCAGCAGGCACCCGACCACTGCCTGCTACGGGCATGGCTGCGGGAGGCCAAGTGGGACGAGAAGCGAATCCCTGCCGTAAAACTGTTCCCAGCCGAGTGGAGGAGAGAGGGTGTGAACACACTCTCAGGACGCTGTGCTGTGACTGGGGTTTTAGTGCAGCAGATTGAGAAAGGGAAAAAACGTGGCAGGTGGGAAACCCCCTGGGTAAGTCCAAGAATCTCCAGCCACACAAGCGTAGCCTCTTACATTTATGTATTTATGTATTTATTTATTTATCTGAGATGGAGTCTTGCTCTGTTGCCCAGGCTGGAGTGCAGTGGCGTGATCTCAGTTCAATGCAACCTCCGCCTCCCGGGTTCAAGCGATTCTCCTGCCTCAGCTTCCCAAGTAGCTGGGATTACAGGTGCACCACCATGCCCAGCTGATTCTGTGTTTTTAGTAGAGACAGGGTTTCACTATGTTGGTCAGGCTGGTCTCCAACTCCTGACCTCAAGTGATCCACCTGCCTTGGCCTCCCAAAGTGCTGGGATTACAGGCGTGAGCCATCGTGCCTGGCCAACCCCTTACATTTATATCACACTTTTTCTAGGGGCTTCCTTGCACGTTATTTCTAATGCAATAGACAGATGTGTTTGTCCTTCTCACAGTGTAGTTCACTACGTTTTAATGAACTCTTCTTCTTGTATTAAGGCATGGCACGTGCACACCAGAGGGGCTTCCAACAGGGGAAGGGGGAAGGGGGCGTCTCCTTCCCAGCCCAGGCGTTCATACATCTTCCTAGGACTCAGCCACTGTCACTGGGAACTTGTTTGTCCTTCCCAAAGCCAAGCATGTGCACTGAGGCAGAACTGTGAACTTACAGGATGGGTGAAATAGACAACACACGCGATCGACAACCCTCCCCGCTGTATGAGTGACGGCAGTGCTTATTGGCAGTGAAAGAATTCAGCCCTTGTCGTCTTTAACCGTATGAAAGTTGAGGAACAGACGTCTCCAGGCCCATTACTACAGGTTCAGGGCAGCCCCAGTCATGGTGAAAAGGTTTAAGGCCTAGGGCATATTGGTCCGTAGCAGGGCAGTTGGGGCAATACCGCGATGCTTGGGGTGGGCCGGGGGCTGCCAAGAGGAGCACCCCCGGCCGTCCAGCCCGCTGGGCACTAGCTCAGGCTCTTGTTTGCCAAGACGTTTCAGTCCCACCACGTTTGATTTATTTCTGTCCCAGTCTCTGTTTAAATCCATTTAACAGCTCCCAGTGGCCTCCAGGAAAAAACTCCAAATCCTTGGCCCGACATCCAAACCCGTCTACACCGGGGTTCAGGCTCCACTTCGGAGCTTGTGGCCCCTGCCCAGCCCGGGGGCAGGTTTGTGAAGCCAAGCTCCTGCCCCTCCCTGCCCACCCTGGAGAGCCCCGAGTTCTCTCCTCCTCCCCGCTCACGGGTGCTGCCCGAGACCCAGCCCTCCCTCTGCTCTCCCTGCACCTTCCCACCAGCGTGGACGTCCCCTTTTCTGGATTCCTGTAGCTTCAGCAATGCGTTTTCTGCCTTCATTTCTAGGACACTTTGGGGTGACTTGCTGTCTGACCTCTGTTTCTGAAGGTTGGGGGGCTGTTTATTTTGCATTTCTGAATATGGAGTAGAGAATTTTGTTCCATGAAGGTATTTACATAATTATTTATTAAAAGAAAAAACCCCTCAGCTGTTTGAAATTTTTTTCTCCCAGAAGGAGCTCTGTTTTAATGGGAATGGGTCTGAAAGTGGATTTAGTTTACAGATGCTCACAGGAGGATGGTGACAGGGAGGCTGTGTCCAACTGTCACCGCAGTGCGGAGGCATGTTTGGCACCTCGGATCACCTCTAGCTGGGGCTGTCCCGCAGCCGCCAGGCCCACACCCTAAAGGATGTGCGCTCTGTGGTTTGAAGGAGATTAAAGGAAACATGGAGAAACCCCCTGCAGACAGAGGCCGGGCCCTGCTGCCACATCTAGACCTTCCTGACGGATGAGGGGTGCCAGCCATATTCTTTTTGCTTTGATGTAGGGGGTATGTGTGTATTTTGGGGGCTGGGGAGGGAGGACTGAGGCGGACCCACTCTTGGCCAGGCCTGAAACCCTCCCATTGGCACCCCTCTTTGAGCTCCGGCTCACCGCATGCGGCCTGGTGCCCATCACCCAGGCTGTGCCAGGGCTGGGGGTGGCACCCGTAAGAGGCGACACTGTCTGTCTCTGGGCCTTGCCACCCACCCCTCCAGCCTGGCATTTTGTGAATGAAAGCAGGGCTTGGTTGGGGCAGGTGTGCCAGCGATGGAGGTGCTGTGTCCGCATGGGGCCTCATAGCTCAGGGCTTATTAGGAGCATCGATCATCTGCGGTGCCATTTCCAAACTCCCTCTCCCTCACTCAACTCGCTAAACCTCATTCTTTCCCACACCCAGGTGCTCGGGTGAGAAATGGAGTGTTAATGAGTGTTGGCTTGCTGGCCACGGGCTGGGAGGGGGTTTCCCCCTCACTCCTGACCCCGCATGACCCTTGCCCCCTGACCCCGCACAACCCTCATCCACTCAACAAGCTGCTGCATCTCCCTTTGACCCTGACCCGGTTTTTGGTGGCCCGAGAGTGGACCACGTCCATCCTCCCACCCTCAGAGTCCTGGCTTCTGGGGGGCGTAAAAGCCAGAGGAGCCGAGGCCCCGGCCCACGCTCGGAAACACTCTCAGCCTGGAGACATCGGCTGCAGCTCCCCGCACGCCCTGTCCCCTCCCGCTCTGCATTAATCTTGCACTGACACCCTCTTTATGCTGTTGGAAAAATCGAAATGCCAGGAGGCGGGAGGCAGGGAGAATCCCTCATCAGCAACGTTTATGGTATTGACTTGCATCTCATTGACTGTGTCAACAAGCGCTTGGCGTCTACATGTGGGAACAGCCTATAAAACTAGGAAAGCTAAGCGGCCATTGAAAACCCATCACTTCGGATCCACCAGCCACATAACCCTGGACAGGAAGATGAAAAGTACCTTCTTCCCAGCGCTCAGCCTCCAGCTCTGGGCCTGGTGAAGACGGGCACAAAACAGCAGCAGTGAAACACAAAGTGAATCGAATTAGTCACTACTCAGGCCTGGGGCCTCAGCTGGAAATGACCTTCAGAATTCAACGGAGGAGGCCCTTCGTGGGAGACAAAGAAGGATGGGGCGTCATTGTGGGAGCTTTAACGCTGCACAAAGGACGATCAGGAGGTGGCAATGCATGTGTGACCTGCGCCGGGCAGGGAGGGAGGCTCTCAAGAGGCCTCTGCGCAGGGCGGTGCCCTGTGTGCCTCTGGAAATGAGGCAGAATTTGTGGTGACATCATGCCCAGTCTTCCTGCCAACAAAAGAGTGTATCAGGTTGGAAGTGAGTTTTCCATTTCATAGGAGAGTGGGGGTATGGCAGGAGTCCCTCGGAAATAGTGGAGTTTTGCTCCTGCACAAAAATAAGACCCTGTTCTGAGGACGTGAGTGAGCCGAGCATGTCTGTGCTTCCGTCTGGAGGAGCCGGGAGCCCTGGTTGGCCCAGGTGTCTCGCAGCCTCGTGGCTGGCTCTGTCCACAGGGTCCACGAGCTGGAGGGGCACGGATAAAAATGCTTTTCCCACGACAGAGCGCGTGTGGTGGGCTGACTCCGGTTTATCTGTGAGCACAGAGGTGTGGCCTGCTCACCCCACAGGAGGTGACCCCGCAGAAGGAACACTTCTGCCCTGATCTGCTGTTTGCAGAGGACGAGGGCTGTCATCCTGCTCCTCTGAGGCTGAGGCCTCAGCCAGCAAGGCGGCGGGGTCAAGCGGGGTGTCTGAGCCAGCCACACAGTGCTCACTGGAAGCTTTGGTGCTTTGCTGACCCTGTGACCTGAACAGCCACCCACCTCTCCGAGCCCCAGCATCCTCGTCTGTAAAGTGGGGTGACAGTAGCTGCCTGACATGACTGACAGACTCGTTTGTTAAGCACTGTCACGTGTGGGAGGCGACTTCCTTCTGGGTTGGGGGGGCTTCTCTTATCCCTGGGCACTGTTGGGTCCCTAGGAGAAGCACAGGTGAGCAGAGGAGGGCTCCCCTGGGCTGGTGCGGCCAGCAGTTCTGCAGGGACCTCGCACTGGCTCCTTAATGTGGTTCGCGTGGCCTCCAGATTTACGGCTGAATTCTCTCTTCTGAGCATGTCACTGGATGACCAGCACTCTACCAGGGGAACTGCTGTTCTGGGAAAGGTGCCCGCTGGCCAGCGGAGTCTCCTCACACATCCATGGTGTGTGGGGCTCTGATGGGTTCTGGGTGAGCATTCCCCCCTTCTCCTGGATGCCACCTACGTGTCCGCTTGGGAGAATTAGGTGGGCTTTTTGGGCCACGGCTTCCTCATCCCTGTCTGTGCACACATCTGTGTGTGTGTGTGTGTGTGTGTGTGTGCCCGTGCACGTGTGTGTGCCTCGTGTGCATCTGTGGGAGTGCAAATGTGCACGTGTGTGTGTGCATGCATCGGAGAGGCGGAATGTGTGTGGGGCTGGAAACTGATAATCTTTAAAAGATCTCCCAGACTTAAAATTCTTTTATTATGTAACATTTATTTTTATTTATTTATTTTGAGACACGGTTTCACTCACGTCACCCAGGCTGGAGTGCGGTGGCACGCGCTCGGCTCACTGCAACTGCTGCCTACTGGGCTCAAGCGATTCTCCAGCCTCAGCCTCCTGAGTAGCTGGAATTATAGGCGCACGCCACCACACCTGGGTAATTTTTGTATTTTTTTTTGTAGAGATGGCTTTTCACCATGTTGGCCAGGCTGGTCTTTAACTCCTGGGCTCAAGTGATTCACCCACCTAGCCTCCCAAAGTGTTGGGATTACAGGCGTGAGCCACCGCGCCCGGCCTATTATTATGTTAATTTAAAATAAGCAAATACTTGAGTGCCTCTGTACCAGGCGCTGTTCTAGGAGCCAGGAGCTGTGCCCTTCTCCACCCGCTCCCACACTTTCTCCTTCTCTTAACTCCACCATTGCCTCCTCCCTCCCCTTGTTCTCCCCGCCAGCCCCAGGGACATGAAGCACTTGGATTGTCGGGAGCTGCCCGCCTTCAGCCACCGGCCAGTGGCCAGCACCCCGGGTTCGGCCCTCTGCCAGTGCGGGCTCAAAGGCCCCACGCCCACGCAGCCAATCCTCACATGACGGTGACCAGAGGCCACTTGAGCTCAGGCACCTCGGCTGGCACGTACTCCACCCTCCAGGGCTCGGGGCATGACGGGCACCTCGGCTGGCACGTACTCCACCCTCCAGGGCTCGGGGCATGACGGGCACCTCGGCTGGCACGTACTCCACCCTCCGGGGCTCGGGGCATGACGGGCACCTCGGCTGGCACGTACTCCACCCTCCGGGGCTCGGGGCATGACGGGCACCTCGGCTGGCACGTACTCCACCCTCCGGGGCTCGGGGCATGACGGGCACCTCGGCTGGCACGTACTCCCTCCGGGGCTCGGGGCATGACGGGCACCTCGGCTGGCACGTACTCCACCCTCCGGGGCTCGGGGCATGACGGGCACCTCGGCTGGCACGTACTCCACCCTCCGGGGCTCGGGGCATGACGGGCACCTCGGCTGGCACGCACTCCACCCTCCGGGGCTCGGGGCATGACGGGCACCTCGGCTGGCACGTACTCCACCCTCCGGGGCTCGGGGCCTGAGGAGCAGAAGGTGGCCCTGGGCAGATGCTCTGCGTGCGGGAGGCTGCGCTTTCAGTCATTATTTGGATTTCGTTTTCCACATGAAAATATTTAGAGATCCAGCTCTTGGAAGCCAAGGAGAAACTGGCTTTTAAGGTAAAGGAAGGCAAGTTTGCCGAGGTGATGGGAAGACACCTTGCAACTGCGAAACCTCCAAATTTACCGGTAGAACCTGGCACACAGCTTTTGCCGTCGTTTGGAGAATTACTGCGTGCACTGCCGTTCGCTCAGAGCCATTGTGCACGTTTGTTTCTCTGATCACTAACAGCCTGCACGTTTCCAGCGTTTCCAGTTTCCAGCGTTGTATGGGGATTTCCACGTGTTTCAGTCGCTTATTAGCTTTTGTGGCTTCAGGGTGAGCCGTGGCGTCTGAGACACCCAGCCACATCGTTCCGCTGTGGGCGGGGCATTGAAGACAGGTCTGAAAACGTTCCAGCTCTTGCTGGAAGGGACGTCATTTCTGAACACGTGAGGGGTCTGAGTTTCTTTACGACAGCAGCTTCTATTGAGCGAAATGGTCAGAAAACCATTGCTCTAGTTAATATTTTAGATAGTTGCAAGTTACTCCATTTACCATATATACTTTACAACTTTCCAAAGAGTTAAAATACAGAAGGGGCCTTACTTCCAAATATGAAGTGTGTGGGTGCACCGGTTGTTTCAAATTCAGAACGTGTTTTCCACAATGACAACGTCATAAATGCCGTTGAGATTCCCAGGCCGGCTCCTAGAAACCCTTAATAGTAGAAAACCATAGGGGGAAACACCAGTAATTAGACAGAACAGAATACAATTGCTTTTTTAAAAGTTATTTTGATCCCTGGTGGTCAAATGAAAAACATGATCATGGGAGGCCATGGAAGGTGAGCCGTCGATATTCCGAAGGGAAGCCGGGATCCGTCCAAGGGCGTTCGAGATAAAAGGTGCTGTTTCATTAATATGTCTAGCTGCACTTCGAGATTTATGGCTTAACTTTGTTTTGTAAAAATTGAATATTAGCCTTATTCTTATGATTTTCAGAAGTAATCAGAGAAGTTTTTAATTTACAAGGAGGGGAAACAGGGAAACAGAGGAAGGGAGAGAGACAGGCATCTGCGGAGACTTCCCTGGAGAGCAGAGGCCAGAGGCAGAAGAGGGAGGGGGTGGAGTGGTTGCGGAGGACTTGCCCAGGAAACCCCTGTGAGAAGGAAGAGTTTTCTCAGCTGAGCATTGAGCCAGCTGGTGTGTCAGGGGCAGCTTAGTTCACCATGCTGGGTCCTCTCCTGAGCACAGGAAGACTGCACTGTCCCACCTTCTCTGGAGTCCGCTGGGGCCTCCTGTGTGACCTGTGTCCAGGCCTGGCCCTAAAACATCCCACCAGCCTCTCAGCCCTCTCTTCCCTCTGCAGCAGGAGCAAAGGCCACGTCGGGGACATGATACATCACAACATGCAGGCAGCATGGCCCTGAGTCACCACGTGGAGACAAGCCTCAAGAGGACTCCACTTCCCAGTGGACGTTGCACGAGCAAGCAGGAAACCTCTTCTGTGAGCCCCTGAGGTTCAGGGTTTTTTGTTTTTTTTTAGTACCATGGCTACTGTGACGTATCCTGACTAATGCCGACAGCACAGGGAGCCTTTGCCTGCCGGAGGAAGCGGTGAGGAAGAGGTGGTGCGTCGTGCACTTCCTGTTGCTGTTTTAGGACAGCTTGGGTGAGTCCAGCATTAAAAATCAGAATGGGAAAAAGGAGAGGAAACCCGGAAGGGTCTACATGGGAAAGCCAGGGTCTGCGGAAGACAGATTGTCTCTCCCAGGATGCCTGGTGTTTTTGGAGGGGCACGCAGCAGTTGGAGGTTTGCATTTCAGGATTTGCCTTACATTAAAATGCAATTTATCTGTTAATTCTATTTACTTATTTAACTCACATGGATTAACTGCCTATTCTGTGTACCAGACGTAGTTTGTTCCAGGGAAGTGCTGCTGAACCAGGTAAACCCAGCCCCCCATCTCCAGGAGCAGAGGCTGCAAGGACAGGAAGACAATGAGGCAATGGTGTGCTGGGGGAATCGTGCTAAAGTGAAAGCATCCTTCGATCATTTTTAAGTCATTCTAGGATCTTCAGGGCATCAAAGTTTTGCCTGTGAGCCTCAATTGGTCTAATACAAAAATACAGACTGTGGTTAATCATCTGAGCTTTGAGATCATGTGAGATTGTAATCCTGCCTTGGTTCTGCCACTTACTGCTGGTGAAGGAAAAATTAATCTTTCCAAACAGCTTGCAAGACAGAAATCATGCTTTCTACCTCCCAAAGCTGCTGTGGGCATGAAACAGCCCACGTGCATGAGGTGCCCAGCATAGCGCCTGGAAATCACACACAATCACAGAATCATGGGGCCAGAGGAGGCCCTTGAAGTTTTATCTGATTTACTCCTCCCATGAGATGCTTTAATTCTCCAACTTCTCCTCAATGGCACCTATAAAGAAATGGGTTCTCCCTCTGTTGTTCTCTCTCTCGCTCTCAAGCTCTTTTAGTACTTAGAGTTACGCCACTTCATTTGAAGTTTAACATGGTAAATCTTAGAGACCATCCAAGTCCAACACATTTATTTTATTTTTTTTTCTGAGACTGAGTTTTGCTCTTGTTGCCCAGGCTGGAGTGCAATGGCACGATCTCAGCTCACTGCAACCTCTGCCTCCCAGGTTCAAATGATTCTTTTGCCTCAGCCTCCTGAGTAGCTGGGATTACAGGCATGCGCCACCATGTCCGCCTAATTTTGTATTTTTAGTAGAGACGGGTTTTCTCCATGTTGGTCAGGCTGGTCTTGAACTCCTGACCTCAGGTCATCCGCCCTCCCTTGGCCTCCCAAAGTGCTGGGATTACAGGCGTGAACCACCACGCATGGTCCCAACACCCTTATTTTAATGCTGTTAATGTCACTGGATTTCATTTTTGGCCCAGCATCTGCTTTCTCTTGTGGAATGTGCCACGTGCAGTGGAGAAGAATGTGTATTTTCCAGGCGGTGGGTGCAGTGTTCATCATTTGGGTCAAGGTGATGGATGGTGTTGTTCAGATATTTGTCTTTACTGATATTTTTGTTGAGGGATGTTGAAGTCCCTAATTATGATTGTGGAATCATTTATTTCTCCCTTTAACTCTGGATGTTTGCATCATGTGTTCAGAAGCTGTTACAAGGTGGGTTCAACTCTACGACTGTCAGGTCTTTCTGAAGAGCCTTCCCTTCAGCATTATGAAGCGTCCCTCTTTATTTCTAATAATACATTTTGTCTAAATGTCTATTTTATCTGATATTCACAGAGCTTCTCTAGTATTCGTATACTTACTGTTTGCATGGTATTTTCTTTTCCTTTCATTTACTTTCAATCAATATGTCTTCATATTTAAAGTGAATCTCTAAGAACACTACAATCTAATTAGACAAAAAATAAAGCAAATCTTTTAGAGATAGTATATAGTTGAATCTTGCTTTCAAAAACTGTCTGACAATCTGTCTTCTAATTGGAGTGTTTATTCTATTCATATTCAATGTAGTTGTTCATATGGTTGGATTTAGGCCTACTTTTTGGGAGACAGGGGACAGAGTCTCACTCTGCCACCCAGGCTGAGTACAGTGGCATGATCATGGCTCACTGCAGGCTCAGCCTCCCAGGGTCAAGCAATCCTCCCATCTCAGCCTCCCAAGTAGCTAGACTACCAGCACGTGCCACCACACTCAGCTAAGCATCTTTTATTATTTGTTTTCTGTTTGTTTCCTCTGTTGTGGTTCTCTGTTCCTCCTATTCTGCCTTCATTTGAATTATGTTAATGTTTTTTAGAATTCCATTGTACTGGTTTTATTGACTTTTTAGCTATAAATACTCTCGGCATTTTTAAGTGGCGGCTAATGGAATTCCAGTGCACATCCTTAGAGTTTTCTTAGGGTTAATAGTGTAACATCTTATGTACATTTGTAAACCTTGCAGCAAAATAAGTCCATCTGCTTCCCCTTCCTCCGTTTTTTAATGCTATAGTTGCCATAGGTATTACATCCACATACTTTATAAGCCTCACAAGAAAATGTTTTACTTTTTGCTTTGAACAGTCACATGCTTTGAACAGTCTTAAATTAAAAGGAAAATTAGTCTTTTGTATTTATCCAGCTATTTACAATTTCAGATTTCTTCATTCTTTCCCAAAGGTGCAAGTTTCCATCTGGTATTATTTCTCTTTAGCCTCAAAAACCTCCTCTAGCATTTCTTGTAGTCCAGATCTGTTGGCAATGAATTATTATAGCCTTCTTTTATCTGAAAATGTTTTAATTTTACATTTATCTTGAAAAGACATTTTTTACTGGTTGTATAAGTTTGTGTGACTATTTTTTTTCTTTTAGCTTGTTTGGGTGGTTGTTCCACCATATTCTGGCTTCCATAGTTTCTGATGAGACGTCAGTAGTACCTGGAGTTGCTACTTCTCTCTATATAATGTGTCATTTTTCATTTGCTGTGTTCCAGATTTTTTTGGCTTGTTTTTCTTTGTATTTATTGATCTTGAGGCTTATGGAGCTTCTTAAAGTTGTAAAATTATGTCTTTCACCAAATTTGGGCATTTTTGGACAATTACATCTTCAAATATTTTTTGCCCCCTTCTCTCCTCTTTTTATGGGACTCCAGTTCCATGGATGTTTAACATTTGATGTGGTCTTTCAAGTTCCTGAGGTTCTTGTTAGTTATCCATTGCTGCATAACAAATTACCCCCCAAACAGTTGGGGGTTAAACAATAATCATAATTTATTACCTGTCTGTGGTTTCTGTGGGCCAGAATCCACACAGGGCACTGTGAGGACAGACTGTCTCTCCTGGGATGCCTGGCATTTCAGCTGGAATACTGAAGCCTGAAGGTTGGAGTCATCTGAAGGTGCTCTCACCCACACATCTGGCAAGTGGAGGGCTGAGGGCCCAGTGTGGCTATTGGCCAAACACCCACGTGTGGGCTCTCCGTGTGGCCAGGACTGCCTCACAACACAGTGGCTGGGTTTGAAGGGCAAGCACGGGGGTTGGAGGCAGAAGTCATGTTGCCTGTGGCGACCTGGCCTGGGAGTACCACAGTGTCACTTCCCCTGTCTCCTTTTGGTTGGGAAAGTTTCAGGGGTCTGACCAGCTAGAGTCCGCCCAGAGTCTGCCTAACTGGAGACTCTGGATTTTGCTCTACCCCTGTTTATTTGTTCATTTGTTTGTTTAACCTGATCGATCTCAAACTGCAAACTGTTTATTGGGTGGCAGCTCAAATCTCAGAAAAATTTGTAAATTCTCCACTGGTGTGCTTTGTGTCTTCCTTGTGCACGCATGTTTCAGGAGCTAGCCAGAGATCTGGGCAGAGTTCATGGCTCTCTCTCCCTTTCTCTCTCAAAATTCTCCTCCTTTTCCAGAGGCTGTGTTTTCCCTGAACTCTGGCATCCAGTCTTCAGGCAAGGACAACTTCTATTATGGTTTTAGCTGCCCCTACAGCACCAACTACAATACACCCTTAGGATAAATCCATAGAAATGAGAAACTTGTTCTGTGTTACCACCTAAGATCTACGCTTTAGCAAATTTCAAGTATAAAATACAGTATTATGAACTATAGTCACCATGGTGGACATGAGGTCTCCAGAATTTATTCCCCCTGCATAACTGGAACTTTGCACCCTTTGACCAACACTTCCTCAACTTTCCCACCCCAGCTCCTGGCTGCCACCATCCTACTCTCTGCTCCTATGAGTGGCACTATTTTAGATTCCACAGATAAGTGAGATATTGTGGTATTTGTCCTCTGTGATCAGCTTATTTCACTTAGCATGATGTCCTTCAGGTTCATCCATGTTGTTGCAAATGGCAGGATGTCCTTCTTTTGAAAGACTGAGTAAAATTCCACTGGGGACAGGTATACACCACATCCTCTTTACCTGTTTATCCGTCCATGGATATTAGGCTGTTTCCATATCCTGGCTATTGTGAATAATATGCCAGTGAACACGGGAGTGGAGGCATCTCTTTGAGATTTGGATTTCATTTTCTTTGGGTATATCCCCAGAAGTGGGATTGCTGGATCATATGGTGGCTATGTTTTTAATTTTTTGAGGCATCTCCATACTGTTTTCCATAATGGCTGTATCAATTTACATTCCCACTAACAGTTCTAAGGGTTCCCTCTTCTTGACACCCTCCATTCCTAATGGTTTTGTGTAAATGCGCAGGTCTCACCTCCACAGTTGGGTTGTAATCCCGAGAGCAGAGCTGCAGTCCTCATGCCTGCTGACCCTGCAGGGTGTGGTGTCTCTGTCCATCCAAGGACCAGCCCTGTTCATTGTCTAACACAGCAGCAGAAGCTGTGCACACTGACTTTCCCTACAAGAGCAGTGACCAGAGAAAGTTTAATTTATTCCACGCAGAAATATGGCAAGTATTTTTTTTTTAACTAATCAAACAGATTACTTATCAGATGGCATGGGTTAAAAATTACTCAGTCTAAAAATGTCTGGTGAACAAGCGCTTAATTTTAGCAAACAATTCTAAATTGAGTACTTATGAAAAGCAATTTTTTTGTTCCCCAAACCCAAAAGACACCCTCCCTCCTTTAGATAAAAAGGGAAATTGCTTATGTGGGTAATTATTTCTGGAGCTGACCACTTACTGGTGTGGAAAGTCATTACAGACACCCGCTGCTTGTTTCCTGGGGATGAGGCCAGCCCTGGTGGGCTGGGAGGAGGTTCTGCGGCCTTTCATCATCAGGGTCTGTGAGCACCGCAGGGACTGCCTGGGCGGGGGACAAGGCAGGTGCAGAGACCAGGACGCTATTAAGGAGCCCCAGGGGTCCTGATGGTGCATGGGCTGGTTTTAAATTATGAGATGTGTGTGTGTGTGTGTGTGTGTGTGTGTGTGACAGAGAGAGAGAGAGAGAGAGACATGGCTACAGAGAGAGGCAGAGAAGGGGAGCCATTAAATGCCACAGAAAGGCATGGCCACGCGAGAGCTGCTGTGTAGCCCAGCAGAGCCCTTGCTGCTGTTTCTAGAATGGCTGTTTCACAGGCAGCTTTGTGAGTCCTGCTCAGGGCCAGTGTAGACCTCAGGGGTCTGCCCTGGGAGGCCCTGATCACCACCTTCTAGGACCCATGTCCTCGGGCTCCTGCCCAGGCCCACGCCTCCTGCGTCCCATGTGCGCACTGCTCTGTCCCCCTGGGAAGGTGGGAAACCCAACGTGGTGGTGCCTGCCTGCCCAGTCTGGCACAGAGATGGAGCGAGCTAGAGCCTGGCCTGAGCTGCGTGCTGTCTGCAGGGGCTCCCGGATGCTACTCTGTTAAAGCTGGAGTTGGCTGGTCAGAGGGGCAACCTCCTGACACTCCCTCCAAGGCACGGCCTGCCCACAGGCTGCAGCTTCGACCAGTAGAGTGCGGCAGGAGGGACATATTGAGACTTCCAAGCCCAGAGCTGAGGGCACTGGCAGCTTTGCTTCCTTCTGTTGGGAATGGTCATGGGTACAGCCAGGTGTACGGTGCAGAGGATGCAAGCTCAGGCTGGGGGACACACAGGAGGAGGGAGAGAAAGAGAGAGAGGAGGAGGGAGAGAAAGAGAGAGAGGAGACAGGGAGAGCGAAGGGGAGAGGGAGAGAAGGGGAAAGGGAGAGAGGGGGAGAGAAGGAGAGAGAGGGGAAGAGGGAGAGAGGGGGAGAGAGGGAGAGAGACCGGGAGAAGGAGAGAGAGGGAGAGAGGGAGAGAGAGGGGAGAGGGAGAGAGAGGGGAGAGGGAGAGGGGGACAGGGAGAGAGGGGGGAGAGAAGGAGAGAGGAGGGAGAGGGAGAGAGGGGGGAGAGAAGGAGAAGGGGGGAGAGGGAGAGAGATGGGGAGAAGGAGAGAGGGGGGAGAGGGAGAGAGAGGGGAGAGGGAGAGAGAGGGGAGAGGGAGAGAGAGGGGAGAGGGAGAGAGAGGGGAGAGGGAGAGAGAGGGGACAGGGAGAGAGAGGGGACAGGGAGAGAGAGGGGACAGGGAGAGAGAGGGGAGAGGGAGAGAGAGGGGAGAGGGAAACAGAGGGGAAGAGAGAGAGTTGGGGGGGGAGAGTGATGGAGACGGAGAGTGGGGAGAGCAATGGAGATGGGGAGGGACTGCTCATGGTGATAGCATGATGTTTTCTTCCAGTCGAGGTTGGTGGAAAAGCAAGATAGTTTTGGGTTCCTCATGTTTCTTTTCACTATTTTTTACATTTGAATCAAAGATGTTTTCTTGGATATAAGTGGACGTTAAGCTGGTCTTTTTCCTATTTGTGAAACTGTGAAACAGCAAAGTTAGTATTCACCTTTTAACTTGCCCAGGTTGAAAAGTGCTCCCAAAACGGGACTGGGAAAGACAATGGTCTAAGTACAAGCAAACGATTTACAATTCTTAAAAGTTGTTTTGTTTGAATACACTTCACATCAGATGATTCTACAGAGATTGTAATTGTGATACGATCGAGTCTCTGTTTTTCTGCCTTTCAGTATTAAATTCATATTTTTAAGCAGTGTGTAGAGGGAAATTTATAGCACTAAATGCCCACAAGAGAAAGCAGGAAAGATCTAAAATTGACAACCTAACATCACAATTAAAAGAACTAGAGAAGCAAGAGCAAACACATTCAAAACCTAGCAGAAGGCAAGAAATAACTAAGATCAGAGCAGAACTGAAGAAGATAGAGACAAAAAAAAAAAACCCTTCAAAAATCAATGAATCCAGGAGCTGGTTTTTTGAAAAGATCAACAAGGTTGATAGACCGTTAGCAAGACTAATAAAGAAGAAAAGAGAGAAGAATCAAATAGACGTAATAAAAAATGATAAAGGGGATATCACCACCGATCTCACAGAAATACAAACTACCATCAGAGAATATTATAAACACCGCTACACAAATAAACTAGAAAATCTAGAAGAAATGGATAAATTCCTCAACACATACACTCTCCCAAGACTAAACCAGGAAGAAGCTGAATCTCTGAATAGACCAATAACAGGCAATAATTAATAGCTTACCAACCAAAAAAAGTCCAGGACCAGATGGATGCACAGCCGAATTCTACCAGAGGTACAAGGAGGAGCTGGTACCATTCCTTCTGAAACTATTCCAATCAATAGAAAAAGAGGGAATCCTCCCTAACTCATTTTATGAGGTCAGCATCATCCTAATACCAAAGCCTGGCAGAGACACAACAAAAAAGGAGAATTTTAGACCAATATCCCTGATGAACATCAATGCAAAAATCCTCAATAAAATACTGGCAAACCAAATCCAGCAGCACATCAAAAAGCTTATCCACCATGATCAAGTGGGCTTCATCCCTGGGATGCAAGGCTGGTTCAACATACACAAATCAATAAACGTAATCCAGCATATAAACAGAACCAAAGACAAAAACCATATGATTATCTCAATAGATGCAGAAAAGGTCTTTGACAAAATTCAACAGTCCTTCATGCTAAAAACTCTCAATAAATTAGATATTGATGGGACGTATCTCAAAATAATAAGAGCTATCTGTGACAAACCCACAGCCAATATCATTCTGAATGGGCAAAAACTGGAAGCATTCCCTTTGAAAACTGGCACAAGACAGGGATGCCCTCTCTCACCACTCCTATTCAACATAGTGTTGGAAGTTCTGGCCAGGGCAATCAGGCAGGAGAAGGAAATAAAGGGTATTCACTTAGGAAAAGAGGAAGTCAAATTGTCCGTTTGCAAATGACATGATTGTATATTTAGAAAACCCCATTGTCTCAGCCCAAAATCTCCTTAAGCTGATAAGCAACTTCAGAAAAGTCTCAGGATACAAAATCAATGTGCAAAAATCACAAGCATTCCTATACACCAATAACAGACAAACAGAGAGCCAAATCATGAGTGAACTCCCAGTCACAGTTGCTTCAAAGAGAATAAAATACCTAGGAATCCAACTTACAAGGGATGTGAAGGACCTCTTCAAGGAGAAGTACAAACCACTGCTCCACGAAATAAAAGAGGACACAAACAAATGGAAAAACATTCCATGCTCATGGATAGGAAGAATCAATATCATGAAAATGGCCATACTGCCCAAGGTAATTTATAGATTCAATGCCATCCCCATCAAGACCAATGACTTTCTTCACAGAATTGGAAAAAACTACTTTAAAGTTCATATGGAACCAAAAAAGAGCCCACATTGCCAAGTCAATCCTAAGCCAAAAGAAGAAAGCTGGAGGCATCACGCTACCTGACTTCAAATTATACTACAAGGCTACAGTAACCAAAACAGCATGGTACTGGTACCAAAACAGAGATATAGACCAACGGAACAGAACAGAGACCTCAGAAATAATGCCTCATATCTACAACTATGTGATCTTTGACAAACCTGACAAAAACAAGAAATGGGGAAAGGATTCCCTATTTAATAAATGGTGCTGGGAAAACTGGCTAGCTATATGTAGAAAGCTGAAACTGGATCCCTTCCTTACACCTTATATAAAAATTAATTCAAGATGGATTAAAGACTTAAATGTTAGACCTAAAGCCATAAAAACCCTAGAAGAAAACCTAGGCAACACCATTCAGGACATAGGCATGGGCAAGGACTTCATGTCTAAAACACCAAAAGCAATGGCAACAAAAGCCAAAATTGACAAATGGGATCTAATTAAACTAAAGAGCTTCTGCACAGCTAAAGAAACTACCATCAGTATGAACAGGTAACCTACAGAATGGGAGAAAATTTTTGCAATCTACTCATCTGACAAAGGGCTAATATCCAGAATCTACAAAGAACTCAAACAAATTTACAAGAATAAACAAACAACCCCATCAAAAAGTGGGTGAAGGACATGAACAGACACTTCTCAAAAGAAGACATTTATGCAGCCAAAAGACACATGAAAAAATGCTCATCATCACTGGCCATCAGAGAAATGCAAATCAAAACCACAGTGAGATACCATCTCACACCAGTTAGAATGGCGATCATTAAAAAGTCAGGAAACAACAGGTGCTGGAAATGATGTGGAGAAATAGGAACACTTTTACACTGTTGGTGGGACTGTAAACTAGTTCAACCATTGTGGAAGACAGTGTGGCGATTCCTCAAGGATCTAGAACTAGAAATTCCATTTGACCCAGCCATCCCATTACTCAGTATATACCCAAAGGATTATAAATCATGCTGCTATAAAGACACATGCACACATATGTTTATTGCAGAACTATTCACAATAGCAAAGACTTGGAACCAACCCAAATGTCCATCAATGATAGACTGGATTAAGAAAATGTGGCACATATACACCATGGAATACTATGCAGCCATAAAAAAGGATGAGTTCATGTCCTTTGTAGGGACATGGATGAAGCTGGAAACCATCATTCTCAGCAAACTATTGCAAGGACAGAAAACCAAACACTGCATGTTCTCACTCATCGATGGGAATTAAACAATGAGAACACTTGGACACAGGAAGGGGAACATCACACACCGGGGCCTGTTGTGGGGTGGGAGAAGGAGGAGGGATAGCATTAGGAGATATGCCTAAGGTAAATGACGAGTTGATGGGTGCAGCACACCAACATGGCAAATGTATACATATGTAACAAACCTGCAGGTTGTGCACATGTACTCTAGAACTTAAAGTATAATTAAAAAAATAAAATAAATTCACATTTTTATAAATGTTGACTACAAAAGGATTTGATATCGTCACATTCACCGCTGGAAAGTCAATGATTGGATGTCCGCAATGTCACAACAAAGGCCTGTCTCATCTGTGTCATCAGGCTGAGGAGGGGATGTTGACCTGCAGATGACATCACGGCGGCCACACACGTGCCTGGGGCTGCTGGAGATGCTGGTTGGGGAGGAGTTTGGCCTTCTGAGGAGGAAGTCCCAGAGCAGACTTTGGCTCAACTCTAAGGTACATTTGAGCTTGTAGAGGGATCCCCGCCGCTCTCCTGCCTGTGAGCTCGCCCTTGGGCTTGGCAGCCGTGGTGCCTCCTGCCTGTGAACGCCCCTCTCCTCCTTTCTGTGAACGTCCCTCTCCTTCCTGTGAACGTCCCAGACTCTCCTCCTGCCTGTGAACGTCCCTCTCCTGCCCGTGAACGTCCCTCTCCTGCCCGTGAACGCCCCTGTCCTCCTGCTCCGCTCTCTCGACCTTTCCTTCCTTTTGTTGGAGAATAAAGACCTGCGTCTCATGGAGGTGGGGCCCAATACCTGTTGGGAGGCCGGGGCTGGCAAACAATGAAAAGATCGCTGTTTTCCAAACTCACTCAAAGGCTTGTCGATTCGACCTTTACTTCCAGATCAGAGAAAATGATTTTGATTTCATGTTTTTGTTACCACGACGTTTGAAGGTGTGACCTTTAAAGCGACTTTTGTCTCCCGCTCAAACGCTTCTTGCCCCTTTCGGTTTTGTGCTGAAATCAAAGTTGATTCGGTTGCACCAAAGGCCTCCGTCATTTTGGCTTCTGCCTGACGCGCACTGTGGGAAGAACGGTTTCATTATTGTGGGTCGCACCTCACCTCCCTTCGTGCTGTTTCTGAGGGATTCGGATGTCCTGAGGACCCCTTTCCAACTTCCATGGGAGCTGGGAGCCTGGAAAACAACAGCACAAGAGGCAATTTTCTTTTCTTTTCTTTTCTTTTTTTTTTCTTTTTTTGAGACCGAGTCTCGCCCTCTCGTCCAGGCTGGAGTCTGGAGTGCAGTGGCGCGATCTCGGCTCACTTCAACCTCTGCCGCCCGGGTTCAAGCGATTCTCCTACCTCAGCCTCCCGAGTAGCTGAGATTTAACCCGGTAAATTATTGTATTTTTAGTTGAGACAGGGTTTCACCATGTTGGCCAGGCTGGTCTCAAACTCCTGACCTCAGGTCATCCACCCACCTCTGCCTCCCAAAGTGCTGAGATTACAAGAGGCAATTTTTGATTTTCAGCTCCCGGCTGGGCCAGCTTCCAGGCCAGTGGGCTCGGCCAGGCGGGGTCTCCTCCTACAGCCGCCCTGTGCTTTGGGGCTCTGCCTTCCTGACCTTCTGTTTCAGATGATTTTGATCTGTAACAATCTGAGTCCTGCAGCCCCTGGGCTCTGTGGCAGCCTCGAAGGGGGTGGCTTCCACGATGAATGCCACAGATAGGAGCACTGCGGCCTCCCTGGGGTAGCCCAGCAGGCAGTCCGTCCAGTGAGGGAAAAGGGGCAGGTGCGTGGGCAGGCTTGTAACATCCTAATCCCGAGATGGAACTGACCAAGCTGCCCCAAAGCAGACACTGTCTTAGTCTGCTCGGGCAGCCACCACAGCAGACTTTTATCTTCCAGCTGTGGGGGTGGGAGGCCCAAAGTTATGGTGTGGCTGATTCAGTTTCTGGTGGGGGCCCTTCTGCACAGCCATCTTCTTGCTGTGCCCTCACGTGCGGGAGAGAGTTCTGGTGTCTCCTCTGATAAGGGCACTGATCCCACCATGGGTCTCACCCTCGCGACCTCATCTAACCTTAGTGAGTCCCTTAGAGGCCACATCTGTGACCTTGGGGTCTGCCCTGGGGGTCAGGGCTGCCGCAGATGGACTCAGGGGAACACAAACATTCGGTCCTTGAGACATGCAGACAAGCAGGAGAAAACATTATTCCCACAGAAATCAGGGAATGGAGCCAGGCAGAGGACCCTCAGGTTAAAGGAGGGTGGAGGCTGTGGCCTCTCCCTGCCCAGACAGCAGGGCAGGGGATGGAGGCAGGGTAGGTCCCAGCATACGCTGTCGTTCACCACTTTGGAAGGACGGGAGCCTGCTGAGGGGTAACAGGGCGTTTATTACCACAGCATGTCTTAGGCAAGCACCTAAAATGATCACAAGCTTCAGTATGTTTAATAAGCTTTTATTTCAATACAAGGCAAACAAATCAAGGAATTTTTATGCAGTTTAGTAAGAACAGAAGTAGAAATTGGAAATTTAGACAGTTGGATTAGTTTTATTTACAGAGTGAGATCTGTCTGTTTCCCTCTGGTGGTGACTGGCACCGTTTAAAAGAATCTGCGGAATTCCTAACCGTGACAGACGCTGATACTGCTGGGGACACAAGACCCTCTTGGCCAGCGTCAGCTCAAGGCACCTCCTCGCCTGCCGACAGTGGCATGGAGACTGGGGGCTGTGGCATTGGGGGTGGCTCCAGGGCCTGGGACCCTGGCTCCTGAGCGGGTGCGCCACCCTCAGTGTGGGGGAGGACGAGGGAGTGGACACCCACCCAAGGGGGTGACGGGACAGGCTTCCTAAACCACTGGAGCTCTGAGGCTCCTGGCATATCCCTCCCACGGGGCTGCATCTCCGGTGCCTCCCCTCCCCTCCTGTGTTCCACCCACCCTGCCCTGTTCTGGGTGTCTGCAGCTCCGCCACACCTGGTACAAATATCTGCCTTGCTCTGCTGTACCCAACAGCTCTGAGATTTTTAGGAAGCGAAGGGGCAGAAGAAGCGACTCACAAGCTCCTGGAGCCGTGTTGGGAGGGGCCCTCGGGGCCCCTGGAGTGGAGAGACACACCCAGAGGCTTTCCAGCCACCCAGGGAGGAGGCGCGGTGGCTGGGATTTGGAGACAGCTGTGGAGGTGGGTGCAGGAGGCCGGGTTCTCTGTATTTCCAGACTAGAGGCAGCGGCAGCTATTGGTGTGGGGTGGGAGGGGAGAGCAGCTGGGACATAGAAACATTCCGAACCTATGATAAGCTCCCTGCTTCCAAACCCTTAAATGTCCTTAATCTGTAAGAAAGAACACTCCTGACCAAAATTGGCCAGGAGGCCCTCTCAGGTTTATTCTCTGAAATAAACCTGTCCTTGACTGTGGAGCTGCTTTCCCGTTTCTTTCCTCTTTCTTTAACTCTTACAGAGAGCAGCTGGAATGGCCCCACAGGCTACAGCCCGTGTCGGTGTGGGATGCGAGGGAGAGGAGCCAGGATGGCCCCACATGCTTTCCTTGGCTGCCTGGGCGGGTGCAGCAGCCACCTGAGAGGGCCGTCTGAGGACACGAGGCGGCATCAGCCTCATGAGATCTGGGATGTGCACGGGACGTCCATGAAGCCGTCGGAGATGTGTGTCTGGGCAGGGTGCTGACAGGGAGGGTGGGTTTCTGTGGCATTTGGGTTTGGGGGATGAAGCCGTGCAGGGGTGTGAGGCCTGAGGGTTGCAGCAGATGCCTGTGTCCACATCTGGACAGCATTGCTGGCTAACGCCAACCCCACCTGGCTTGGGAACAGGCTTGAATGTGTGGTCTGTCCTGGGCAAAGAGTAAGTTCCTAGAAAATCCCAGCAGTCACTGGGAAGTCTGATGACTTCCTGAGCCGAGCTCTTGGTGTGATGTGATCCCATCGGTGGTGTTACTTCTGGTTTTTGTCTTGTTCACAATAGGATTTGGAGTAGTTTACAAAGGTTAACAAAGTTCAGGGAGTCAGGGAAGGGAAAATTAAGAAAAAGCCCACAGGACAGAGTGGAGCATGTGGCAAGGTCAGCGGCCGCGTGGACGTCTCCGATTGTGCTGGCTGTGCTGCTGTGGCCGCGGTGGGGCAGAAGGTGAGTCCGTCTCCCGAAACTGCTGGCCCCGAGCCTCACAACACCCATTAAAAACCCTGATTTCCAGCTCTGCTCGCAGAGACCTGGATGCAGTGGGCTTGGGCTGGGCCCCGGAACTTGGGTTTCCAGCAAGTGCCCCAGGCGAGTCCTGTGATGGGAGTTGCAGGAACGATGCCAGCCACGTGTCCTGAGGCTGCAGGCAGGGCGGGTGTCTCTGACACCCAGGGTGCTGCCAGTCTGGGAAGCCTGGGCTCCTGCTGTGGGCCTGGGTATTGGAGAGCTGGCAGGCAGAGGTGAGGGCCTCCAAGCTGGGGAGGGTGGGGGCTCTTTACAAGGACCCGGGTCTCCCACGATAGCCTCAGGTGTCTGAACTTCCTCACCTGCTCAGGGGCTTCACCTGCATCCTGGGGGTTTCCTGGAAGGTGAGTGGGTCGGGGGAGCTGCCGACAGGGAGAAGGCGGGCCCAGGAGACTGGGTGGTCCAGGCTCTTTGGGTCGTGCCCTCTGCGGGGCCCGGCTGGTGTTTTGCCCCAGGCAGGTGGTGCAGAGGCAGGGTGGCTGCTAGGGGCCTCCCTGGGAAAAGGTGATGGTCAGCCAGTGCCTGGGGCAGGGCTTGTGGTCGGCCCCAGCCGCTCTCTCACTCCTCCAGCATCTCTGAGCCCAGCCCTGTTGGGTGCCAGCACCTGACGTCCCAGAGGACCCAGGCTTCCTCCCTGGGGTGTGGTCCTGCTTACCATACCCACCCTAACAAGGAACCCAGTGCCAGCCCCCTGAGCCCTGGCACTGCCTCTGGTACCGCCTCGGGGTCTGGGCAGGGGTTGCCCAGAAGCTTTGGGGCAGGAAGAGAGTAGGATGAGACCTCTCGGACGATCAGGACAGGGCTGGCTCCAGGGAACAGGATCTGAGGCGTGGAGTTGGGGAGTGTGTTCCTTCCACATCCCCTGGAAAGGGTGGAGGCCTCCCCATCCCCTTACAGCTAGCAGGGCTTCAGCATCCCCAAGCCAGGGGGAACCAGGAGTCTACACTGATGTTTCTCTGTGCTTCTTCATGCAGGCCAGACGTCCTCACTTCCCCCAACCCCAGTCCAGTTGTACATGTTGTGCACTGCACAAGGGCCCTGGCAGAGGACCAAGTTGGAGTTGAAATCCAGCCATGGCATGGCCCTGTGGGCTGCACACAGCATATGGAGGCTGCACTGGTCAGCAGCTGCTCAGCCTGAGAGAGATCCTGGAGCCCCATGTGGCATCTCTGGGTCTGAATTCTCTCTTGACACAAAGAGGACACCTCCTTGGTCGTTGCTAAGGAATTTGAACAGAGGAGGGCCCTGCAAGTTCCCAGCGCCATGCACTGTGCAGCCGAGCCCAACACCCGGAAGCTGCTGTCAGCTGGTCCCTCGGACACTACTGTGGGCTGGTTTGACCTCTTGGGCCCTCACTGCTCAGAGCTGCAAGGTGGCTTCATCACTTTCTTCTGTGCAGTCCCAGCCTTCCAGATGGTCAGAGACTGCTGGTGCCTCCCTCCACCATCCCGTTGCTGTCCCCCAGGGCCTCATCTCTGGGACTTCTCTACCCTACCATCCCTCACATTGACACAAATGTGTACACAGAAGCACACATGCACACACACATACATGCATGTGCACAGATGAACACACAGACACACACGCACACACATGCACATGCATGCAAAGACATGCACACATGCATGCACACACACACATGCACATGCACAGATGAACACACAGACACACACACGCACATGCATGCACACAGACACACATGCATATACATGCACAGAGATGCACACATATACACACAGACATGCACACACACATGCTACAGCATGTGCACACAGACACACACACCCTGCACACCCCAAGCCTCGTCTGCTGTCTCTGCTGTGCCTGCTTCCCTTAGCCCCTGATACCACCTTCCCCAGGTCTCCCAACTGCCCTGCCTGGACACAGAGAGGGGTCCTGTGAAGTCAGGCCTTGAAGGAGTGGGCGTCTCTCAGCCCCTCTGGAAGCCTCGCACCAGGACTGTCCCCTCTCCCGCAGAGCATTCAGGACCAGCAGCCCTCAGCCCTGCAGTCTCCAGACCTGGTTCTGGGGAGCTTGGGGAGCTGGGGAGGTGGGTCAGGACCCAGACACCTTTGATTGGGACCCATTTGACATGAGACAGTGAGTGTCATCCCTAAATTAAATCTTGATTTCAGAATTTTGGAGTTTACCAAAATGGACTTATTTCTCAGTATTTCCAAAGTTTCTATTTTGTTTTAAAACAATAAACAATATACACCTGAACTTGTAAAAATAAGTTTACATGAATACTATTCCACAACCTCCCACCCCAGCCGTCTTTCCCAAGGTGTGAGGGTCGGGATGTAACTGGCTGGGACCCCATAGCTCCCGGGCCTCCCTGACGTCCAGGCTCCTCTGCGGGAACACTGGGATGACGTGATGCTCTGCAGTGAGGGACACCAGGGGTGGCTGGACGAGCCCAGTGCATGCCTGGGCCCTCCCCTGGGTGGGGTGTGGCATGAGGGCACTCTGAGTGCTGGGACCTGGGTCTTGCTGGCCTTGGCCCGTTCAAATGGCTGTGGCCACCACCGTCTTCAAACCCAACATGATCTCTGGCCGACTGCTCTGTTGCTTTCTGTATTCTGTTTATTTTCTGAGAATTAGAAGAAGATAATAATTATCTGCTCCAGCCTCACCCTCCATGAAGCCTGAATTCCCACTGTCAGCACGCCCTTCCTTTGGACTAAAGACAGCTCTGTTTAGCTTCCTCCTGAAAATGATCACCGGCCCTGGGAGGGCTCCAGGGCTCCTGCTTCAGGATCCTGAGGTGGGGGACGGTGAGAGATCTCTGCCTCCTGTTTGGGGTAGGTGGCCGGGGGTCGGTGGTGACTGCTGCAGAGGCCGCAGGCTGAGCTCACGGTTCACAGTTCTGCCCCCTTTCCCCTGTCACCTAAGGCAGCGAACTGCTTTCCAGCCATCTTGTTTTGTAGGCCATATCAGGAGCCCGACCCCAGCTCTTGTATCAGATCCCGTTACCCTGGGGCCTTCTGCCTCCAGAGCTAGGTGTTGGCGCCTGGTCCCCAGGGAGATGACGGGCTGGACTGCGGGCTGGGCCTCGAATCTGCAGGAACTGGCTGGTCTTGTTGCTCCCAGATAAATTTTTTGGATTTCCATGAAAAGGAAAAGAAAATGAGTGCACGTGAGGCAGGTCGGTGGTGGGCGGGGAGGTGGGGGTGGGGAAGAACTCGCCTGTGCTGTCAGTGAGGAAACGGGAGTTTTCTCCTGGGGGAGAGGGCCCCAGGCGCCTCCAGGAGGAAGCAGCTCAAGGGCTGACTCCAAGTCACCCCTGGGGCAACAAAGTTCAAAAGGTGGGTGCACCTGCTCCAGGCTGGTGGCTGCCGCAGGGCAGACAGCTCCCACCGCCTGCAGCTCGCTGTCCCCTCCCTATGCTGGGGCTGCACTGAGGCCCCGAGTCCCCTGAGCTGAATCAGCACCTGGGGAGATATCCTGGCTGCAGTCTTTGCTCTCGGTTTCTTTTTTCTATTCCTTTTTGTTTTGAGACAAGGTCTCGCTCTGTTGCTAAGGCTGGAGTGCAGTGGTGAGATCCTGGCTCACTGCAGCCTCAACCGCTGGGCTAGGGTGATCCTCCCACCTCAGCCTCCTGAGTAGCTGGGACCACAGGCACATGCTTCCATGCCTGGCTAATTTTTAATTTTTTTTTTTGTAGAGAAGGGGTCTCCCTATATTGTTCAGGCTGTTCTTGAACTCCTGGGCTGAAGCAGTCTTCCCACCTGTACCTCCCAAAGTGCTGGGGCTACAGGTGTGAGCCACCACAAACTGGCCTTGATTTGTCTTAACTTGGTCAACCTGGGTGGACAAAAGGAGTGTTATCTACTGGGGGCTTCCTCAGATACCCCAACAGCCATGAGGGGAGGAAGAGAAGGAGAGGGAAGGAGACTGGGGAGGAGGAGGGTGGAAAGAAGGAGGGGCTGAAGAGGGGAAGAGGGAGGGGCGAGGAGGGAGAGTGGGTGGAATTCCTGAAGGGTCTGCACTGCTAAGACAACCATGAGTTGCAGTTTCTCCCACATGCATGTGGCTGGACCTGCTGCCCCTTCCTTCTTGGGATGGAGGTGGGCCTGGCCGTGCAGATGTGAGAGGTACAGGCGAGTGGGCGCCTGGCGAGGGTTCGGTGGAGCCAGCGTTGGGTCCTCCTGCTGGGTCAGCCCCTGTGTCTGTGACGTTGTGCGGCAGCCTTGGACCCAGGAGGTGCAACACAGTGACCCCATCTCTGTGGAGCTGGAGGGCTCAGCGTTGTCAGCCAAGAGACGCTCGGGCAGACATGGCTTGATGGCGGGGGGACGTCACTAGTGCGTCAACACCATACCAAGGCCAGGCCTGGTTCTCGCCCCAAACAGAACAGCTTGCTCCGACCTTCCCAGCGACCCTGAGCACCTGGTCCCATACTGCCCCCACTCCACAGGGCAGAAGGATGATGTGGAGTGGCGCGCGAGAGTCGCAGGGCAGTGAGTGGGAGGAGGGCCCTGAGGTGTGGGCCAGGCCACAGGCCACAGTCAGGGTCTGCATGGTGGCGCTCCTCTCCCGGCTGAGTGTGGCGAGGGCTGGTGGGAGCCGCGGGCCAGAGGGTGGTGCCTGCCTCCCCAAGAGCCATTCCCACGCCTTCAGAGACGGTGATTCATCTCCAAGGGTAATACAGCAGGAGTGGAAAGGAAAAGAGCTCCAATGATCAT
Organism: Homo sapiens; assembly: GCF_000001405.40. Classification (NCBI taxonomy): domain Eukaryota; kingdom Metazoa; phylum Chordata; class Mammalia; order Primates; family Hominidae; genus Homo; species Homo sapiens. Next base: position 157,521,724 of record NC_000007.14, read on the forward strand.
GCAGCTGGATTTATTAAAATGGAAGCAGGGGGTTGGGGGCAAAGGCAGCGCCTGTATCCGGAAGAAGCTGTTTCCAGCGGCTTGATGAATTAAACAAGTTATTCCTATATCGCAATTGTAATTATGTCGGGAAATAAAATAGAGATGAGTGTGCATGTACAAAAAAGATGGTTTTGAATGAGGAGCTGGGCGTTTCGAACGCTGCAGTTGGCAGCGAATGGAGCCACAGCGCCGACCTCTTCAGCCGCGATTCCTGCTCAGGAGTGACAGGAGGCCCCAGGCGGCTGCAGAACCTTCCTGAGACAGGAGGGACTTGGCGTGACGGGCCGAGTGGTCCCTGGGCATCTGAATGTCCTCACCCCCTATTTTCTTCTTTATTCCCTGGCCTATTGTAAATAAAAACGAACATCAAATCCTTCACCTCATTTACGTCTCATAACCCATGAGAGAGAAGTTAGCAGAACTCTCCACCAGCGACTCAGCTCTTCACAGGGTCTCAGACGCGAGGGCCAGCTTGGTGCCCCTTAGCACCTAGGGGGTGGGGCTGGCGCTCAGAAAGACGCCCTCAGGCCCAGCCCAGAGAAGGCCCTGCACCCGCCCATGGGGCTTTTGGAACTGGGTCCCAGGGAGCAGCCATGGAGGGGGCTGAGCGTGGCCTCACTGGTGCGGCCGACCTTGGATGTGGTTGGGAACCCGGAGTTTGATCTGGCTTTAGGCTGAGGATGTTGAAAATCACGTGACCACTAGATCCAGACACGTGGAATTAGGAACCGTGCACAGTGGCGTGCAAGAGACTGGTCATTTCTGCAGGTGCATGTGTGTGCATGCTTCGTGTGTCTACACAGACGTAAGACTTCGTGAACGGAGATGCGCGTGTGGGCGTGTGCACTGTGTGGGCATACATGTACCACCACGTCTACAGACGCATGCGTAGATCTATCCAGGATTTGAAAGTGTCAATTAAATACAACCCCATATGGCCCCAGAAGAGTCTCAAAGAGACTCCCAAGGACTTAGGTTCTTCCAAGGAAAGAAATAGCTCAGCCCCATCAAGATCCGGCCAAGAGAGAATCTGTTGATTTCATCCTCCCTCCCTCTTGCCACTCCAAGGAGTTCAGATGTCTGCTGAACATCTCACTCTCTTCTTTCTCTTCTTTTGACAAAAACTTTGGAGACAAAGTTTGCAAAACAGGTAAAAGACCAGAGGTAAGAAAGATGTCAGCAGGTTGCTGAGAGCTGCATTGCTCCAGGAAACACTGCCCTGAGGCACACTCAGAAACCCGCAGCCTCCGGCAGCTCCTGCTCTGCTGGGAAAGTCCAGGTCAGGCCTGATGGACACACACGGGGAGGAGAGAGGCCTCGACGCTGCTGTCTGTCCACAGAAGCACAGGGCCTGGCCTCCTGTATGAGGATGAGGGCTTAAGGCTGCAGGTGTGGGAGGCTGTGAGGTGGGCAGCAGGGATGGTGGGGGGCTGGGGAGGGGAAGGACGTGGGGTCCCAGAGCTGGAAGCTGTGCCGCAGCAGGAGGCTTGGCATCCCCTTACCAGCCCCCTGCCCGGCACCAGCATTCTGCAAACACTGGCTGCTTAAAACGAATGGAGACAACAGTGCACTTCCTGGTGGAGCCTCACTGCTGCCTTGAGAATTCCAGCTGCCTCTCAAGCTGCACAAGAGTGAAGGTGAGGGCGTGGAGCGGTTCCAGCCCCAGTGCTCTGCGAGGTGCTGCTCCTCATGGCTGCGATCACTGCGGCCACCGTCCCACTTTCCAGCAGAGGAAACTCGGGCTCCAAGAGGGGAAGGAAGGTCCCTGTGGCCACATGGCTGGATGGACCATTTGAACCGACTTCGGCCCGCCCCAGCCCGTGCTGGGATGTGCAGGTGCTGGGGGCTACACAGAGCTGAGGAGGCTGTCGGGGCTCCCAGACAGATGCCTGGGCTGGGTTTGCACCCCAAATCTGTGCCTAGACCGGGCTGGGTTTGCACCCCAAGTCTGTGCCTAGAGACTGAAGGGCATGCATCAGGCCAGGGTCTGGTCAGGACCCTGCAAGGGAGTGAGGGGCCCTGGGGACTTGTGTGGGTGCCGAGCCTGGGCCTGGGGACAGCAGCTTTGCCTGGACTTTGCCCGTCTCTGGCTTCTGTTCTGGATAATGGGCCAGCGCCTGGCTGCAGGGGTCAGAGAGTGAGCCTGGAGTGTGCAGAGCCGCCTCCTGGAGTGCTCAGGAGCTCAGGGTGAGAAGGCCGGACGCCACCTTGGTGCGGAGAGACTGGGAAGGGCCCCCTTGCAGTCCCTCTGGGCTCTGCCCTGGCCTCCACCCTGGCATCTCCAGGAATGGCCGCGGGGCGCTCCTCTCTCTTCACTCTTCAGTGTGTACAGCTACTCCTTCCTCTGCTCTGCCCCATGGGAGCAGCTCTGGCTCAGGGGCCCTCTTCTGAGGGTGAGTGGGAGGGTCCCCAGGCCTGGCCTGAGGAGCCCCGACTCCTGCCATCTGGCTGTGACAATCGTGGGGGTTCGGGGCAGGGGGTGAGTGAGGGAGCACGATGCCGGGGTGGCGAAGTCCAGATGTTGTGTGTCCAGATGCCACACAGTTGCAAGCAAGGCCTCCGTGGAACCCCGAGGCAGCTCTGGGACTGGAGGGCCCCACCGGGTGGTCCCAAAAGGGGCCAGTGGGAGGGCCTCGTGGCCCTCTTAGACCAGTCATGGGGTGGGCCATGTCCCTGGGAAGGGCATTGGCATGGGGCAGGGGGCATGTGGCTGAGGGCAGTTCATGGAGAGGGGCCTGGCTGTGAGCCCTCAGCAGCCCAGCTGCCAGCCACTGGGAGCCCCAATGTCCCTGTGGGGCTCCTGGCCTCTGATGCGTGGCCCAAGGCTGCAGAGTCTATGATTTCCTCTGACTTCCCTTCGTTCACAGCCACCTTTTCACAGGGAACGTCTAATCCTAAAAAACAGAAGGATGACTGCAAAGCAGTGGGATTACTTTTTTTTTTAAATAGAAAATCGAGACCACAATAGTTATGTATCAATGGCTTCCTTCAAAGTAGATACCCCAGAGAAGAAAGAGAGAGGCTCAGGGCTGCTAGGAGAAGACAGAGACAGAGAAGGAGGCAGAGAGAGGCAGAGAGAGAAAAAAAGACAGAGACAGAGGGAGGCAGAGAGAGAGAGAGAAGAAAGAGAGGGAGGCAGAGAGAGAGAGAGAGAGATGATAGACGGAGACAGAGAAGGAGGCAGAGGGAGACAGAAGAGACAGAGACAGAGGGAGGCAGAGAGAGACAGAGAGAGAAGAGACAGACAGAGAGGGAGGCAGAGAGAGACAGAGAGAGAAGAAGAGACAGAGAGGAGGCAGAGAGAGACAGAGAGAAGAGACAGATGGACACAGAGAGGGAGGCAGAGACTGTGTGTGTAACACACTCTCCCTTGAAAGAGAAGCAAAAGGAATAAAAAAATATTTGCAAACTCTTCATCCAACAAGGGACTAATACCCAGAATCTACAAGGAACTCACCCAGCTCAACAGCAACAAAAATAATCTGATTTAAAAATGGGCAAATTTCAGCAGGTCATGGACTAAAAAAATAAAAAATAAGAAAAATGGGCAAACGATCAGAGTAGATGTTTCTCAGAAGAAGACCTACCAGTGGCCAGAAAGTATATGAGAAAAGACCCAACATCACTCAGGAAAATGCTAATTTAAAACCATAATGAGATACCACCCCACATCTGCTAGAATGGTTTTTATCAGAAAGGCAGAAGATCACAGAGGCGGGGAGGTGGAGAAAAGAGAGCCGTGTGCACTCTCGGAGGGAAAAGAGGGCCGTGTGCACTGTCGGAGAGAAAAGAGGGCCGTGTGCACTGTCGCAGGGAAAAGAGGGCCGTGTGCACTCTCGGAGGGAAAAGAAGGCCGTGTGCACTGTGGCAGGGAAAAGAGGGCCGTGTGCACCGTCTGAGGGAAAAGAGGGCCGTGTGCACTGTCGCAGGGAAAAGAGGGCCGTGTGTACTGTCGGAGGGAAAAGAGGGCCGTGTGCAGTGTCGCAGGGAAAAGAGGGCCGTGTGCAGTGTCGCAGGGAAAAGAGGGCCGTGTGCAGTGTCGGAAGGAAAAGTGGGCAGTGCGCACTGTGGGAGGGAAAAGAGGGCCATGTGCACTGTCGGAGGGAATGTGAGTGAGGATGCCTGCTATGGAGAGCCCCTGGAGTTTCCTGAAAACACTAAAAATAGAGCCACCTTGGGATCCAGCAGTCCCACTGCTGGGCATACGCCCCAAAGAAAGGAAATCCGTATATCGAAGATGTATCTGCACATCCCTATTCATTGCAGCACTACTTACAATGGCCGAGATTTGGAATCAACCTCAGTGCCCATCAACAGACGAACGGATAAGAAAAATGTGGTGCGTAGGCACAGTGGATACTGTTCAGCCAGAGAAGAAAGGAATCCTGTCATTTCAGCCGCATGGATGAGCCTGGAGGAATTGGGGAAATCAGCCAGGTGCAGGAAGACAAACACCCCAGGATCTCACACATCTGTGGGAGCTAAAAAAGCCGAACTCAAGGCGGTGGTGATGGACTGCTGGTTGCCAGAGTCTGGGGAGGGGGTAAGAGTTAGAGCCAGACGGGAGAATAAGCTCTAGTGTTCCTGGCACTCCACGCAACTGTGGTTGACAACAATTTATTGTATGTTTTCAGAGAGCTGGAAGAGAGGCTTTGGAATGTTCCCAGCACAAAGAACTGACAAAGGTTTGAGGTGACAGGCACGTGAACCGCCCTGATCTGACTATCCCACATCATACACGGGCGTCGAAACACCACCCTGTATTCCAGAAACAGGTGCAATTATTGTGTGCCAATTAAAAAAAGGAGAGCGAGAAGAGAGAGAGGGCGAGCTGGGCCGTGGAAGTGGAATCAGACTCGGAGCTGATGAGGCCAGCGTTTCCTCCTGTCTCCTTTGATGCTGAGGCCTGACGTCACTCCCGTGCCATTCCCAGCCTTCCTTCAGAGTCCCTGCGAGCCCTCAGGAGCTGCGTGGTGGGGTTGACGATGGCCACATCCCGGGCACCTCTGGCTGCTGCAGGCCTCCCAAGACCGCTTCACACTTCTGTGCCGACCAGGCCACCAGCCAGCGTTGCCTCTTGCAGACCACTCGGCCGCTAGTGGGGTGCGCACAGCAGCAGGCTTTCTGTACCCAGAGAGGCGGCAGCAGGAGAGCCACAGAGAGCACGGGAGCTTCTCCACCTCGCCTGGCCCCTCACGTGCGGAGCACGTCCCCTCCAGACTGAAGGGCGCACATCTTGGGCTGCAGGACAGACGCCCCCAGGGCTGAGCTGTGTGGTGCAGGCCAAACGCTCCCGGCTCCCCTGAGCACTGGCCTTGGAGGTGACCACAGAGAAATGACCTGATGGCCAGAAAACCCACCGTGATATTTACCAACTGCACTCAATTTAAAAAAGCAAATCCCTAAACCATCACGTGTGCCTAATAAATGGAGCGACATAAATGGCTAAGACCAGTTTCTAAACAAATGCCTTTACAAAATGAAACCCAGCCATTGTTTAGGAACAAAGGTATAATCAGATCCTCATTTTCTATTCCAATAAAGTCTTTGAATTAATGTCTATTCCGCTCATTATGAGGGTTTTTTCTTCGTGCTCTCCCTGATTACTAACGCACAAGACACAGGCTCCGTCTAACGTGGCTGGTGCTTCCCCAGGGGGTGCCCTGGGCTGGCTTCGTGCGTGAGGGGAGCAGCCAGAGGGGGAGGAACCCAGCAGAGACGGAGACAGTGGGGAGCGGAGTGGAGAGAGGCAGTGGGCGTGCAGGTCTGCTTTTAAAAAGTATTCAGTTAATTTTGTAGAAAAAGAATAAAACTTCCGGGAGCTGCCCTATTAGTTTACACAGCCCAGTAACATATATTCACAGCATCCATTTCAGTCCGAGGTCTCAGCAGGAAAGACCCCACACCTACGCAATGGTGGACATGCTGGTCTCTGCAGAGTCTGAGGACCAATGCTCTGACCTGCCGCATTCACTTTAGATGCTTTCCAGCCACCCAGCAGCACGGTGCTCGGGGCCACCACACCCAGCTGCCCCGAAGCAATGTGTGCAGGACCCCGGCCACGGAGGCAGACAGGCTTCGGACAGCCCACTCACCCACCGGCAGGGCTGCGGGGGCTCCCAGGTCGGGAGTGTGACCGTGGGCTTTCAGAGGAGGATGGAAAATTCCGTACTCGCACCGATTCCACCCGAGAGCAGGTGTGCGGTGTCGGGAAGTGATTCCTTCCCAAGGTAGTCTGCAGCTGGTGGTGCGGGCAGTGGGGCTGGAAGAGTGACAGGAGAGGCGAGTATGGCCCCAAAGGGGCCAGATTCAGGGTTAGGCCCCGGAACCTCACACATGAGGGCTCAGAACACCCACGAGAGGTGGGAATCTTTAATGAGACTTCATCTACCCACAAGGCGTGTGGGCCTCTGTGCATGTCTGTGCATTTCCAGGGAATTCCAATAAACCCCATTCCAAGACCCTGAGAAAAACAGATTTATGGTCTCATTATTAAGTTGGTGCATTTCTTTTTTTGTGTTTTTGTTTTGAGACAGGGCCTTGCTCCCCAGCCTGGAGGGCAGTGGCACCATCTCAGCTCACTGCAGCCTCAAACTCCCTCCCAGGCTCAAGCAATCTTCCCATCTCAGCACCACCTGCCACCTCAAACTCCCTCCCAGGCTCAAACAATCTTCCCATCTCAGCACCACCTGCCACCCAGTAGCTGGGACTACAGGTGTGCGCCACCATGCCTGGCTAACTTTTGTATTATTATTATTCTATTTTTTTGTAGAGACAGGGTTTCACCATGTTGCCCAAGATGATTTTGAACTCCTGGGCTCAAGTGATCCTCCCTCCTCAGCCTCCCAAAGTGTGAGCCGCTGTGTCTGGCCTGGTGCATTTCTTATGCACAGAATTACAATACACAGATCTTTCGTTTTCTTTTTGTAAGATCACGTCTCACCAAATTAAAAAAAATCAGTCTTAAGCAACAACTTTGTAAAAATCATCACTGAATCACTTGCTGAGCAGCCCCATTATGTTGAAACAGTGAATGGTTAAGAGCCCCTAACACGAGCCCCAGGCCCCGCTGACACGTGGGAGGGAGGAGACCATCATCTTGGCACCTTGCGGAGTGTCCCGCTGTGAACTCAGGGCGCCAGCCTGCCCTGCCTGTGATACGTCCACACAAGCTGCATGGCCAAGGTTTGCAGCACAGGGCCTGCACACTGTAAAGTGGGGTGACAAGGTTGTGCCCTCCCCACTCCTTGGTTAGCCCATTGCCTCCTGGGTGTCTGCGTTTTCTCATCCTGAAGCCCCTCGAGGCACCTCTGCGTCTGTGGCCTCCCAGTCAAGGCCATGCTAGAAATCCAAGTGTAGAGCCGTGTTGGTGGAAGAAAGCCCCCCTCGTGGCTGGGGTCTCGACACTGTCTCAATGCCCTCTCGACCGGGGACAGGGTGCACGTCCCAGGCCACATGCAGCAGTCAGGAAGGAAGCCTGGTCTGGGTAATAGAAATTGCCGACAAGTCTCCTCCGCCCACTTGGAACTGGAGCTGGACATGCGGACTGATGCTGAAATAAGAGCTGTCCCTGGCTAGGACCCACTGTGGAGAGGGGCACAGGAGGCCCACAGAGCCCACTTGGGCTGTGAGAGGGACTCCTAAAGGGCCTCGTCACCGACGGCCCTCCTCTTTTGGTGCCCACTCCTGCCCTCTGTATGTCCCCAACCTCTCTTGCATATTTTTGTTTTATGAGTGGGTTTCTCAGATCTGTCTTCCATTTCACTGAGTTTCCAGACCTAGCCAATCTTCCATTTTACACAGACATTGAGTTTTTATGGTCAGCTTGTATCATGTGAACACATATCCTCTAACTTTAAAATAATTGTTCCTTTTCGGTTTCATTTCTAGAAGTTTTGTTTGGTTCAAGTCTAGTTGTTCTCTTTTTAAATGCAGCTATTCTTTTTATATACCATTTAAAATGGTAAAACCGGTTTTATCACCTTTTTCACACTGGACGACTGTCCCTGACAGAGTCCATCCCCGTGGGCTTTGTGATTGTTTATTAGGAGCTCATCTTCAGGGGGCGTCTTTTCTGGGGGTTGCAGAAGGGCACTGAGCGGTTTTGCCTTTACTTATCTTGGGGACCCAAGGGTTTCACGGGGCTTGGATCAGTTTCAACCTTGATATTTCGTCTTGGCTTTCCTGGGCCACGTGGGGAGGGTAAGCTAGACGCCACACCCTCCTGTGGTATGTAGGACTTATTTTTTCCTGTACGGTGGGACGGGGCTGTCCTCCAAACTCTGCCCTTTGTCACAGGGTCCTGAGACAGAGTGTGTGGCAGCCGGCTCGGACCGACTTGCAGGGCAGGTTGTTAAGTTTGTAGGAGTCTTGTAGGCAGCTTGTCAAATACAGCCATTATTAAAAATTTAATTATATTAACCGACAAATTATATTAAAACACAGATAATAAACATGATGTTTTTTGTTTACACTTGTCATCATCCCTAGTGGTTGTATATCCTCTGGTTATTTCCAGCTCTTGAGCCTGTGCGGTGGAAGTGCTAACGGCAGGCTGCCGGCTGCCTGTCCCATCGCGCCGAAATCATTCACAGTGGGCGCGTTGACACCACAGAAGTCGGCAACCACGACAGACGGGGGCGTTGCTTTTGCTTTGCTGATTGTCTAGACTTTAATAAGTGATGAAGAAGACATTCCTAATGCTGATTAAACTTAAGCCTATGGTGTCTGTAGCCCTTCCATTGTGAACAGCAATGAGGAAATAGAGACCATCTTCCCTCAGGATTTGGCAACTATCATCCCATTTGGCAAAAAAAGTGCTCAGGCCATTCATGAGTGACGTGGAATAAGTTCTGACGTATTCTGTTTTCTCTTCTTGCCTGTTCAGGTAAGTGATGTTAACCAACACCACGTCGGAACAACACTCGTTCCCCGATTGCAATCATACGTTGGATACAGATGCAAGAGCTCCATGAAAATCGGAGCGAGCATTCTGTGAGAACCCGTGGGCTATAGGAAATTGAAAATAGAGCACCGTGTGTGCTGTTATTTGTAAGCTGTGTGCTACATATCGTCTATCTGTAAATCGCACAATCTCTGTGAGTCTGCTGTTTGGGGGAGCTGGTTGTTAAACATTCCCCGAAGCCATTTATGCAGATGCCAAGTGGACATGTTTAGCACCCGGTCACCTGCCCTTGTAGGGCTCAGTCCTGACCACCCTTCCCACACTGACCTCCAGCTCCCTCTTTGGAATAAGACCTTGAGGAGTTCTCTTTCTTTAGAGCTTGGCTACACATTTTAAAAGTTACTTTAGTACATTCTGTCCAGCATTTCTAAATAATCGTATCAGGAGTGGAATATTTACACGGCATTTCAGCCTGCCCTATTGTCCTCGGACCTAAATTCTGAAATGCATTCATCATGAGAAGCTTCCATATTGTCACACATCCTCACATAAGATGTTCGGTGGCCGGGTCTCAGCAACCTCTCACGACACAGGGAAAGCAGAAGCTTCCCGGAGGTGTAGGCAGGGTTCCGACATGGCTCACACTCAAGAAGGAAAGCCTGAGAAACTGCACCCACAGGAGCGAAGCTGAGAGTCAATCCACTGAGACTGAGAATTGGGCTTCTTAAGAAAGGAACACCAGCATGTTGGTGGACACTGACAAAGACCCTTCGCTTGGCCCGACTTTATTTATATTTTAAAGAATCTTTTAACTTTTATTTTAGGATCAGAGGTATATGTACTGGTTTGTTATATAGGTAAACTCTTGACTCGGGGGTTTGGTATACAGATGATTTCGTCCCCTGGGTACTAAGCATAGTACCCTACAGTTTTTTTTTGTTTTTTGTTTTGCCCTGGGCCTCTCCTCCCACCCTGCACCCTCAAGTAGGCCCCAGTGTCTGATGCGCCGCTCTTTCTGTCCACGTGTTCTCATTATTTAGCTCCCACTTATAAGTGAGAACATGTGGTATTTGGTTTTTTGTTCCTGTATTAGTTTGCTAAAGATAATGGCCTCCAGTTCTATCCATATTCCTGCAAAGGACATGACTTCATTCTTTTGTATGGCCGCACCGTATTCCATGGTGTATATGTACACATTTTCTTCATTCAGTCTACGGTCAATGGGCATTTAGGTCTCTGCTGCTGTGAATAGTTCTGTAATGAACATATGTGTGCATGTGTCTTTATGGTTGAACAATTTTTATTCTTTTGGGTATTTACCAGTAGTGGGATTGCTGGGTCAAATGGTAGTTCTGTTTTTAGGTCTTTGAGGAATCTCCACATTGCTTTCTACAATGGTTGAACCTAATTTACACTCCTACCAGCAATGTGTAAGTGTTGCCTTTTCTCTACAGCCTCGCCAGCATCTGTTGTTTTTTGAGTTTTTAATAATAACCATTCTGACTGGTGTGAGATGGTGTCTTATTGTGGTCTTGATTTACATTTCTCCGATTAGTGATATTGAATATTTTTTCATATGCCTGTGGGCCACATGTATGTCTCCTTTTGAAAAGTGTCTGTTCATGCCTTTTGCCCACTTTTTAATGGAGTTATTTTTTGCTTGTATGTTTGTTTAAGAGCCTTGTAGATTCTGGATATTAGACCTTTGTCAGATGTATATTTTGTAAATATTTTCTCCCCTTCCGTAGGTTGTCTGTTTACTCTGTTGATGGTTTCTTTTGCTGTGCAGAAGCTCTTTAGTTTAATTAGGTCCCATTTGTCAGTTTTTGCCTTTGTTGCAATTGCTTTTAGCATTTTTGTCATGAAATCTTTGCCAGTTTCTATGTTCAAAATGGTATTTCCTAGGTTATCTTCCAGGGTTTTTATAATTTTAGGTTTTACATTTAGGTCTTTAATCCATCTCGAGTTAATTTTTGTATGTGGTATAAAGAAGAGGTCAAGTTTCAATCTTCTGCATGTGGCCAGCCTGCTATCCCAGCACCATTGATTGATTAGGGAGTCCATTTTCTGTTGCTTGTTTTTGTCAGCTTTGTCAAAGATGAGATGGCTGTTGGTGTGTGGCTTTATTTCTGGGTTCTCTATTCTGTTCCATTGGGTCTATGTGTCTGTTTTTGCACCAGTACCATGCTGTTTTGGTTACTGTAGCCTTGTAGTATAGTTTGACATCTGGCAATGTGATTCCTCCAGTTTTGTTCTTTTTGGTTAGAATTGCCTTGGCTGTTCGGGGTCTTTTTTGGTTCAATGTGAACTTTAGAATAGTTTTTTCTACTTCTGTGAAGAATGTCATTGGTAGTTTGATAGCAATAGCACTGAATCTGTATCTGTAACTTGCCTTGGGCAGTATGGCCATTTTAACGATATCGATTCTTCTATCCATGAGCATGGAATGATTTTCCATTTGTTTGTGTCATCTCTGATTTCTTCAAGCAGTGTTTTGTAATTCTCATTGTAGAGATCTTTTACCTCTCTGGTTAGCTGTATTCCTAGATATTTTATTCTTTTTGTGGCAATTGTGAATGGGATTGCATTCTTGATTTGGCTCATGGCTTGGGTGCTGTTAGTGTATAGAAATGCTACTGATTTTTTGCCTTTTATTTATCTTGCCTGATTGCTCTGCTGGCCCAAATTTAGTTAAGCTCTTCAACCTCCTCCTAGTCCCATCTGTGCCCTTCTTTGTAAAATCCAATTTCAGCAAATAACCATGTTAAGTCAGTTTAGCAAGAACTGTGCCTCCACCCATCCTTGATATCTGGTCACCCTTGATATCTGATCGGGTCCCTCATCCTTTACCACCTCCCAGGTGATGTCGGTCACCCTGGCCCGCCTGCAGCAAGAACTCTGTTAGGTGGGTTTAGCCAGAATCTCCTGACCCTGACATTTCCTCTTAGTAACACTGCATCCACTCACCTTTACCCTGCTTTTTGGTTATGGATCCCCAACCTCCTGTGCTGTGTTTGGAGCTGAGCCAGCCTCTCTTCCCTACTGCAAGGCCCCATTGTCATGGCCCCTACACCTATCGTGTTGGCTCTGAATAAAGTCTTCCTTATTGTGCTTTTAACAGGTATCATTGAATAATTTTTTCTTTAACAATCATGGTGTTGTGATCTGACAGAATCAGATTGACCATGGGACCCCTGGGCCCTTATCCAGGACCCTAAGTGTACGCCTTTGAAACTTTGTCTTCACTCCTGACTGAGTGGGGTCCACTGGTGAGTCAGACTCTTGAACCAAATGTCTGTTGAAGGTAGTCAGCACAGATTTAGATTCTTCAGGTATGAATATCTCTCTGAGGCTAGGTGAATCTCAGGCTTCCTTGGGAAGGTAACTGTGGGGCTGGAAGTACCTTCCTCCTGGCTCTCGTTCCTGAGTGGGGATTTGTCTCTCATTCCCTGGGCTGGAAGTACCTTCCTCCTGGCTCTCTGTGAGGCCCCCCTCTTTTCTCTGTTGTCTGTTTTCTACCAGCTCCTGCTTCTCCCATGGGGACTTCTCTGTCACCTGGAATCCCTCTTCCCGCACCCCAGCTGACTCTGAGCTCTGCTAACTCTGTCCACCCCTGCCAGGCCCTTTCCTCTCCCTCCCTACTCCAGCCCCTCACCCACTTGAACTCTAGACTCCTACTGGGGTCTAAAGGGATCCACTGGAGGCTCAAGGGACTCAAGAGTGTCTTGAAAATTCCACTTGAGGCAGAAAAGAGGAAAAAGAAACTCTTTGGAACTGGGCAAGTGAAAAATCTTAAAGGCCTTCTCGACAAATATTGGTAAATAGCTGTATCCCTTATTAAGTAGGTATCCTCAGCTTGTTCCATTTTCATCAGAAACACAATTTGTATAAAAATATTAAGTGGAGATAAACCAATGAGTTTGTATGTATTAGTCTGTTTTACTGCCTCATGACTAAAATTTTGAAAAATTAAAAGATCTGCTTGCATCCATCTGTACATTTAAGTGTGGATCTATATATATATGTTATGGGTATGGAATATTTTTCTATCTCTGGGTGATGCTGCCAACATACACAAAAGAGCTCTATTTGATTAGCTTAAAATAAGCACTATATAAAGTATTATCTCAGAAAATAGAAACCAACTTAATTGCCCTTTAGCTCATGTGACTTGAGTAATTCTTTAAAAATAAACTAGTTTTACAATTACTGATAAAAATAAAAACAGAAATATCTTCAAAATTGTCAGCATTAAATATAATACAGACATACAATTTTGTCTGTTTTTGCCGGACAGGTTTGTGTTGTCTCTGTTAGATGTTTCAGGCCATAAAATTATAACTCCCACCGTACAGTGGAATGCATACTAAAAATGAATTGCTTAATTGCTTGACGCATGTCAGTTGTGAAAGGAAAAAAAGAGGCTGTAAAAGTGTTGTGAAAATCTTATCTTGTGTGGTCAAAACTGACTAAAAATGGATAACTTCACTTATAAGGTTTTATGAAAAATTAGTTTTAGTTGTACATTGACGCAAAAGTAGAATTTGGTCTTATCTGTTAAAATGACAAATTTTTCTTGGAGTATTGATCTGAGAATATGAAGGAGTTTCCTTGTCTTTTAAGTAATTGACCTAGGAAGCAAATATTTTGTGTTTTATCAAGATAATTTCTTGTGTTTCATGTTGTCTTTTATTAGGTCTTTGATTACTTAAGAAAAGCAGATCTTCTAAGTATTAAAAGAACTAAGTTCTTGTCTACAACTATGTAACCTTCTGCATTTGCCTTTATTTTATCGCTTTGATTAATCAATATCATATTTAATAAAGTGTCTTAAACTTTTTGACATTTTGTACAAACTTCCCAAAATCAAATTCTAAATTAAGTCTTTGTGACTTCAAATTAACTTTGGGACTTTCCACTTGGGCCCCTGGAAGGTCAAAAAATGTGTCTCTCACCTTGTAATAGAGTAATATTAAACAATTATTCTTATTTTATATGTTAAATTATATAGGAAGCATTTCCAAATAAATCTTCTGTGAGTTATATTTATGGGTATGTTACTGATATGAGTGTTCCAAAAATTGTATGAGATTTCTAGAAATCTAATGTGTTATCAGTCAAAATTTTGGTTATACTAAGATGTTGTGTACTACACAAATAACCAAATTTCCTTGCCAATCACATCATTTTTAAAATAAACTCTCATCAGATTTTTAACCATGATTGTTTTAAGTCTCTGTCATTCATAGACAGCTATTCTTTTATTTTAATTCTTCTCTAAAAGCATTTGCCATTAGTTACAGTCCAAGATTACTTCTTCTTCAAAAAATCATGGAAAATACTCTGACAAGCACTCTGAAATACTGGCTTCTGATAAATTTAAGATGCCACTGGGCTGGGTAAGAATTTCCAGAACTCTAATGAAGAAACCAATGAGTTCATAAAATTGCTAACTAAGATCAAGCAGGACAGAATTAATTACATGGGACTAACTACACCGATGAGGATATTTTAGAATGATTTTTTGCTGGAAATATTGGTGGTTCTTTAAATTTTTTGTATTAATTGATTTAAATGTTTTATTTTAATTAAGATTTTTTAACCCTATCTATAGTTTACAGAAGTTCAGTAAACTTTTGTGAATAAAAACTGAAACAATTACTTTTTCTACTTACCTGATCCATCTAGAATTCAGAAACTGTGAGTATTCTTATTTTTGTGGCAATATAGTTATTTGCATAAGTTCAGTAAGAATCTGTTGTCCTTGTACTAAGACATCACTAGAAATGCTGGTTATATTACCAAGGCTTTGACTGCTATGTCATATTTTCAGATATGACTAGACAACTTTAAGAAACTGAGGTTGACTTTATGGGGCCAGTAAAGCCCCCACTGGAAAAGCTTCCCTGTTTCCAGTTTTACAGGTGGTTAGGGATGTCACTTCTTGGCAGGCCCAGGAAACAGGATATTTTGGGAACCTTGAGAAGAGAGAATTCGCCCAAATCTATAGGTGCTACACATACAGCCTGAAGCAAGGCCTTGGTGTGTTTTCACAGCCTCAAGAGTCTTTACCGGTCCAATCTGAGACTCTTTGTCAAAAGTTCCAGCAAAGCAAACTTTAAAAAGCCTGTCAATCACTATTCTTGCTGCGGTGATACAAATAATCAAGACAAGTTTATGACACTAAACTTATTTTGCAAACAAATCAGTCTAACTTTGATTATTTTGGTTAGAAATGAAGGCGATTTGAGAGAGAAAAATTATGTTTCAGGAGAAAACTATAGTACATCTACTGTTAGATTCTGGCCTCTTTGAGGTTTTACTACCTACCTGCAATCTGAAATGGATCCAGAATTCTTCTTGTTCCCTCCAACATCTGACTACGACTTTCCAAACTATTATTTCCCATTTTCTTCCATTCTTCAAATTGGGAATTGTTGCCTTTTTCCTGAAGCCTTGCAAGCTGGAGCTGGACGACTTGATATAAACCTCAGCACTCATAGGGACAACTTTCATGGCATCCAAACTGCCAACCAGGGAGCCTGTGGTTTAGGACGGCCCGCTCCCCTCCAGCCGGAGATGCACCAGCCCAGCATCTAGAAAGCTTCTGGACTGCCTGCCCTCTGGGCTCAGAATCGGAGTTCATAGTTTGTCCCAACTATTTTTCTTTTTCTTTTTGTAGAAACTAAATTCCCCTCACTAAAGCCCTGATGCCTCATACCACCCAGCTGAACTCCTCCACCACCAAGCCCCAGCTGGTGACTCTGCCAGTCCTCACTGAACAAAAGGCAACAAAACAAGAACGGGAACTTATATTTTTCAAAGGAAAGAAGAGAACAAAGGTGTAAAGATTCTCTGCTTGACCAACCTTTAGTCGGGCTTTGGAACCTTCTTCTAGGCCGGTCTGTGCATGTCCTTGTAAAATGACATTTTCAGCAAAGAATCCTGCAAAGTCAGTTTAGCAAGAGCCATCCCCCCCAATTCTTGATATCTGATCACCTTGATATTTTTTCACCCTCGATATCGGATTGGGTCCCTCATCCTCCACCATCCCCAGGTGATGGCGGTCACCCTGGCTTGCCTTCAGCAAGAACCCTGTTAGGTGGGTTTAGCCAGAATCCCCTGACCCTGAGGCTTCCTTTTGGTAACTCTCCATCCACTCATCCCAGCCCACTCCTTGGCTGGGAAGCCCCGCTGCCCATGTGGTGTTTGGAGCTGAGCCCTGCTAGGGTTTGAGTATTGGACTCTGCAAACCTCATGTTGAAATCTGGAGGTAGGGCGTAATGGGAGGTTTTTGGGTCATGGGGGTGGATACCTCATGAATAGATTAATGCTCTGGGGTGGGGGACAAGTTCTTACTCTGGCAGTTCCCATGAAAGCTGGTTGTTAAAAAGAGCCTGGCCCTCCCTCCATGCCATCTCCTGCTTCCTCTCTCTCCATCTGAGCTCTGCACACACACGGGGCCTCCCCAGATGCAGACACTGGCGTCATGCTTCTTATACAGCCTGCAGAGCTATGAGCCAAAAACCTCGTTTCCTTATAAATTGCCCAGCCTCAGGTGTTCCTTCAGAGCAATGTGAAATGGACGGAGACGAGCCCAGTCTCTCTCCCCCACTGCAAAATCCCCCGGCACTCTCCCTGTACCAATTGTGCTGGTCCTGAATCAAGTTTTCCTTCCTGTGCATTAACAAATATCATTCAATATTTGTTTCTTAAACACCAAGCTCCTCTAGCTGGAGGGCACTGCTTAGGAGTTACCTGATTTTGGGACGAGCCCACTCTGCTGTCCTCGGTCTCTCACTGTTGCCAGTGGAGATAGCCGAGGGCAGGACGGAAGGTTGGTCGCTGCACCACGCCCCGGAGTGCCTGCCTCTTTGCTTACAGTTTGAATATTCCCGCTGCATTTTCCTGCCAGGTGGAGGGGTGTGATTGTGTGGCTGGTGGGGACGAGGTCTCCCTTCCCACCAAGGACAGAAGGACAGTCCCTAGATGGAATCGGAGTGCTAGGTGAGAGACATTATGAGCCTCACTGGGTCAGGGCCCGTTGTTAGCATCTAGGACTGAGAATGGGGAGGAAGGGGGCATCTCCCACCCCAGGGTGCCCTATCCAGGTGGTGCCAGTGCACGGAGGGGCACGGAGGGCGTGTGTGGCATGGATGCGATCTGCGGCTCCTTACTGAGACTGTTTAATCCTGTTTTAAAGATGAAACCTCAGCGACACCCTGGCCCTTAGTACACATCTAATGCTGCAGATAAAGTAGCAACATGACCTGGAGTTCTAGGAAACGCCCACGCTTTGTTTCAGCATCTACAGTCCAGTGGCTTAGGAAACAAAAAGACGGATGGAAACAATTGTTCCTCCTCCCCAAATAAAGACCACCTGAATGTGAAATCAGAAGTTTAATATGACACAATTAAATATATTTGTATATCTCACACCGGAGGTTTCTCTTCAAACATAAGGAGTTAGAAATTACAAGTAGGCATATGCTTCCTATATTCAGATAAATTCATTTCGATTAATTAAATTCCAGATAGAGAGAAGTAATTTTGGAAAAGAAATGATAGCTATATTAAAGCAGATATTCATTACAATACCATGTAGAGACATAAGCAATATTTTGGCATCATTCTGTCCGCTCAGTAGGCCGTGTTCCCTCTGGTAGGGCCTTTGGAGAGTACCATCTATCTAAGATGGAGGAATGCTGTGGGAAGGGCGGGATGGAGGTGCGTTTTCTACGCTGAACCCCACACAGGAAATCTGCAGCCCACACAGCTGCCTCTGTGCCGCCTTCCATGTGATCATCTTGGTCAATGAAGTGAATTGTCCTATTTCTGGGGTAGGGGGTGATGGCGAATCGGATACTCAAATGTTATTTTGTCAAATCCGAATCATCTCTACGTGCTTAGGTTTACATGATGTCAAAACACGTGGTTCATTAAGTGATCCCGGGAAGAGGGGCAGGGCCGGTCGGCTGGTTTCTCACTTCCCTTCCAGGCTCTACGCAGTGCGTGCAGGTCGCCCTGATCTCCTCTCCCGGGAGGGAAATGCTCGCAGCCCTCTCCGAGTTGCCCTGATCTCCTTCTCTCCCAGGAGGGAAATGTCCCCTCTCTGGGGCCCCACAGGTCCGGGACGTGCCTGGAGGAGCCAGCGGGGGCCTGGCAGGGTTCGTGTGCTCCCGGGGACCCTCATAGCTTGCTCAATGCCCAGATTTGTTCTTCCTGGTTGTGGTTATCTCACAGGTAAGCATTCACGGGGGCATCTGTTTTCATAACGTAGAAATCAATATTTTAACATTAAAAACACATCTCAATGTTGGGGTGCATCTGTAACTTTGCAAAGGTGAGGTCAGGGGAGTGCCAGCCTCAAGTGGGCACTACTCATGGGGTGCACAGGTGTCTGCCCCCGGGGAGCCCCTGAATCACTCTGCTTGGGCTGACAGGTGTGGCTGACGGGGCCGTCCATGGTACCCGGCGCAGTGTTGATGGAGACGCAGCGAGGAGCTGTGATTGTCTCACTTGCCCCGAAGCTGCAGGACGTTCAGTTCTGTCCCTGCGGCTTCTCCCAATGATAAACTCTCTCAAAGAGAAATGCCAAACGTGCCTTGTGTGCCGGGCGGCCTCACTGAGTGCTGCCAGCTTCCCCGGCCACTCCTGCACAGTGGATCCACCCTCCCGAAAGTGGCAGATGACAAGCACACTCTTCCTGGAAACCGCCTCGAACGTGCTGGCTACTGCATTGTTAACACAACTTCAACCAAGAAGGTGAACGGGTGCTTTAAGAAAAAGTATTTTTTTTAAGCAAGTGAAAATTGATGAACCGATTCCCCTCCACCCGTAACTGGATTTTTCCACAAATCTCTCTTTATTATTGTTTGATTAAACAAAAATACACTTTTAACTGCTAAACTGCGCTGACTACGGGAGAGCTAAGGGCCCTATTACTATGCAGTTATAATAGAAGACACACAATTAAAGTCAGATCATGATTCCTGACAACATCCGTGGGGTGGGGGCTCCCCTGAGGCCCCTGAGGCTGCCGCTCACTGGGGAAGGGCCTTGAGGATGGCGTTCACCTCCTCAGCCACGGCTGTCAGCGCGAACTCAAACTGCTCCTGCAGGGCGAGAAACGAGAGAAGTGCCAATGAGAGCGGCGTCCCCCCGACTCCTGCCACAGCGTCGGCTCCCTGCAGATGAAAGCGGCGTCCCCCCTTCCCAACGCAGCATCAGCTCCCCGGGCCATTTCGCAGAAAGAAATTGTTTAGCAAAAAAAAGCAAAAGGCTCAGATTTCCTTAGAAAGGACAGTGTACCCTTCGGTTTGGGAGACACAACAGTGACACATGTTTGAGCTTCTCTCGCACTAGAAAAGCCTCATCTTTCCCCCTGCGGGGAGAAGCTGCCCACAGAAGCAGCGAGAAGGCAACGGTTCCTGCGTACTGCCCTGTCCTTCTGACCCTACGACTCCACGATTCCTCCTCACAGCCACCCGCCTTGGTGGACGGTGTGAGGGGCAGGTGCAGACACTACAAAGACGTGGCCATTAAAACTCACAATGAGGGCCATGCTTGGGCGTTTCCTGTCCTCGGAAGTGTGGTGTTATCATCGCTTTTGAAATCCACCTGTTACTCAGACCAAACCCACTCCGTTCCACATGCTGAGAAACCTCCCCTTGTCCACACCCCTCCTGGCTCAGGGCATGCGCGTCCACAGCCACTTGGGCAGGCACACCTGAGGGGCACCCCTCCCTCCACGGACAGCCTGCCGAGAGCATCCAGTGGGCACGAGGGACGGGTTCACGATGCCAGGACTATTCGCTCCTCCAAAGACCAGGGCTTAGCGCCGGAGAGCGTATCTGCCTCCTCTCCCACAGATGAGGTGGATAAATGCTCATTTCCTCTTGCTCTTCAGTTTCCACCTCAAAACACTGCTATGGAAAACTCCAAAGCAGGCCAGCAGCACTCCAGCTACAGCTGAGAACGCGTGGACGGAAACAACACTGTTACCCAGCTAACAACTTCTGGAAGGAAAGCCCTGTTGACAGCTCCAATACTTGATCATTTAAGGAACAGGGCAGCCCCAAGCCAAAAACGATGATTAATTTCCAGTTTTGAATGTTTAGTGCATAACAGAAAGATGGAAAATAGCTTGAACCGAGACATCAGAAAGTCAAAATAACGTGATGCTCATTCTGAGACAAAAGACAGTTTCTCCTTTCATATTCTTCTGCCCTGATGCTGACGGAATGGTCTGCTGGACTCTACCTGCCTTTGGTAGTGTGGCCACGCGGCCTCTTAGTGTACGTGTTAGAACCTATTATTAAAGGAGTCAACTGAGCCTGGCGGCCACCTCAGGGTGGGACCCGGGGAGATGTGTCTGCCTGCGCCCCGTCTCTCTCCCCTCTGCACTGCCAGAGGGCACCTTTCTGCTCCTCGAAATTACGTGGGAGCTGCCCCTGTGGGGGCAGGGGCTCAGGTCGGGCTGTGCCGGGAAGGTCCGCAAACGTTCTGTCTAAATGCTGACTCCTGCCCCTCCCACACCAAGTGTGTTCGATGAAGGTGCTGTTTAGGGGATCCAGGCTAAATACACAACAGCCATTCAGACCATTTCTTCCCCAGTGCTGGGCTGCCAGTGCCCTGAGGCTCTGTGAGGGCTTGGAGATGCCAAAAATTAAGCGTGGCTTTTTGGGAAGCGAAATGCAAGTGTCATCTATCTATTTACATCTTCCGACACACTGGAAATCTAGCCTGAGAAATGATCTTTAAAGGGAAGAATAGAGAAGCGCTGCCGCCCCGCAGCCCCATCATGCAGTGGAGGCTGGAAAGCGCTCCACCCCCAGGGCCAGTGCTAATCCTGCAGAGCTGCCCAGCGGCCTCTCAGGCAGCCACTTGCGGCATCCAACAGGAAAGCCCAATATCCATGCTATGGGGGAGGGGACGGGCAGGGGGAACTCCACCAGGGTCTGGATCATAACTGTTTCCAACACTGCACAGTCACCGGACAGAGCAGCAGGAAGGGAACCGGGCCACAGAGACAGGTGCTCTACTCACTGGCCATGTTTGGCAATTGTTACCGCACTGTTTAGCTCAAAGGAGAAGCTCCACCGGGCGTGTGGGCTGGTGTGTGCCGTGCACCTTACTCAGAGCCCACTGGGCCCTGTGGGCGTCGGCTGGCAGGAGGAGGGGGTGCTTCCCGGAGGGGTGCTGTGAGCCTCAGAGCTGGCGTTTGAGGGGACAGGGGCTTGTGGATCATCTTGTCCTTTATCGTGAAGTGTCAGCTGCATGCGGCGCCGGGATGTAGCACCCAAGCCCTGTGGGTCCTCGAAGGTCTGTGGCCACGTTCTGAGCAGAATCCGCTGAGCAAGTATCACCTAGAACCATGCTCTAGATCCCGGGTAGGCTGGGAAAACCCCAGCATTTGGATAACTTTTATGATAGGAGTTTATTTCAAAGGAGTAAAATACAACAGCAACAGATGACCAGATGACCATCTTAGCCTAAACTGCATCTGAGTGCCAGCAGTCTGAACAGGAGGGGTGCAAAGCCTCCTGGGTTTGCAAAGACAGGACATTCGAGAGGCCGAGTCAGGACATTCTAAGCAAGAAAGCATTTTTGAACACATACTACAATAAAATTTGAGGCCTGTTGGAGAAAGATCCCACGGCTTCTTCCAGTAGAACTGCACCCGGTGGAGAAGTGGCTGAGGTGGGACGGCCGAGCCAGGCTCAGGCCAGGTCAGGCTGTCTGGTCACCACCCCTGGGTCCACGCTGGACAGCGAGTGGGAACGCCCCTTCTCAGGCTGTCCTGGGACAACCACGGGGTGCCCACATAGTTGGTGGAGGGATGGAGGCTGCAGGAGCTGCCATGGCTCTCGGACACCCGCTGCTGGGGTAAGGGTCAGCCAGGGCTGGAAGCCGTGGAGCTTTGTGGAGGCTGCTTGGATTTCTATTTGTGCTTATGTTTATATTTGTAATCCTTCAGGTGTAAACAAAGGCCTGGGTGGAGATGTACAAATAGGAACCTTAAAGAGGACCTCAGTGATCGTGTCTCTGAGCCACCTGTGCCCTCCAGGAGGCTGCACACATAACTGCGGGGCAGCTTCCCCCAGCACCTCTCAAAAGGGGGTGAGGATGACACACCTTCCTGTGTCTGTCACCTTCAGCTTCTCTTTTCACAAAAGTAGACAAGCTCCAAGCCACACCGTGAGAGTTGAGCCCTGCCCAAGTTAGGGACTAGGCATTGTGTGTGTGTACACCAGGGCGGAGGGACAGAGACGGAGATGGAGAGAGATGGGAGACAGATGGAGAGAGACAGAGAGAGGTGGAGAGAGATGGAGAGCGGTGGAGAGAGACAGAGAGAGGTGGAGAGAGACGGAGAGAGGTGGAGAGAGACGGAGAGAGGTGGAGAGAGACGGAGAGAGGTGAAGAGAGGCGGAGAGAGGTGGAGAGAGATGGAGAGAGGCGGAGAGAGGCGGAGAGAGACGGAGAGAGGTGGAGAGAGACGGAGAGAGGTGGAGAGAGATGGAGAGCTACGGAAATGAACAGTTTCAATGGCACGGGAGGCCTTGGGAGAAGTGGGCTGCGGGCCTGGAGCTGATGTGTGAGCGTGGACTGCGCTACGCGTGACAGAATCCGTGTCTGTCACTCCGGTGCTGTGCTGGGTTGGGAAGATAGGAGCATGTCTGGGCAACGCCCTGCTTCTGGGACGGAGGACAACACCGGGTACGTCTGAGGAGGAGGCTGAGGTCAGGCTTTAGGACAAGGGGCTGGTGCAGAAGAAAATGGGGAAGAAACTAAAATGCAGATGTGAGACGGCAGGTTGGGGAGAGTGACGCACGGGCAGCACGTGGACATGCGAGGGGCCTCCCGTCCAGTGAGGAGGGGGCGGGGCCTCCCGTCCAGTGAGGAGGGCATGGGGCTTCTTGGGTGTGGGACACACTCATCACTGGCTCTACTTCTGGAACTGACAGATGTAAAAGAGGAAACACCATTGTGGGCAGGAAAGTGTTAAGGTCCTTGGTGAAATGGGAAACTCTTGAGACGTGTGGAGGGAAGGAAGGGAAGAACCCATCATCTACCACAGAGGCATGGACGGGAGAGAGGGGTGATTTCAGCCTTGTCTGGCATCCCTTGTGTCTGCTGAGGGTGTGTGCACACGGGAATGTGTGCGGGTGTGTGTGCGTGCATGCAGCTGTGTGTGGATGTGCATCGTGTGTGGGTGTGTAGGTGTGTGTGGGTGTGTGCAGCAGTGCAGGTGTGCATGGGTGTGTACAGGTGGGTGTGTGGATGTGTGTGGGGGTGTGCACAGCTGTGCAGGTGTGTGGGTGTGCAGGGTCCATGACTGTGTGTGGGTGTGCACTGTGTGTACACCTGTGGAGGTGTGTGGGTGTGTGCAGTGTGCATGGGTGTGTGTGTGGGTGTGCACCCCGTGGGTGGGTGTGTAGGTGTGTGTGGGGTGTATGCATGGGTGTGTGCAGGTGTGTGGGTGTGTGCAGTGTGTGGCTGAGTGGTGTTTGTGGGTGTCTGTGGGTGTGTGTGCAATGTGTGGGTGTGCGCAGTGTCCGTGGCTGTGTGTAGGTGTGCACTGTGTGCAGGTGTGTGCGTGTGAGCAGTGTGCACGGCTGTATGTGGGTGTGTACCACATGCGTGGGTGTGTAGGTGTGTGTGGGGGGTGTGCCTGGGTGTGTGCATGGGGATGCGCAGTGTGTGGCTGAGTGTGGGTGTGCACTGCGTGAGTGGGTGTGTAGGTGTGTGTGGATGTATGCATGGGTGTGTGCAGGTGTGTGGGTGTGCAGTGTCCCTGGCTGCGTGTGGGTGTGCGCAGTGTGCAGGTGTGTGGGTGTACACAGTGTGTGTGGCTGAGTGTGCCGCCTCTCTGGCGGCTCGTGTGGTGTCAAAGCCCGCACTGCCGTTCAGCCCCTGGGTGCCTGGACTTCTCTTCTAAGATGATGGAGTTTGTGGTCGGGGACTGAGTTGCCAAATGCTCAGGTGGGCGCTGGTGAAACATTTTCTATTCGACCCAAATTCCAGGGAGGAAACAGCTCTCCTGAGGGGCATCTTTTTTACCACAACGATGATGTTTTGCTGTCAGGGCCTGCGGTCATCCTGGTCATGGTCTCCGGGTGCTCACCCTCGACGGCTCGCTCTTTCCTTGTCTTCAGTTCCAAACCAGGCGACGTGACTTCCTCCGTTCAAAGGAGCTGCAGGCGCCTCCTCTTGGCTTCGTAGAAGCAAGCATTCAGATTGGACAGCAGCATTTTGCCCAAATAATTTTTCTATCTTTGTGAAACTGAACTTGTAGGGGAAGTTTAGTCTCGGGGCGATGTTGGGCAGCGCAGTCACGGATTAAGATGTGATGGTGACTTTCGCATGGTTCCATTTCCTTATGCCTTGAAGTTCCAGGAGCTGAATTTATGTGCATGCTCCAAGACAGCTCCTGAACACACACCCTGAGGAAGAGGGTGAACTCCTCCGGACGCCCAGTCCAAGAAGGAAGCAGCTAGGAAGCTGACTCTGTTATCTGGAGTGCAGAAAACGGAGCTTCGGGTCACCAAGTGATCTGGGCAACAGGGCTGGGGTGTGTATGTGTTATCATCTTGCTATTTATTTATTTATTTATATTTAAGTTCTGGGATACATGTGCAGGACGGGCAGCTTTGTTACATAGGTAAACGTATGCCATGGTGGTTTGCCGCACCCATGAATCCATCACCGAGGAATTAAGCTCCGCATGCATTAGCTATCATCCTGATGCTCCCCATCCCCCTTCCCCACTGACAGGCCCCAGTGTGTGCTATTCCCCTCCCAGTGTCCATGTGTTCTCATTGTTCAGCTGTCATTTATAAGTGGGAACAGGCAGTGTTTGGTTTTCTGTTCCTGTGTTTGTTTGCTGAGGATGATGGCTTCCAGCCCCATCCATGTCGCTGTAAAGGACATGATCTCATTCCTTTTTATGGCTGCATAGTCTTCCATGGTGTATATGTGCCACATTTTCTTTATCCAGTCTATCATTGATGGGCATTTGCGTTGGTTCCATGTCTTTGCTGCCATCTTGCCATTTAAAAATGGAGTAGAACGGAAGACCTGGCATGTAATGATTGTGACTGTGGCTTCCTCTTTCTCTGATGAGTCCCAAAGCACCTCACTTCACGAAGGGTCCTGGGACCACCGTTGTGCACCTCAGCCATCTGTGTGCCAGGAAGGGCTTGTTCTGGCGAACAGGATACATACAATGGGAGGCTTGGAGGGTTTGCTCCTTGTGATTTTTTTCACTTTTGGCAAAGATATCCCCTTGCGATGATTTTGCCCAGACCCATCCTAAAGCCAGTGTGTGTTCTGGGCAAACTCACCTGTCTGGAGGGAAGAGGCTGCCTGACAGGCAGGTGTTCTGGGTGAACTCACCCGTCTGGAGGGAGAGGCTGCCTGAGAGGCAGGCAGAGGTGTGGGGAGGAAACTACTTTGAATTTAGATTTCCTGGGGCTTATCCCAGAGTGGGCCTCACTGTGGAGTCACGAACACACCTGCCTGAGGTGGCTCTCGCTGACCATTCCTGGTAATGTGTGCCCCGTTCTCCCAGCCTCCATGGCCTCCTCTGTCCAGTTCAGAGCCACCTGAAGCTCACGGGATGCAGGGCCAGCCAGAAGGTGGTATGTGCCAGCCTTGACAAGGCCACCTCTTTTACTGCTAGGCAGCCAGTACAGGAGGATGGTCAGTGCGGCAAGATGGACCCTTCCAAGGTTGGACCCTTCCATGGCACAAAACCTGGAACTCCTTGGTACAGAGAGGCCAGACACACGTCAACCTCACGTCCAGTTCCTGTTGAGCCAAAGCTCATGAGAACTTTTTTGTTTTGATGGCTGTTGCTGCTGGAACAGCAGCTGTCCCGTGTCACCTCCTCTCTCGACAGCCTCGCAACACATGCCGAATGCTGTTGTGAACAAGCAGAAGGAAAGACAGACATGTGCACAGTCCCAGCTTCTCCCCGCGGGACACTGAGTAACCACACAGGGAAAAATCATCACGCAGCCACGCAGAAGCCTCCAGACACACACGCCTCAGTGGGTGTAGATGTGCCGCTCCCTCGTGAGGGACAGTCCTGCCCCCTGCCCTGACCATGGGGGACGTGGGACACGCCTAGACAAGAGACGTTCCACAAAGAGCAAGGCCGCTGGCGCTCTAGAAGACCTCACAGCCGTGAAGCGTCCCGGACAGCAGAGGAACCATGATGCCCCTCGCGTGGCCGCCCTGGGCGTGTCCTGCTCCAGGGGAAGCTCCCTGGGGGGGCGCGTAGGGCATCGCTGGGCCTGTTGGTCAGTGGTTTGCATCGGTGCTGACTTCCTGGGTTTGGTCACTGCGCTGTGGTTATGTGAGGTGTTCACATTTGGGGAAACTTGGTGGAGGGTTGGTGGATTATTTCTGCATTTTATTTATATTTTTTGCTTGGGAGGCTGAGGCAGGAGAATCGCTTTAACCTGGGAGGTGGAGGTTGCAGTGAGCTGAGATCGTGCCACTGCACTCCAGCCTGGGTGACAGAGTGAGACTCTGTCTCAGAAAGCAACAACAACAACAAACAAACAACAACAACAACAAAAACCGAATAAAATATAGTGTCCCAAGACTTACAAAGAACTTTCACAAAATCACGTGATGGTCCTACCAGTTGCACAGAGAGGGCGAAATGAAACCAAGGAGCAGAGAGGCCAAAGGCACACCAACCCCAGCCTCAGGGCCAGAGAGACCAGACACACGTCAACCTCACGTCCAGTTCTTGTTGAGCCAAAGCTCACCAGAATTTTTTTTGTTTTGACCTCTGTTGCTGCAAACTGGGCCTCTTCAGCAAGCATGAGGGATTTTGGGTGCTCAAGGATGCTGTGCCCTGGGGGCCTCCACAAAGCGCAGGCCCCGGAGAGGCCGGGCAGCGCTCAGAGAGCTCAGAACATCCTCCTGAGGGTTCTGGGATTTATCGTCAACCTCTTTCTACAAAAATGCAGCGTTCTCCCCCCACCCCCAAATCTAGTGAATGGAAAGAGCCAGTGGATCGAGTTCCTAGGACTTGAGATGTGGCTGCATCTGGAGGTGTTGCAGGAAACGCCAGTGGACCTTTGGGGGCCCAGAAGTGACCCCGCCCATGCAAGGCCGGCATGGACGAGGCCGGTCAGAGCAGAGCAATCGGTGTGCGGCTCACATTAAACCAGGCCCTCCCCGTGCTCCTCTCAGGAACACGGCCGCAGAGAGGCACCTTGAATGGGTCTGCGTCCCGGAGGAGAGACTGACAGTACCTTCGTCTGGACCATGCCGGGTCTCTGGTCCCTCAAGTGCTCCAGGGTCGCTGCGATATCAATCTCTTTAGCACCTGCAACAAACCACAAATTGGGCTGAGTTCAGAGCACAAGATAATCCATGCCACATCTGTCAATCTCCTGCTAGCCACGTTCCCTCTGGGCTGAGAGGCCAATTGAAAATTATTACGCTCATCCCTCAGCCGGCTGGCAGGCGGCTGCAATTTCAGTGTTCATGTAGAAGACGAAGGCAGGGGCAGCTTTCATTAGCATTAATTCCAGAAAGCTGGGCTGAAAAATTGTTATAAGATGCTTACCAACAGCAGGCCGTCACCGTCAGAAACCAAAGCTGTACTGGTTTTCTTTTCTTTCTTTTCTTTTTTTTTTTTTTTGTGACACTTCAGGGAATGTAGTACCTCATAGGGAGCCATATACGAACTTTAACTTTGATTGCATAGGATTACTTTTTTATTTAAAGAAATAAAAAATCAGATTAATTTAGATTAATGGACTCAACCTTAATATTGGCTTTTAACTGTAGAGTTTTCTGCTTTTTAAACTCAAATGTTCCACATTTTGGGACTGGGTAAAGGTGCCCGTAGCTACTCCCAGCTCAGTGGTTCACCAAAAGCTCCATCCTCCTGTAGACAGCACCGATCTCACGGCAGGTGATGCTGGCTGCACTCAAATCATGCTACTTAAGTTTTAAATTTTAAGCTAATAATTAATTCAGCACATATTGTTATTTTTCCATTTTGCTAGGTTCTTTAGTAGACAGATAATGAGCAAGACAGGGTCCCGACCTCTCCAGCGTGTTGCAGTTGAGAGGGGCAGACAGGACACAGCCGCCAGGATGAGAAACACAGAGAAGTGTGGGATGAGGAGCAGGAGGCAGCTCCGAAGCGGGTCAGAATCCCACAGGGAAACCCACATGGGTGCCAGGCACTTCATGTCACCTCTACCGAACACGGTGAACTGAGAACTGTGGTCACCCGAGTCGCAGATGAGGAAATAGAGACGCGGCCAATGGCATGTCCAAGCCACAGACAGGAAGAAGCCGCAGCCATTGGAACCCCAACTACCGTGGGCAGGACAGCGCTGGCCGAAGACCTGAGGAGGCCCGGGTGGCCCAGAGTCAGGTGGTCCCCAGGCCTTTCTCTCCGGCCGCAACCTGAGTGCACACCACATTCCTCGCCCAGCGAATCAGGAGAGAAGCTTTAAAATTCCCGAGGTTCCTCAATTTCCTTTCCCTGTGGTTCTGTGGCTTCATGGGGTGGCAACTGTGAAGCCAGTGGGGGCTCAGGCTCCAGGAGGATCATCCCAGCAGGGTAGCAGGTGCCTGCGAAGCACCTCCAAGTCACAGCAGGTGCCTGCGAAGCACCTCCAAGTCAGAACTGCGGGCAGCTAGGAGGGAACGGCAGGGGTGGCGGGGAGGCCTGGGGAGGACACACGTTGGAACCAAATGTCATGTTTGCATGAAGGGAGAACAAAGCAGGTGGTGTGGAGAATCTGGCTGTCAGGACAGCCCCACAGCGGCTCCACCAGGGAGGCCGGGCGCGAGATGACCACCCCACCTGCCCTGCCTGGCTGGTGGGTCTCCCCACCTTTGAGCACAGAAGATGGAGACACTGGCATTTCCTGGCAGGAACAGGGCTCGTGGTGATGGGAGCCACTGTCGGGGCTAAGCTGGCCGTCCCTCCAGCTCCCATCCCCTGGTTAAAGGACCCCATTCTCCTGGGCAGGGAACACCATGAGGGCCACCACCTTTTAAGCCAGAGCCTCTGCAGGCATAAAAGGCGGCTTTCTTTTGCGGCAGCCCGTGAGCTCGGCCACCAGGGAACTAGCTGGCAGCTCACGCGGGTGGAAGGCGGGGTCAGGTGCACGGGTTTGCTTAATTGCTCCTTTTGGGTCTCCAAAGGCCTAAAAAGTCGACAAGGCTACAGTAAATACAATCTTGTTTTAAAAGAAATCCATAAATTTAAAACAGCCTGACACAAACGGGTGAGTTTGTGAAATGGTAGAGAGGAAGGGAGGAAGCCAAAGGACCCCTCCTGCGGCCATGACTGTGGCGGCCAAGGAAGCCGCTTCCTCTCCTCCTCCTCCTCCCACGGACACTCCTGCAGTTGGTGCCTACACAGCAGAATCATGGCAGAAACGACGCAGGGGAACTGGCCTCTCTGAGACAAGCTTGTCTTATGAAAGTCAAGTCCCTGCATGGAGAGCGCCAGGTTAGTCTCAGTGTCACTGCACAAACATTCGTGCTTGAGCCAAAACAACTCAGAAATGCCCATATTGTCTGTTGCACCCGTGACTGTACCTTTGGTAGGAGCTGTGGCTTCTGGACACATTGAACCCAGAACTGTGCTGCAATTTAAATGTGAAAAATACCACAACTGTAGGCAGAAGGATAAATAAGCTGCAATTCACAGCATCTTTCAAGCATCTCAAGTTGGTATAGAGGCTCAAGCTAAACACAGACCCCAGCTGGGGCTCACCCAAAGGAAGGCCGCTGGCCACCATGTACCCCACAGACACTGTGCAGCCCACAGCCAGCATGCAC
Source organism: Homo sapiens (assembly GCF_000001405.40). Lineage (NCBI taxonomy): Eukaryota > Metazoa > Chordata > Mammalia > Primates > Hominidae > Homo > Homo sapiens. The sequence goes on from NC_000007.14 coordinate 157,551,506, forward strand.
CCCACACACCCCACTATCACACACCCCACACACCCCACAGCCACCACACACCCCACGCACCCCACAGCCATCACACACCCCACAGCCACCACACAACCCACAGCCACCACGCATCCCACAGCCACCACGCACCCCACACACCCCACAGCCATCACACACCCCACGGGCACCACACACCCCACAGCCACCACACACCCCACAGCCACCACACACCCCACAGCCACCACACAACCCACAGCCACCACACAACCCACAGCCACCATGCACCCCACAGCCAGCACGCACCCCACAGCCACCACGCACCCCACAGCCAGCACGCATCCCACAGCCACCACACACCCCACAGCCAGCACGCACCCCATGGGCACCACGCACCCCACAGCCACCACACACCCCACAGCCAGCATGCACCCCATGGGCACCACGCACCCCACAGCCACCACACAACCCACAGCCACCACGCACCCCACAGCCACCACACAACCCACGGCCACCACACACCCCACAGCCAGCACCCAACCCACAGCTGGCACACACCCCATGACCACCACACACTCCACAGCCACCACATACCCTACAGGAACCATGCACTCTATGGCCACTGCACACCCTGTGGTCACTGACCACACACCCCACAGCCACCGTGTACCCCACGGCCACCACGCACCACATTCTGCTTGATTGGCTCTTTAGAAATCATCCAGAAGAAATGGCAAGACGTTTGCTGTTTAATTACCACGTGTAAAAAACAATAACATAACTAAATAGCTTCCCGATAAAAATAATTCTATGTATTTTTACATATTTCTATGTACAGGGAAACCTGCCCTCTCATTTAGAAGGGAAGTCATCGTGCAAAGCGGCTGGCCGTGTGAATAATAGCTCAGAAACGGGGAAATGTACAGGCTCCATCTAACACTGGGTCTCGTAACTCCTCACACACCCCAACTGCTGACCTCAGCGAGATGCTGACCTGGACCACGTGGGGAGGGGATGGGCCGAGGTGCAGGATGAGGGAGGCTCCATGTGCTGGGGCCTCACACCCACGTTTAGAGCACGCTATTTGTCTTTGGCCATACGCTGCTGGGTTTGGAAACCGGGTTCTAATACACAAAATGTATTACAACCAGTCTTGTGTAATTAAAAACGTAAGATGTCTATTGGCTTTTAAGAAATTTTCCCAAAACCAAAAAAGGTGAGTTAAAGGCAGGAGTGCTGGGGTTGCCGACAGACGTCGAGTTGTGTCACATGACGTGGGGAAGCTCGGGCTACAGTGCTGAGGTGTGGGTTTCCGCTCCGCGTGCCTATGCTGGGCCTGGCCGGGAAGCTGGATGGGCCAGCCTCACCTCTGGAGGGGCTTTCCTCCCGTTTCCAGGGTCCAGTGAGGGTCCAGTGAGATGACGCATGATTACGTGTAATTTACAAAACACATTTGATGCTCAGGCAACCTCACAGATCTCGTGAGCAAACTCTTCTGGGAGACAGTGAAATCCAATCAGTTATGTTCTCTGAAGCCTTCCAGGCACGAGGACAGCAGCGGCTTCTACGGGGACCCCTCAGCTTTCTGTCTCAGGAGTCATGAACCTCAGGAGAAGCAAGTGTGGTATAAATAGTCTGACTCAAGAGACGGGGAGCTCTCAGCCCTCCTGAGACATCACGTTGAGGGTTCATCTGGGCCACAGAGTTAAAGCCTCTCTCCGTTAGGTGGCTTTAGGGTACTTGCTTTCAGTCCCTGAAACTTCTTTTTTAAAACGACTGTCAACAGCAATGTCATCTGAAGGGCTGTGTGTATGATGGTGCTAGTGGGAATCCTGGGAGACTGTCCCTCACTGGCAACCGCCCTCCCGAATTCTGGCCGGAGCCATGAAGCCGTCAGGAGCTGTAGCAGGTGTGGGCGAGGAAGGGGCTCTCCCTCCGCGTGCACTGATCTCTGGAGATGGCTGTTGCTGGCGGCTGTCTCCCAGAGTGGCGTCGTCGTCCTCACATAAAATGTGATGGATAAAGTCTCTCTTATTTCATGACATCGTGGCTCCCTCTCAGGCTGTGGTTTGTGAGGAAAAGTGAAAAAAGGGAAGGAGAAAGACTTGCCGGGCCATCCCCAGACAACATGGGGAGAACCGGGCGGAAATACAAAATGACACGGGAGCGTGCCTCCGAGTCGCGCTGAGCCCGAGACCAAAACTGAAGAGCGGAGGAAACGGAGTTAACGCTTAAAAAGTGTGCAGCACCAGCATTAGGTCCATAATGATGTAGCAGGAAAATCAACTGTCTGCTGTGGACGGCTCCTGCTTCTTGCATGCCAGGATTAAGACTAACTCCTTACTTCAAGTGTGGTGGAGACAGAAGCTTTCATAGAGCCCATGCATGAGATCTTTCATAAGGGACAGACCCTGGATAGCCAGGCTCAGGCTGGGCGCCGTATCCTGCCCGCTCTGGTGCCCTCCTGAGCATGGGTACGGCCAGGCCGGGCGCCGGATCCTGCCCGCTCTCGTGCCCTCCTGGGCATGGGTGCGGCCAGGCCGGGCGCCGGATCCTGCCCGCTCGCGTGCCCTCCTGGGCATGGGTGCGGCCAGGCCGGGCGCCGGATCCTGCCCGCTCTCGTGCCCTCCTGGGCATGGGTGCGGCCAGGCCGGGCGCCGGATCCTGCCCGCTCTCGTGCCCTCCTGGGCATGGGTGCGGCCAGGCCGGGCGCCGGATCCTGCCCGCTCTCGTGCCCTCCTGGGCATGGGTGCGGCCAGGCCGGGCGCCGGATCCTGCCCGCTCTCGTGCCCTCCTGGGCATGGGTGCGGCCAGGCCGGGCGCCGGATCCTGCCCGCTCTCGTGCCCTCCTGGGCATGGGTGCGGCCAGGCCGGGCGCTGGATCCTGCCCGCTCTTGTGCCCTCCTGAGCATGGGTGTGGCCAGGCCGGGCAGGGGCACAACGTTGGCATTGATAAAGCACCTGCTGGGTGGGTAGGGTGGGATAGGGTGGGCGTGTGTCCCCCTTCACTTGATAAAAGGCTTTTCTTAGTGTCAAAGGATTCATTTAAAGCCTCCACTGCATAGAAAGCTCCCTCTAGTGCATTTAAAATAGAATTCTCTCTTGAAAAATCCAATTTTGCTGACAAGGTGAAGGAGCAGCTAACGAAAGTTAAATTCCAGGGAAACAGAAAGGCCCAGTGGTGTGACGCTGACATCGAAAAGCCTGCAAACAGTCGAGGAGTCAGCGCACACACAAAGAAAATCCAGATGGAAGGAAAGAAAGGAACCTTAACGATGTCTACCGGGGACAGAGCGTGGGGTCCACGGAGAAGTCCCAGGCGTTTTCCACCTAAGAAGCATCATGGTGATTCAAACACCAGGGAAATGAATGGACTCAGTGGAGCCACTTTCTGCTACTTGACCAGGTTTAATTCGAGTTGTCCATGTCGGGAATCTACAGGGAAGTGACGCAGGCTGCCATCTTGCTCAGCACCCCAGTGTGGCGGGCGCCCCAGTGTGGCGGGCGTCCCAGTGTGGTGAGCACCGGCCAAGTCAGTTTGGGTTGGGCTGCACCCTCGTGCCTGGGACACCCAGGAAGACCCACCTCTCTCGTGTTAGTGGACCAGGGAGGCAGCCACAGACACCAGGCTCTGCGTGCTCCGCTGGCACCCGAATGGCCACTGGGTACCATCCCGTGCCAAGCTCAGCAAATGTAAATCGCTCTCATTGTTATTTTCTAATTCACTCAGGGCTCATTGGGTTAAAAGTTTATACATTGGTTAAATACATTTGTAAGACAACAGAGGGTTTTTTTTTAGCTTTAGATAAAAAATGTTAACCATTAAACAAAAGCCATTAAAAGAATATTAGTATTAAAGTATTAAAACTATCTGTCACAATGAAAGAATCCATTTGAAGTTAAAGAAAACCAAGCAAATATGCCACCGGTGTCTCTTTCCAAGGCTTGTTTGATTTCTCCTGGACTCTGGCTCTTGGCTGACCGAGCTGTGTGATTCAGCTCATGGCCCTAGACCACATCCTCCCAGTAAACAGTGAACACGGACGGATGGGGTGTGCCGGGAGGGCCATCGTCGCCGTCTCCTGACCGTCATTCTTCCGCATGGCTTCCGGCAGCCTGTTCATGGATAATGACTGCATGAGCGCAGGTAAGTTTTATTACAATTTTACTCAGAGGTTTTGCAAACTGCAGGGATGCAATGTATTCTTTTTTTCTTGAAAGTAAAAACGACAATGTGTGCCAAGTGTTCAAGAGAGAGAGGCCTTTACTTGCAGGAGAAAATTTTCTCAACTCTACCCTCTGGAAGAACTGAAGAAAAGCTTGGTCCTAACTAAATGCATTCAAATACATGACGAATGGTGATTATTAAGAATCCAGATAAGGAACGAAGTGGAACAGTTCCCGTGCCCCAGGAGCGCAGAGCTCCTCACTCACCCAGGCTGCGATGTTTCTGCTTTGTCTGGAGCTCACGCTGTGGGAGGACTGGGCTCTGAAGGGCACAGACACCCCATCTTTCTAGCTCTCCATGTCAGCCGAGGTGACCCCAGAACTGGACTGGGTGCAGAGGTCAAGCTAGAGCCCCTCACGTCTGGCAGAGCAAAACTCGGCTCAAGGTAACTGTGGTTGGGGATGCTCTGGGTGCCCCACACGGTTCAAGCCCTCCCCAGACCTGGGTCTCAGGGATGCCACTTGGCACTGACTACACACTACACGCATGCAGATACATGTACATGGGTACACAGGCATGCACACACCACACAACACTCACCCACACTCACATCATACATATGCACATGCACACACACAGAGGCATGCACACACCCAAACAACACACACACCCACACTCACACTCACGTCATACATATGCACATGTGCACACACACAGGCATGCACACACCACACAACACTCACCCACACTCACATCATACATACGCACATGCACACACACACAGGCATGCACACATCACACAACACTCACACCCACACTCATGTCATACATACACAGATGCACACACATACACACACAGGCATGCACACACCACACAACACTCGCATCCACCCTCACGTCATACATATGTACATGCACACACATACACATTCATGCACACATCCAAACACACACACCCCACACATCATACATATGCACATGCACACACACACATTCACACAAACATGCACACCCCACACTCACATGTCACATACACACATGCCCACACACATATACACATGTGTGCACATGCCCACACTACACTCACACCCCACACTCATACATATGCACATGCACACACACATGCACACGCCCACAACATGCACATCCCACACTCATGTCATACATATGCACACACAAATATACACACAGCCATGCACACACTCACACAACATACATATCCATGCTCACATGTCATACATATGCATGCACACACATATACACAGGAATGCACATGCCCACATGACATGCACACCCTACGCTCATGTCATATGCACACACATGCACACACAATGTCATACATATGCACATGCATGCACACACATATATACAGGCATGCACACATCCACACAAGATGCACACCCCACACTCATGTATCATACATACACACACACACACAGATATACACACAGGCATGCACATGCTCACACAACATGCACACCCACACTCATATATACTCACATGCATGCACACATATATACACAGGCATGCACACACCACACAACACACACACCCCACTTACATAGGTCATACATATGCACACACACACACAGGCATGCACACACCACACAACACTCACATCCTACATCACATGTGCACACAAACACCCACACTTCACACTCTCACACAATACACCCCACATCACACATGCACATCCTTTATACCTACATTCAGGATCACACACATACATCATACACATGCATACACACAGAACACTCACAGCTCACACTGCACACAAACATTCCACACCCATATCACACACTCATACACCACACACATGCACACACCTATGTGCATGCACACACAGGTACACACGGCATGCATAGGCCCACACAACACCCACACCCATCACACACACTCCCACACACACACACACACACACTCTCCTGGGCCTTCAGTGCTGAGTTTTTACTTCACACCTTTCCTGGATGATCTTAACTAAAGACTTATGAAAATTATAAGCAGGTTTTTTTTTGCTGACCTTCTAGATAAATTATATTGTCTATGTTGTAACATATTGCTGGGATCAAAGGAGGCAAATCTGCATCTTATTCACTTGAAAATCAAGTAGATCAGAATCATAACAAACTAGCTATTTCTTATGTTTTTTTTTCCTTTGAACAAATTCTAAATCCTTCTTTTGGAGAAACTGAAATGCCTCCAGATCCTTATTAAAAATATAAGTTAAAGAAAATGTAGAAGTGTATGAATGAGTACTGTCATTTTAAAGTCACCATCCCCAATACTCCAGGAGGACAGGGAATTGTGCAAAATATCCTGGTAAGTTTCTATCGACTGCTGGACCATCCCATAATACTGTTGAGGTGCTGGCAGCATCAACGCGGAGACACCGGACCTCTGCACCCCTGTGCAGGCGAGCACAGCTTCACAATTCAAGGGGGGATTGTTAAAAGGGAAAGACGAATACGATGGCTCCACAATTCCGAGTCCTATCTGTGTGTGAACACGTGCACATTGGTGCGACGCGGTGCCCACCGCAGTTTGCTGCCATCCCACCTACCTGCCCTGCACAACCAGTGCCAGGGCACCGGGGCAGGACCGAGATGCAAACGCAGCGTCTGTGCTGACAGAAGAGGTTTGGGAGCAGCACGAGAGCCCCAAGGCAGGGGACTGCTGAGGTACATCCTGGAGCATCCGTGTGATGGGGCACACGCAGTCATTCCCAGATCAGTGCAGAGCACACACACCCACATGGGGGCCTCCACGATGTGGCTAGGTCCTCAACACCTATGTCAGAATCAACAAGCATGTGCGGTCAATGGCGTTCAGGAGGCCGTCTGCAGCTGAGTAACAATCACACCAAATTGTGAATATTGAACAGGTGGAGGAGAACAGGAGCTGGGCTCACCCAGGGCAAACCTTCTCATGCTGCCTGGAACACGCACACACCACTTGCACCTTTTACCCAAAAGGTGCTCATGCACTGGTCCAGCGGGGATGCGTGAAGCATGCAGCCAGCTCCCCTCCCAGGCCGCACTGACTGCTGGTACTGCTGCTTCCGGGGGCCTGGCCTTTACGGGGGTCTGGCAGGATCCCTCCTGCAGGTGCACAGCCCAGGCTCTCCTCCCCCTTGCTCCTGTAGGGCCGGCAGCTGCCTCGGTCCCTCTGAGTCTATTTTGGGTTCAGAAAGTGCCTGGGCTGGGGACAGGGCCAGTTACGCATTGACTCAGTTCCGTGGCTTACAGTGCAAACACAGAGACCTTGTCCCATGCCCGTGGGCTCATGGTCAAGGACACTTTGCATCATTTGACCTCGGAAACAGGAGAAACGGAAGCACAGGCCAAGGAGGGAGCCGAGGGGCCGCGTGACACTGCACGGGATCGCTGCCCTTCCCACACGCACGTTCTGTCTCACGCAGTTGCTGTGCATTTGGAAGAATCTTGCATGAGGATTACTGATTCCACGGGACAGCGTGTGACCCCCTGCAGCACCCTGACTCCATCGGGGGACCCCCAGCATCCTACTCAACACTACGAGGGAGCCCCACTGCCAAAAGGCCAGGCTGCATGTGCCTGGACTTCAGGCGCTAGGAACGGACGCTTGGGACCTGCTGCCTCTGGGGACAGCCCCTCAGGGTCTGGACGGAGGATGTTGGGCCTGCGGGCTGGGCAGGGATGATGCTCTGGGAGGTGCCTCCAGGACAACAGGGAGACCCCTGCAGCCCTCCACATGGGCCCCTGGAAACCCAGGATAGGGAGTGGCAGAACACACTGGCGGGGGCTGGACGAGCAGAGGAATGAGGGAAGGACAGAGTGGGTGGGAGCGAGAGCAGAGGAGATGGAGGGGGGACCACAGACTGTGTGGGGAGGGCAGCTGTGCCGCAGGAAATGGAGCAACCAGGCTGTGAGCAAGATGCGCACAGAGGACGGAGAGGACCCAGGGACTGAGATGAAGGAGTGACTGCCCGGCAGCAGGGAGCAGAATCAGGCAGGCAAGTGCGCAGGCCGGGCCAGCCTGGACCGTGGAGCTGTGTCTCCAACGGGAACCTTGGAGGGCAGGACTTTGATCCCCTCCCGAATTTCCAAACAGGAGTTTGAACAGAAACATGTGGACTCAGGGACCAGTGCTTCGGGCACATCCTGACAGCGACACAGCTGCCCCGACAGGGCTGTGGCCCCCCCCGCCCCGTCTCTCTCCTGTGTTCTCTCCCACATTCTCAGGGGCCGCCTGCTGCCAGCTCCCTCGCTGTGGCCTCATCCAGCTCCTGCTGGCGTGGTCTGACCCCTAAATGTGTGCCAGCAAGGCCTGTGTTGGAGGGAGGGGAGGGCCTGGATGGGCCTGGATGGGCTGGTGCCAGCACCCGGGACCAAGGAGGGAGCTTGCAGAAGGGACAGCCCTCGGCCAGGTGGGACCTGAACGACATTTTGCGGCATCCAATGGGCCTGAGGTGTCTGCGTGACCATGAGGAGAAGCGGAGGACAGCCCAGGTGAGGACATCAGACCCAGGAGTGGGTGAGGAGCCCCTGCAGCCAGGCTATGTGAACCCTGGCTCAGCAGGGTCAGCCTGACCCCTTGAAGGTGGGAGACCCCTTGAAGGTGGGAGACCTGTGAGCTGGTACACTCAGTGAGGACGGCTCCATGCACAGGGACGAAGACCCCCGAGGAGACCATCGAAGGATGGTGGGCAGTGCTGCCCACACGGATGCCCAGAGCGTGTTCCCCAAGACCAGCGGGTCTCATGCTGTCCACACGCTCCCACCAGGCGATCGACACCAGGGTCCGCCTGTGCCCTGCCTGGGTGGGGTCAGCCACGCCCCCGGACCACTGCTCCAACCAGCGTTCGTCGTCAGCCCCTTACACGGGACAGGGCACTGCAGACCGGCCCGGGAACCTGGGGACACCTCACGCCCCACATCCCTCACTGTTTCTCTTGCACCAGAATAGCTCAGGGGAAGGAAAGGCACAGAAAATAAACAACACACAGCAGAGGAGGCCCTGCTCCTGCCCGACCGAAGGCAACTTCTCCCTTGAAGAGAAAGGTGCAGACAGGCTCCCTCTCCCCTTCCCTCCTCCCACCTCACCCAATTCTGGGCACTTTTTCAGCCTGAAACTTGCCTGAGCGAGACAAGAGACACTGCGGGCCCAACGTGTCTGTGAGGTCCCTTTCCCACTGGCCCTTCGTGTTTTCATGTTTCAGCCAAACATAAAAGCGAGACGTCTCCTGCTCAGCTTTCCCAATTCTGCCCAGCCCTCGCGTCCCCCTAAGTCTCATCTGCAGAAGGCTGAGCCTCATGCACCTGCACCTCCTTCTCTTGGTGCCTGCGCCCAAATGTGTGGCTCTGTCTGGCTCAACCCTCTCCTGGGCCCCGTGGCTGAGCTGGCCTGTTCTTCAGTTCCAGCTCCATTCCCTGGCCCTCTTAGTCCCGCACTGCCTGGCTGGTCCCCCAGCCATCTGGTTCTGCACTGCCCAGCCATGCCATCCCCTCGGCCCCCGGGTCCTGTACTGCCCGGCCAGTCTCCCCGCCCTCTGGTTCTGCACTGCCCAGCCATGCCATCCCTTCGGCCCCCGGGTCCTGTACTGCCCGGCCGGTCTCCCCGCCCTCTGGTTCTGCACTGCCTGGCTGGTCCTCCAGCACCTGCCTGGGTTCTCCCACTTCCCTGCAGACTCCAGGCTGTGCCCAGAGAGAGCTGAGCTCGGCGGCCCAGGCGCCTCACCACTGGCCCTCAGTTTCCTCTTCCTCCGGTAGTTTCCATGAGAGCCCCAAAGGAACTCCCCAGCGAAGCTGCCCCTCTGTCCCTGGAGCCCTGGAACACACCACGCTGTGCCTCTGAGCGCCGTCCCTGGGGCCGTGTGCCTTCCACCATCCTCCCTCTGGGGCCCTGAGCCTTTGCAGACTGAGCAGGGTTCTGCATCTGACTCTGGCTGACCGGAGGCCTTGAGGCAAGTCACCCAACCTCCCAGAACTGCTTCCTCAGCTTGCAACAGAGTGGTCAGAACGGAGGGCCCCTTGGGCCCCCTTCCATTCAGTGAAAAGCTTTCTGTGGGTCCTCCTGAGCCCCAGGACAGCCCGTGAGTGAAGCTGCCATCTCTGCATCTGGGAGTGTCCTTGTCTGCTCTCCACCACCCTGCAGCCACAGACTCCTTACCTGTCTCTCGGCAGAGCAGGAAGATGCAGCAGGAGGATGGGGCTTCTCTGTTTTGCTCTCACAACCCACGCCTGGCAGGCAGCAGGTGCCAAACCAGCATCAGCGTGGATCCAGCATGCAGTGGACGCTGCCCTGCCATCAGCTGGAGCCACACTTTCACGGTTTACCCTGGCATCTGCCAGAGAAGGAATGGACCAGTGGGACTCCAGAGAGGACAGAGGGTGGGGGATGCACCCTGGGGAGGGGAAGGGTGCGCCCCCCACGCCACAGAAAAGAACCTGCAAAGCCCTGAGTCCTGGAGCCAAAGGAGGCAGAGTGGCCCACCAAGGGGGATCGGCAGTGGCCAGGTTGCCCAGGGCTCTGGGGACAGCTCGCCCAGGGCTCTGGGGACAGCTCCAGGGCCGAGGCAGGCACCCAAGGTCTTTCTGTCTAAAGCATCTTACTGACTGCTGTGTGACACCTAATCAGGAGGAGAAAATGGAGCGGGGAGACCAGCACACGAGGGGTGATGGGGCTGGGCCCAGGGAGATGAGAAGAGGGTGAGGGTGAAGTCAGGAGCCACCGTAGTGCCACCTTGGAGCCGTGTGGCCCCCAGGACCTGCTGTGGGGGAAGGAGTGACTTCCAGCTTCACCGCCTGGTGTAGCCACTGTGGCTTTGTCATGCAGCTAGTACAACTGAAGAGCTGACTTGTAAACTTTATCCAATTTTAGTGACTCTAAGGAACCACATGTGGCTACTGTATGGAACAAGGCGGCTCTGGAGGGCTGCTGGCCTTCAAAGTCCGGGGACCTTCAAAGTCCGGGGAGCCACAAAACACGATTCGACAAAGACGTTCTGCTGTCACCACACACAGCAGATCAGGACCATGTGCTCCCGCGTCACCACACACAGCAGATCAGGACCACATGCTCCCGCGTCACCACACACAGCAGATCAGGACCACGTGCTCCCGCGTCACCACACACAGCAGATCAGGACCATGTGCTCCCGCATCACCACAGACAGCAGATCAGGACCACGTGCTCCACGTCACCACACGCAGCAGATCAGGACCACGTGCTCCCATGTCACCACACGCAGATCAGGACCACGTGCTCCCGCATCACCACACACCACAGATCAGGACCACGTGCTCCCACATCACCACACAGCAGATCAGGACCACGTGCTCCCGCTTCACCACACACAGCAGATCAGGACCACATGCTCCCACGTCACCACACACAGCAGATCAGGACCACATGCTCCCGCATCACCACACACCACAGATCAGGACCACGTGCTCCCACGTCACCACACACAGCAGATCAGGACCACGTGCTCCCACGTCACCACACACAGCAGATCAGGACCACGTGCTCCCACGTCACCACACACAGCAGATCAGGACCACGTGCTCCCATGTCACCACACACAGCAGAGCAGGACCACGTGCTCCCGCGTCACCACACACAGCAGATCAGGACCACGTGCTCCCACGTCACCACACACAGCAGATCAGGACCACGTGCTCCCGCATCACCACACCACATGCAGCAGATCAGGACCACGTGCTCCCACGTCACCACACACAGCAGATCAGGACCACGTGGTCCCGCATCACCACACACAGCAGATCAGGACCACGTGCTCCCACGTCACCACACACAGCAGATCAGGACCACGTGCTCCCACGTCACCACACACAGCAGATCAGGACCACGTGGTCCCGCATCACCACACACAGCAGATCAGGACCACGTGCTCCCACGTCACCACACACAGCAGATCAGGACCACGTGCTCCCGCATCACCACACCACATGCAGCAGATCAGGACCACGTGCTCCCACATCACCACACACCACAGATCAGGACCACGTGCTCCCGCATCACCACAGACAGCAGATCAGGACCACGTGCTCCCACATCACCACACACCACAGATCAGGACCACGTGCTCCCACATCACCACACACAGCAGATCAGGACCACGTGCTCCCACATCACCACACACAGCAGATCAGGACCACGTGCTCCCACGTCACCACATGCCACAGATCAAGACCACGTGCTCCTGCATCACCACAGACAGCAGATCAGGACCATGTGCTCCCACATCACCACACCACACACAGCAGATCAGGACCACATGCTCCCGCACACGCTCGAGGCAGCAGGCTCTCTGCTCCATGGCCCCTCTCGCTTCCCACAGGCAACTTTCCATCTACTACTTGGGCCTGCCCTTAAAAGTTAAGAGAATATAGGAGGAAATCTAAGAACAGATAGCAGAAGGTCTTTGTGACCTTGGATTTGGCCAATATATCTTGGGTATGATACTAAAAGCACAAGAAAAAAAAATATATTTTTGAGATGGAGTTTCTTTCTTGTTGCCCAGGCTGGAGCGCAATGGTGCGATCTCAGGTCACTGCAACCTCCGCCTCCCGGGTTCAAGTGATTCTCCTGCCTCAGCCTCCTGAGTAGCATCTGCCACCACACCTGGCTAATGTTTGTATTTTTAGTAGAGACTGGGTTTTGCCACGTTGGCCAGGCTGGTCTCGAACTCCTGACCTCAGGTGATCCACCCGCCTTGGCCTCCCAAAGTGCTGGGATTACAGGTGTGAGTCACAAGAAAAATATTTTTTAAAAAGTAAACTGGACTTCATCAAAATTGAACACTTTTGTGTAACAAAGACACTATCAAAAGAGTAAAAAACCCCGATGTAATGGGAGAAAATACTTGCAAATTACATAGCTGATAAGGGAGTAGTATTCAGAATATATAAAGAACTCTTAGAATTCAACAACAAAAAATACAAACAGCCCACTTCAGAAATGGGCAAGGGACTTGAAATGTCTGTTTTGCTCAAGTTGATATACAAATGGCCAATAAGCCATTAAAAGATGTTCAACATCACTAGTTGTTAGGGAGATGCATGCTAAAACCACATTGAGATCCACTCACATCCACTGGGATGGCTGTAATCAAACAGCCAAGAGATAAGAGAATTACGGTCGATGTGGCGATTCCGCCCCAGGGACATATCCAGGGATGTGGGTGGACACCCTCACATCCACATTCACAGCAGGATTACTCACAACAGCCCAAAGCCGGAAACAACGGCACTGTCCATTAATACACAAATGAATCCACAAAGTGCGGTCCATCCATGCCATGGAATATGAGTCAGTCATAAAATGGAAGTTAGTGCTGACACACACCACGACACAGGCCAACCTCGAAGGCATTATGCAAAGTGACATATAACAGTCACGGAAGCGCAGACGCGGTATCACTCCACTTAGATGAGGTGCGTAGTATATTCAGATTCGCGGAAACAAAGAAGAACGGAAGTGATCCATCCCCGTAGGCAAGGAGATGTGTATCCACACACAAAATAGTACCATGTCCAGTCGCTGAGTCTGAGAGCTGGGTCTATGCCCGTGTGGACACCCCACCGTCCACTCACATTCACGCCGTGAGACTACTTAGGAACGTACTCCTAGCCAGCTGAAGTTTAAAAGGTCGCTCCAGCATGGGCTCACAAGCCGTGGGGATTCATATTGGAACACAAAATTCCCGGTCTGTGGCTCCTGCCAGACAAAAGAAATGAGTCACCCCAGACTCACTCTGCACCTTGTCAACAGCCACAGCTGCTGGGGGATCATACAGTGTCTGCTTGGCATGGCCTCCATGGTACCTGGGGCCACACAGGCACCCTCTTCCGGCCCAGGCGCAGACCCTGGTGGGAATGCCGTGGAAGTTTGGCCACACTTCTCAGCCACTGCATTTCTGTGCTGGCCCCTGGGGAGTGAAGCCTGACCCCACCCAGCATGGCTCAGCCCACCTCATCTCTGGGGAGTACCCCCTCAGTGCTGGTTGCTCCTCATCCCTTTAAAAAATTGTGGGGAAGTAGAAAAATACCCTCAGTAAGTGAAGTCACTGACAAAAAAGTAAAAGGCACAACCTTGGAAAATATCTTGCTTGAAAAAAACATGTTTTGCTACATGTGAGCCAAGCCCTTCAATGAGAGAGGAACAGGCTACCTAAAAACAGATTCCTACACAATCGTCTATTATCGGTGAGTTAGAAACGCATCTGCTGCCACAGAAATGACACGTGTAAGCGCTTCCCAGATTGGTGCCTACTTTCCTGCCACAAAACCCATTGCAGAACATGAGCCTGTTGACTTTCATTCCAAACTGCATCATCGTCTACTTGCTGCTAAACTGGACAGTAGAGAAAGAACTTCAACTATTCTGAGTTTGTTTTTAAAGGCCCTTCAACTAGGCCCAAAGGCCTTAATCCCTGATGGGCTGTGTGGACAAGTGCTGCTCTGCTGTCTGCGGCCGCAGCTGCTGGAGCTAAAAGCATGCAGAGGCCCTGCATGCAGGACTGGAGGGCCCTAACATCAGCGTTGGCACTGCCCGACTGCCCGGGAAGCTTGGGAAGGGCATTCTCTGGTCTTCTGTAATGCATTCCTTTACAGAAAGGGAAATGGGAAGAAAGGTTTCACGTCCAGGACTCTGGGCCTTTGATCATTTGAGAAACGCTGGGTCTGCAGTGGGGGCCTCCAGCTTCTCAGGCCAGACAAAGACGCCCCGCCACACGGGCAGGGCCCAGCCTGCACCAGAACAAAACCCCAGCGCCTCTCAGTGTGGAGGCCTGGGAAAGGCCCACCTCAGCCGGCAGAGGGGCTGCCTGCCCTTTGATCTCTCCTGAGACTGTGGCCTGGGACCCGGGTCAGGGAATTTCACACCGCACACACCCCAGGGAAAGAGGAGCAGGTCAAGAACAGGAGGAGGGTCACCAATCTCAGAAAAGGCCCCAGGCCAGCCCTCTTTGGCCATTTCCACATGGCTGCATGCGTATTGTCCAAAGCTGAGCCCACTCTCAAAGGAGAATTGACATCACATGCCACAATGGAGCCAGTGAACAGCAGCTCAGGTGCCTGGACAATATGCCAGCCCTGCCCCCCGTACCGGGGTCTCGAACCCAGGACATACTTCTCCATGTTTCCTTCTCTGTGGAGTGAACCTGAGCCACTCAGAACCCAGGCTCCATCCCATCCCTGTGGAGACGCACGCTGGGGTCACCTGCGTCCGGCCGCCTGCCTGTGCTTCTGGTCCCTGGATGGGCAGGTTCCATTGGAATCACAGGTGCCCCCAGCAACTCACCACATCACACGTTCACAAACATAGGCTTGGTCAGAAACACTTACATCAAATGATCTGTAACGTTCTGAAGACATTTTGGTTTAAGAGAAGAAAAATCTTTGTCTGAGAGAGGGAAAGAAGGGAGGGCCCATGATAAGTGGAGAAATACAAATTCCATGGATGGCTCTGAGCTCCAATAGCTGTAAATTTGGAAAGGAAAAGAAATATTTGACAAGACACAGCAGCATTAATGGACAAGGAAAAATGGACTTTTAAATGACAAAAAGTTAGGATTGTGTCATGTCCAAAACAAACAAAAAAAGGATTAAAAATATTATGAGTGTTTGCATTTTGTTTTTGTTTGCACATTCCCACCACTAAACTAATCTTGGGTGTTTAAAATGACATTTGGTGGCACAAAAACTGATTTCATTTCTCCCCAGCAGCCAGCAAAGGATGCTGGCGGTGTTGGGTAGGTGTGGGGTGTGGGGCTGGGCTGCAGCCCTCCCCTCTGCTGCAGGACGCTGGAGAACTTGCCCAGGCTCTCCAGTCCTTCTGCGTAAAGCCATGGCTGTTGTTTTATCTTCACATATTTATGTCTTTTTTTTTTTAACCAGAAGAAAATGAAGTAAGGAAAATGCTTATTTTAAAATTGCTGGCATTCGTGGAAGTGTATAGAAACTTGTTTCTATAATCAATGGCTGCTCCTGTCACTGGGCCAGTGATGGAGAATGGGATGTTACGGAAGGCGGAGGTCTCTGTATGAACACATATACGTGTGTGTGTGTTGAGACAAAGGGAATTGTTTATTCACAGCTGGGAAAGAGACCGTAGGATGCTACCACCTCGGTGCCTCCCACCTTCCATGGGACGCTAACGGGTATCGCAAGGCTAATGCAGACTCTTCTCAAGTAAGTGTCGGAGGCGCCAACTGAAGGGAAGCTGGACACATCTCTCTGCCCTGGACTCCTTGGGACCTCTCCATGCACACCTGCCCTGTGATGCCCAAGGAGCAGACTCAGTGTGTGCCTCCTCTCAAGCTCACCTGCCTGGGGAGCCTTCTCTCTGGCCCCTATTTAAAGAGATGACCTTAGAGGTTGGGTATTCTGGAGACCACCTTTTGAGAAATGCCAGAGCTCAATCCCCATGCTTTTGTAGGAGAAAATTGGATCCCAGAGAGGTTAAAAGCTCTGTCCAAAGTGATAAACCTCATTGCTGGCAGAGCCAGACCCGCGCACAGATCTGCTTTTCCACGCTGCTGCTGGACCCATCCTCGCACCCTGCGCCTCATGTCTAAGACTCCCCACGCCGTCTGCGCATGCTGCCGCTCTGCCAAACCTGTCCTTCTCCCACCACAGGCCTCAAGTCTAAGACTCCCCACACCGTCTCTGAGAGGAACGCCTCCCACAGCACGCACAGAGATTCCCTAGATAAGAAGGACATTCACAAAGAGGGCTGAAAGGCTCATTTGAGAGGGGGTGATTGACATTTGATGGCAATTACTAACGGATATTTTTAGTGTGCCTCTAGTGTGAATACCGTTTTGACAACAGTGGAGTTACACCAAATACTGGAGCGGCATTCTGCACTGCAACAACACTGAAGGACCCGAGGGTGGCTTCTCCGTGGCTCTGAGGTTAACGCTGCAGCGTATGCAGCAAACACCTGTCAAGGACCCACTGTGTGCTCGGCACACCAAGGCAGGTAACAAAGGACCCAGTGCATGCTCGGCACGCAGAGGCAGGTAACAAAGGACCCACTGCAGGCTCGGCACGCAGAGGCAGGTAACAAACGACCAGCCTCAGAAGCAGATGTGCTTGCTGCAAACCACCTTCCTACGGCCCAGCAGAGGCACAACAAGCAGCGAATTTTTTCCAGGGCCTCCCGTGAACACGGCACCCTACGTTGCCATAGCGACGCCATCCCAGCTCTGAGCCGCAACAAAGCGGCAGTGTCTGTGTCTCACCTTTGGCCATCTTGTTGAGAACCATGTCGATCAGGACGTAGGTGCCGCTCCGGCCTGCACCGTCACTGCCAACAGAAGGAGAGAAATGAAAGTGCTGCCGTCCACACGGAAGCCCGACCCACAACAAAGCTAGTGACAGTTCATTTCCTTCCTGCTTACGGGGGCCGGCGAGAGGAAAGGATGGCGGATGTGAGAGGGGGAGGAAGGACGCGGGCTGGGAGAATCCAAGTGAGGGGAGAAGGGAGGCCCCTGGGGGCTTCGAGCCTCTGAGCAGCTTGTAGCTTGTGGGATGAGCTGCTGTGCTCAGATGTGACTCCCTCTTGCTTGTTCCCCCCTCTTTGGCCAAAGATGTGGTAAATTTTGCCAGAACAAAATGAACTAAGCGTTTGACTGTGTCAGAGTTGATGGCATTTGTATTGAAAATATCTGCAAGGTGCCTTCTCTAGTGTTGCCGGGCAACCTCCCGAGCGGAGAGGGGAGGGCGCTGGGCGGCTGGGCCCCGCTGGCTCATGCACGCAGGGACACTTCAGGCACATCCCCCTAGGCTGCCTGCCACCCCTTCTAAACGCAGGTCCTCCGTCTCAGAAGGAGAAATTGACATAACAGTCGTTACTAAATCTTACTCTTTAAAAAGCACTCTCATTTCATCTCTTTCTCATCCCACCAGCTATAATTGGAATATTTACCATCTGGGCTAGAGTTGTAAAAATGTTTTGAATAATACTTCAACAGTAGCAAAGGAAAAAAAATTTCCCTTTTTTTCTGGAAGAAGAGTAGCCTCAGGATCATCCTTTTCTTATGAGGAATGTGTGAAGCCATTTCCTGCCCCCGTGCAGACGCTGTCACTGGGTTGCATGAGTTTGAGAGACCTTCTTAAAAGTACATAGGGCTCGTGTTCACACCCATGACTGGCTTTTAAACAGAGGACCTTTTACATTTATAATCCTAGCAAAATCAATTGTGACTTTCCGGAAAACGAATAAATGTTTCCATTTCAAGACTTCAAGAAAGATGTGACTACCCAGCAGATATCACACTTTCGGTTCTGCTTTCTATGCCGTCTGTGATCCCAAGAAATGACTGGAATCCTATAGGTGATCTTTTGATGGTAAAGAATCAGCGCATTTTGGCTTTAACATGTTTCCTCAAACAAATGGTTGAAAAAAGCTGCAGTTGGGATGGTAAATGTTTAAAAAACGGCACGTTCACATCCTCACACCCTCACTGCATCACCAAGGAGGAGAGGCGGTCGGCCTGGGCCGCCACGTAACCCTCACTGCTCATTTCAAAGGGCCACGGTGAGCATTCTGGTTGCTGAGTGCCTTTCTCACTTGTCTCCTATGCACAGCATATATTCACATGAATATTTTAAGATATACTTCAAAAATCTTCCAACTAAGTGTTGCTTGTCTTGATACATTTGTGGGTAAAAAAGATGTTCTACTCTACTCTGTAAGGATAACAAACCGTAATCTATTTTCATCCTCCTCTCTCATAGACAGGAATGCACACACAAAACACACATGCTTCTTGATTGGATTTGACAGATTTGGTGTTTGTTCTTTGGAGACAGGTTTCCTTTTTATTCCAGGCAGGAAGAACATTCTATAAGACAGTTCTAGAAAAATGGAATATGAGTTCTTCACCAAAAGGAGTTGGGTATGAAGTCCAGCAGAGACAGTACTATTAGGTTGAGTTTTCTTTGCGTAAAATCTATTCTTACTGGTGTGGTTTTAACGTACTTAGGGATATGAGTCACTGAATTTTTACCCAGAGGCCTGAACCCACATGATAAACTGGAGGTGGCTGTACCTCCTGTAATGACAGATTTCGTCCCTGTACATAACTGGCCCCAAGCATTTCTCACCATCTGCAGAGGGTTCTGAGCCTCTGCTGGACGTCCTGGTGGTTGAGACAATGCAACAGGCTGAAACCATTGTCTCGATGTTTCTGTGTCATGGGACCACAGGGTTTAAGAACAAGCAAGGTGGCAGGACATGCTCACGGGTGAGTAGAAGGCAGGACACTGCACCGTGGGCTGCTAGAAAATATTCCATGTGAGGCCTCGCGCGGTGGCTCACGCCTGTAATCCCAGCACGTTGGGAGGCCGAGGTCGGTGGATCATTTGAGGTCAGGAGTTCAAGACCAGCCTGACCAAATGGTGAAACCTCGTCTCTACTAAAAATACAAAAAAAATTAGCCGGGCGTGGTGGCGGGCGCAATCGCTTGATCCCGGGAGGTGGAGGTTGCAGTGAGCCTGACGAGACCACGCCATTGCACTGCAGCGTGGGCAACAGAGTTAAAAAAAAAAAAAAAAAAAAGCAAGCCATGTGCAGTTTATACAGACATAATACAAGCAACGCCCAATTGTATTTACCCAAATGGCATAGAAAAGTAAGTTTATATTTTTGGTTTCCTTTAGAAGTGCCAGTTAGTTATATTTATTAAGCAATTAGAAAGTTAAGCTTCTGTATTTAATTGCATAGATTAGTTTTTGAGGTAGCCAAAACTTCTTAATCCATTAAAAGTTGTACTTGCCTGCAATGAACAATTATTGGACAAGAACGGCCCCTGTAGCACTTGTTTACTTTTCTGAAATAAAAAGAGATATAAAAATTATCGTTGTGTACTAAGACTTTGCGTTATCCAAAACAACTATTAAAACAAAGCGCAAGGTCTGTGTGTTTGAAATCATTTTGCAATCGCTTGTTTTGACGGAGAAAATAAAAATCATACGCATAATATCAAACATTTATTCTTCTTCTCAACATGACGTTATTAATCGGAGCTTTAAAACCAATGTTACACCTCTACACTGCTTTCTTCTTCCAAGGAGGGGTGCCAGGCTTTGAACCAGTGGACTCCCGGCCTGTCCTGCCCGTCCCACCCCTGCAGGCTCTCCTCTTTCTGTTTCTGCTTATGTTGACTTGACCTTTTGTTACACTACATCTTGATTCTTCACTAAAATTTTTGAGTTTTGCAATTTATGCTCAAAATTTCTTAGTCCAGACATCATATTGAAAACTGTTATTTCCATACTGTCTAAAAACAGCATCTTCAAGGGCATTTGTGACCCGTCAGCTTTTGGTAAGGATATCTAAATTACGGAGAAACCTCTATGAAGTCCAAGACAAGTCCCTTCCATGCTTATAACTTTGAGTATACAAACAACTTCATTGTGCAGAGTTTAGATCAGAAGTTGTAAAAATTAGAAATGAGCATATATTTAAGATTTCATAACCAACCCCTAAATCAAAACAGAGGACTGATTTAAAATTCACTGTGTAAATCCAGGTGTTTTTTTTTAATTCAGTGAAACAATGAAACATGTTTATGAAGTCCATTAAAGTTGTCAGTGAACTATTTCTGAATAAGTAAAATTAAAGGCGGAACCTCGGGTTATTGGAATAAAGCATGTGTGAAGGAGAGTGTTCTACAATGTGCTGCGTGAACTCCTACAAGAAACAAATTAAGAAAAATGGAAGTATGGACCATCAATGGGAAAATGTCACGTTTCTTTGCAAAGCCTTGCCTATCCAGCACCAAAGAGTCCGTGGAAAGTAAACATTCCATCAACCGGTGCTTTGCTACAAACCTTTGAAGCCAGGAGGGGCAGGGTGGCTGTGGAAGGAGAGGGGAGGTGAGTGTCCAGTGAGCATGAGGGGAGGGATGCTTGAATACGGCGGAGCCCAAACCACAGAGCTTTCTCCTCCTCTCTTCCTATTCCCTGAGGAGTTACCAGAACAAGGCCCTTCTGATGGGAGTGTGAATGCCCAGTCTGGAGGGCACCACGGGAGCTGAAGGAGCAGTTGCAGGGACTGGACTCGGCGTGCCCACCTGCAGATGGGCCGCGGCCACAGCCTAGCCAGGACGCACTTGATCTGTGCTGCCCTCTGGTCTGTGAAACACGAGGCTGATGCCCAAAAATGGGCGGGCTCAGACACAGGCACAACCAGCAACGGCCTCCAGGGCCGTGTCACCGTTTCTGTTAGAGGTGTTTGTTGTTGTTTTTCCGGGGCACACAGTGGTGCGAAGGCTTTGGGGAGAGGCGGGGAAGGCAATGGTGAACTCCTTAGAGGCAACAGCACTTGTATGCCAGAGTGCCTTGAACATTCTTGGTCCCTGGAGAATAAAGAGGTTGGAAAACAGACCCACTTATGTCTACTTCTACAATTTTCCATTCCTGACTCAGGCTGTAAAGCATCGAGGGCTCCTGATGACAGAATGGATACCAGGCCTCAGGGGTGCACCCCAGCATGGGGGTGGGAAGCCCTCCAGCTCAGTAAAGACCATGTGTGTGTGCATGAGACTGCACGCATGTGTGTGACGTGAGCACGTATGTGCACACGTGTGCACGTGTAGAATCAAGCAGGCTCAACTATCAGACCAAATGGTGAGTGGCTTTGCTTTGAAAGGCCTTTTGCCTTTGGCAGAGGAGTTTACTGGCCATGGCTCAGCCTCTGAATCTTGCAAATGGGAATGACCTCAGTTCTGCTCCTCCAGCTTCCTGCTGTGTTTCACACCTCGTGGTCCACTCTACGCAGAGACTAAGCTCAGCTTCTGGGTCCACACCCACCAGTCACCAGGGGTTGCTCATTTTTTCCTCATGAGACCAAGTACACCCAAAAAAGGGACAGTAAAACAAACCAAACCCCAAACCCCAAACCAGATACCCTTTAAGAAAGTGTGCTGGTTTGAGGAAAGGCCAGCATAAGAAGTCAGTAGACAGCGGTGGCTCATGGATAGCTGGTCAGCTCCTGCTTTGGCAAAATGCAGTAATAACCCCCTTGGCTGGGAAATGCTCCTAGCCAGTGAATTTGTGGCTACGATGGCCTCAACCTGCTTCCCCACTCCCGAAACTCCTGTCTCTATCTCACAGTATACGGAAGATACCATTTTCTCTGACATGTTGTGCCTGGTGGCCTTGGGAAGGTTTCGCTGTAATTTTCATATCCGTACCAGCCCCCACCTTGTGCTCAACCTATTTACAAAAACCCACGGGCAGTCAAGGACATGTGCAGTGTAGATACAGGGTGTGGCATGGCTGAGGACTTTATTTACAAAGGATCATGCAGTTGTATTATTACACGCAAAGCATCACAAATAGAGAGGAAAACCACGACATATTGAACACAAGAGTTCATCCGGTTGACCCAAGATGTAGACCACGAGTTATTCAGGAAGGTGACACAGCCGTCTCATTTGACTCCATCAGAACAAAGAATCAGTGAGCAAAAGGTCTCCAACAGTAAGAAAAGTTGGTATCATAGAAACTTCCACAACAGGAATTCACTGAGAAAGAACGATTAGTGATACAAACCAACCCAGGGGTCACCGGGCGAGAGCGCACCGTCATGCAAAGCACCAGCAAGCAAGGTCAGAGGTCGTTAGAGGCTCAGAAAAGGGGCTTTCCACATCGCCCCTGCAGTACAGTCACAGTTTCCAATGATCACTTTTGTGACTATGCAACTGGGCTCATATTACTAGCTGCAACATCACAAAAATGACACTGGCCACCGCTAATTAGCTGGCAAGGTAAGGGTTTGTCCGTTTTACCGTGAGCAGCGTTAGTGAGCACCATTGCACACAGCAAGAAGGGAGAGAGTAATAATGAGAGAGAGAGAGAGAGAGAGAGTTTTTAAAGCAAAGCCCTCACATGTGATGCTAATTATCTCTTAGCAGTTTCTCTTTAAAGTGTAAATGCGCTCCCTCTGGGCTCCAGAAATATTTAATCACACATCTCGGTGCCTGGCGAACGCGCCAGGCCAGAGTGAGAACGCGTCGTCTATTGTTCAAAGATAAGAAACGCTGCAGCATGAAGATGGCCGGTGTCTTCAGAAGGGGTCTCACCTTTCCTGTCGCTGAAATCGGGGTGGCTATTTTATACAGAAAACCAGCCACCGGCAATGCTTGTCTAAGTGTGAAGCTTTCTGAGAATGTGTTCGCTCAAACCCACTGTCCAGATAACACATGAAAGGTGGCCTTGGCCGAAACGCTGGGCGGTGCCAGGTAAGGCAGGCAAGAAAAGCTTTCTACTCTGACGTGGCTTTCAAAACCGTGTCTGGGGGTTCATTAGCTTTTGAATTTAACAAAAACCTTCTTAGGCTGTATCTCCTCAGACCCTGGAGCAAGGGAAATTTGGGAATCCAATTTTTCTTGGTGATGAATCATAAACACTGAGGGTCGGTGATGTACATGTTCCCGTCCATATATGGATATGGACATAGCAACGTGCCCATATGCATATACGTGCAAACACACTGGATGAACGCAAAGACGGGGTGTTAAGATGAATTGCCGTCTTTGTAGTTACATCCATTTTGCCAGGAATGACTGTTTTTTGAAGACTCTATTTCAGGAAATTATGTAAGATTTCTACATAGTATGTCTTTAGAAATAAATCCGTATTGACAGAATGTACATAATGGCCAGGAAATTAGCGTGGGTGAGGAAGGAGCCGTGTACAGTAGTTGTTTTAGGATGTACTCAGGACTCTGGATCTACGCTCTGCGTCCCCAGGGGAGGTGACGGCAGGCAGGGGCCACTGAGTGTGTGTTGTGGCTGTGACACCAGATTCAAGTGTCTCCTTGCAGAGGCTCTTGATTGATTTCTATTGATTCAAATTACAAAAAACTGCATTTTGCTTTTCAATGTAGACTAAAAGGCAAAATAAATTGAATCATAATAAGCTTCAGAATCTGTAATACACAAATTCAAGAATTCCACAGAGAATTCAAAAATCGCTTCTTTATGACAATCTTTGTCTCGTTAACCTCCCTCCAGTTACATAACTGTAGACTCGAGAATGAGTAACTGTTAAGAATCAAGTCACTTTATGATAGTGGGGCATGGCATTGGATTCAAATGCATTTTTTCTTCTTATTCTCCTTGTTTGGATATTTGTCTCTTTTCCTCAATAGGTAGACTTCTGATCAGTTAAATGTAAGACATATTCTATACAATTTAGAGCTTCGTCACTGATGCTTTTGACAATTTCATTTTCCTTGTGGTGGTTTATTCACTAAGCACCACCACCTAGCCAATGCGGACCGACTGTTTACCACAATCAAAGCTGTGGTCTTAAATGCTGCTTTTTTTTCATTGTCAATTTCTTCCTGTAAGACAGAGTCTAGCATTCACTTCAACAGTTCAGTAAATACACTCTCAAACCAGACAACGTATTGGGTGACTGGCTGACTGGAGCAATGAACAAAAAACTGAATTTTTTAAAGAGGGTCAGTTTCAAAATAGCCCTAAAAATACAGACAGCCACGGGCTAAGTGTCTCCGGGCTTCCCTGCAAGATCACGCAGGGTGGTATCTGGGCCTGCGCTCGCTACCTCTTTCATCCCATGCAGCCAGATGAGAATCCAACTGAACATCCGAGCTTTATGCATCAATATCCTGTGGCACATACACTTTAGGCTCTTTGTCAACTGAAGAACCTTATCAAAAATAATGGCCCTATTTCCACAGTTCGAAGATGCCTATTCCCCCTCACATTTTAATACCTCTGAAGCTAGAAAATCGCTCACGATTAACACGTGCCGTTAACGGAGTCTTCCCGCCTCTCGCTTCCCTTCCCCTCCCCCCTGCGGCGCCGACACAGACGCGGCCCTCGGCGCCAGGGGCGTCTCAGGAGCACCGAAGCCTCGCTCCCCTGTGCCGCGCGCTCAGCGCGCACTGCCCTGCCGGCGGGCCGCGCGTCATACCTGCGGAAGTCCAGGAGGGACCTTGAGGAGGAAGGGACTCCTCGGTCATACCAACTCAGGAAGTGGAACTGCGTCACGGTGCGCGTCTCGTTGGTCTGCAGGTTCTTCAGATAGAAGCTCCTCACCAGGAAGTCCTCACACCAGATGTGCTCGGAGACCAGGTTCACCTGGCAGGGAGGAGCGGAGGGAGGGGACAGAGACAGGTGTGGACATTGTGAACCGAACCTCAGGCACTGAGGAACCCAGGGCCACGTCTGACCAGAGAAGGGGGCGCTGCGAAGAGGGCACATTTTACAGCGCAGGTGGGTTCCCTCGGCTTCGCGGCCCCCTCCCACCTTCCCAGTGTTAACGCACTGAAGTTAGCTCCGTGCGGGTGTGTGTGCTTAGTGTTATTTAGGGGCTTGAGCGTCAAATAATTTTTTAAAAGGTTACAATCCAAAACTATCCTACTTTCTGTCTTTTGCATGTCCATGTTACATAAACCCTCAAAAAAAGGAACCAGAGAAAAATTACACTTTTCAACAAAAGCAGCGACACGACTACATGTTCTGCTCAGTGGTTCCACTCTAAGTGAGACTCCGTCGCAGCTGCGCACACCCGGGTCTAGAGCAGGAAAAGCAAAAGGCTCACGGAGTCGCGCTGATGTGAACCCCAGCGCAGGCACTTCCGGGCCTAAGCGTTTCTGCAGGAACCCCAAGGCCACAGCTGTGTGGTTTAAGGTTCACACTTGAGCCTCTAACTCGCTTCCTGCTGTGGAGCTTTGGCATTCTCACTCATTTAATGCCAAACAGAATCAAAGCATGCATTCTAGTGCTGGCTTAATCACCCACGTTTATTTAGTTCATTCTTGATGGGGGCAGAAAATCCAGCCAGATAAATAAACTGGTGAGCAGGTTATCCTCAAATAAAAAGGTCACATGATCCAGCCACGAAACTCCAAGCAGAGCCACGGGGAGGCCACACGGCTCAGGCACTGGCATCAAGGATGGGCGCCAGGTTTTCTTAAAAACGGACCCCACTTAAAGGCTTGTTATATGGGACCGGGACCACGCTGTGAGGCGAATGTTTTTTCTACTCTGTTATCATTTGGATTTAGAAAAATCTAAAAGATAAAAACCACACCACACTCCCAGGGTCTGGTTCATGAGCACACAGCCGTGTGAACCATCCACACGGGCATGCGGCCCTCGGGGGTGACTCAGCCTCCGTCCCCTGAACATGGGGTGCGCTGAGCCTCCCTGCATGCGGCCCTCGGGGGTGGCTCAGCCTCCATCCCCTGAACATGGGGTGCGCTGAGCCTCCCTGCATGCGGCCCTGGGGGGCCCTAACGAATCCCATTCGGAGGAGGAGCAGGGCCCGTCCTCGTCCGGCTGGTGGGTCCTGCCCTGGGTGGCTCTGGTCGGAGTACCTCATAGATGTGGTAGAGATTGGAGCCTTCATCCGGCCAGTAGTGGTAGCACTGCCGGACGCCGTTCTCCGCGAGGGGTGTCAGCATGACGATCACCACGCAGCCGCTCTCCCACACCATCTGCGGACAAAGAAGGCCCGTGGCCGCGGTGTGACTGTCTCATCACCGCGTGACATGTGTAATTACTGCACTCGGAAGCACAGTCCAAATTTATTCCATTCACAGGACATTTATTTCATTTTCATCAGACATGTTTACTCCGCAGCTGCCTGAGCATCTCTGAATGCACTGGCCCATAGTTTGCATGTTCCACGAAATATTAAAAAACCCCGCAAATTTATCCCATGCCATTTAGAGCTTCCTCAGGTGTAGGTTCAGCTGTGTGGTTTTCCAACTTCTGATCTGTAAAGGAAACTTTCTACAACGCCACACATAACAGCCAGCACTTCTCGAGGCGGTGCCGACACCCTCACTTGCTGGTGGCTAGCATCATTTTGCTCACCTAGAGAAACGTTTTGCTTCGTGAAGCTGCTGTCCTGTCAGAAGCAGCCTCCGAAAGGCTTCTTTTCAAAGTACTTCACGGAAAGCAGTACTGCACTGCTGCAATTTCATTTGTTTATACCGAAATATGGCAACACTATTCAGATTAAAGCAAATACCAAATTGATTTACTAATTCCTATTAGCCACATTGAAACACAATAAACAAAAGCACATTTAAACCCACAGAAATTACAAAGACACAAAGTCCTCTGACCTCGTTTCTTTGCAAACACAACTGGCTACTTGTGGCTGTAAACCCACATCTTAACATTTACAGCCTAACTACCCAAAACCACTAATCCTGTGGGGCACACTGATGTGGCATTTGTAGATTTTTATTAGCATATGAAATTATAGAGTGAAGAGGGGTCTGCTTTTTCTGCAATGGGTTACATTAACTTGGCAGAAATGTTTATAAGCAACTGCATTTAGATGTAAATTTGGTATCCAAGACAGTTTCTATTTCTTTTAAAAACAGACACAAAATCCAATTAAGACCTTGTTATTTTAAAAACCCTCATATCCCAAATATAAAATGCTGTCATCGTAGCGCATGTTACTGAATTCCACATTTATATTTTAAAAATCAGACACAAACACGACATTTTCCTTTTTTAATATTGATTTATGTTCTCACGGGGCTGAAATAGTCAATATCCTCAAGGCACCTCACTGTGTAACATTTACATCGGAAGCCAATGGAACCAACTGAAGTATTTACAAAACGCCCACAAATAAATAAGAATTATGCTCAAATTTGTGCACTTTCTCTTTCCTTAGTGCCCATCCGACAACAAGATGAGAATTCAAAACATGTTTCTTACGCCAGGCTTTTCAGGCTTTCAAACCTGCTCCTCCAAATCGGTTCTTCCATCACATAACAATTTAATGTGCCTTCAGAAGGTGGAGAAGCTCATGGAAGCCATTACGAAAATGAGGAGAAACACAGATTTTATGAGTGTAATAAAAATACAATGATCTAGACCATAAACTAATCATCCGGCACTCGGCTCCGTGCCACCCAAGTGTGACATTACAGAGCCCCGTCGACTGGGGGGACCCGGACGGCCTGGAAGCCGCACTCATTGGCTCTCGCGTCCGCCCTTCATTATGGGGCGCCTTCCCGGCTCTCTGAAGATTTGGTTAAGATTAAATCCAAATGAAACTTAATTTAAACAAGCAATCCCAAAGGCGCTCTGGGGAATAATATTTCTTTTTAGGTCACTGTGTATAAAAGCAGAGAGGGGAATTTACTAAATCAAACAAATAGGCAGCCCAATTGGGTACCAATATTACAAGCTGTTCATGGAACTGATTACATTATCTTGTGTTCCTTTGAATCGGTACAAAGCAACTCAATCGAGGAGGAAAACTATGGCATTTCTCCATCTGTTTCCAGCCTTCAACAGCGCGCCTGACCAGATAACCTCAGAATACATCGCAAAAAGTTAATTTGGATTTTGGTATGAATGCAGAATCAGTAAAAATCCCAGTCGAGTAAGGTTCAATTTCTAATCGGGGAGAAGTTTCACTATTTTCTTTCTCATTGACTTGGTCTTTGCTGACAGGTGAAATACGGAAGTGCTAACCCCTGGCACCTGTGAATGTGACCTCATTTGGATACAGGATTTTTCAGACTTAATCAAGTTAACATTGGTTTGTGTCACAAATCTTTGAGAAATCTAAAACTGTCTCTTTCAGGAAGTAAATAATGACCCAGGATCCTTATTTAATCTTAATGCAGTTCATTGGAATGCGCAGTTTACAAAACTGTATGCCTGAATTCCAGAAATGACCATTACTGGCACTTCCTGTTTGGTGAAGGGTAAGAGAACACGGCCCCCATGGCCACCTGCACAGCCGAGTACCTGCACACCCCAGCACCTGCACACCCCAGCACCTGCACACCGCAGCACCTGCACACCACAGCACCTGCACACCGTGGCACCTGCACACCCCAGCACCTGCACACCCGAGCCGAGCCCCTGCACATCTGAGCACCTGCACATCCGAGCCCCTGCACACCCCAGCACCTGCACACCCCAGCCCCTGCACACCCCAGCCCCTGCACACCCCAGCACCTGCACACCCGAGCCCCTGAACACCCGAGCCCCTGCACACCCCAGCACCTGGACACCCGAGCCCCTCCACACTCCAGCACCTGGACACACCAGCACCTGCACACCCCAGCACCTGCACACCCCAGCACCTGCACACCCGAGCCCCTGCACACCCCAGCACCTGCACACCCCAGCACCTGCACACCCCAGCACCTGCACACCCGAGCCCCTGCACACCCCAGCCCCTGCACACCCCAGCACCTGCACACCCCAGCACCTCCACACCGTGGCACCTGCACACCCGAGCCCCTGCACACCCCAGCCCCTGCACACCCCAGCACCTGCACACCGCAGCCCCTGCACACCCCAGCACCTGCACACCCGAGCCCCTGCACACCCCAGCACCTGCACACCCCAGCACCTGCACACCCCCTGCACACCCCAGCACCTGCACACCCGAGCCCCTGCACACTCCAGCACCTGCACACCCGAGCACCTGGACACACCAGCACCTGCACACACCAGCACCTGCACACCTGAGCCCCTGCACATCCCAGCACTTGCACCACCATCCCTGGATCGAACCAAAGTCACCAACATGGACTGAAAATGAGCCGCAAGTGCTGGATCCCGAGTGTGAACGGCTGGCACCACGCTTTGGAGGAAAACTGATACTCCCCAGTTTTACATACTTCTTCTCCAGTGCAGCGTCCCCAGGCCTCAGCATCCCCCTTGAAGGCTCTAGCTGTGCCAGCTCTGTGGGCCTGGGGTGGGGAGGGGAGCAATGTTGCGCTTTGCTGTTTATGATTCCAGAAGGAATGGAAGTGGTCAGCCCAGTGGTTCTCAGAGACCACCAAACACAGGGGTTAAAGCCTGCTGCCAGGCTCTGTGAACCTGAGCCATCTCGACGCGCCCGGCAGGGACACAGCAGCTTGCTGTGAGGTCTCCTGACAGCTGTTCAGCAGCAGCAAGTGGAGAAATTCAGTGATTCGGACAGTGACCCAAGGAACAAGAAGTGCAGACTTCGGCTGTTATTTGACCCAACTGAGTAAGTTTACTGACTGTAGATTTAAAAACCATATTGTTGTTTGTTACAGGTTCAACGCTGTCCTCCCCACAGCTTATATTGACGTCCTAATCCCTGGTATCTATGAATGTGGCCTTATTTGGAAACAGGATCTTTGCAGATGCAACTGAGCTGAGGGTGGGTCCCAATCCAACGTGACTGTGTCTTTAGAAGAAGAGGGAGACACCTCGAGAAGGCACAGACACGGAGAGCGGCCACGCGCAGACAGGCAGAGATGGAGTGTTGTGGCCACCCACGCCACACCCCTCATGGCAGGCGGCCACGGGACACTGCAGAGGCCGTGAGGATCTTCCCCCACAGGCTTCGGAGAGCGTGGCCCTGCTCACACCTGGATCTCAGACTACCAGGCTCCAGAACTGCGAGGGGATGCCCTCCTGTTGTTTTAAAACAACGAGTTTGCAGCACCTTGTGATGTCAGCCCTAGCAAGAGATGCATCCGCTGCAACCTCACTCTCTTCTTCACCCATCAAATCACCCACAGGCGTGGAACAATGGCCACCCCGCCTACGCTTCCTATCAACACCGATGGAGAGGAACACAGGGCCTCTTCACTCTAGGTCCTTTTTGAGTGCTAAGTATTTAATTAGCAAACAAACAAAAAAACAAATGACCCAACTAAAAATGGGCAAGGGATCTGAGCACACATTTCTCCAAAGAAGACAGACAAATGGCCCGCACGTATGTGAAAAGGGGCTGAATGTCATCAGCCATCAGGGAAATGCAAATCAAAACCACAGCGCACTGGCACCTCGTGCCTGTTGGGATGGCTGCCACCGAAAAGAGGGGGATGGCAAGTGTTGGAGAGGATGTGGAAGAGACGGAACCTTACACACTATACGGTAGCAATGTGAGTGAGGGCAGCCTTTACAGAAAACAGTATGGAGGGCCAGGCACGGTGGCTCACACCTGTAATCCCAGCACTTTGGGAGGCCGAGGCAGGTGGATCACGAGGTCAGGAGTTCGAGACCAGCCTGACCAACATGGTGAAACACCATCTCTACTAAAAATACAAAAATTAGCCGGGTATCGTGGCATGCACCTGTAATCCCAGCTACTCAGGAGGCTGAGGCAGGAGAACCTCTTGAACCTAGGAGGCGGAGGTTGCAGTGAGCCGAGACCGTGTCATTGCACTCCAGCCTGGGTAACAAGAGCAAAACTCCACCTCAAAAAAAAAAAACAAAACAAAAAAAACAATAAAACCAGTATGGAGAGCCTCAAACAATTACACAGAACCACTGTGTGATCCAGCAATCCCACTTCTGGGTATAGACCCAAAGGAAATAAAATCAGTGTGTGGAAGGGACATCAGCACCCCTTTGTTTATTGCAGAACTATTCACAATAAACAAGATTTGGAACAACCCACATGTCTGTCAATGGATAATGGCTAAAGAAAATGTGGTATATACACAATGAAATATTATTCAGCCTTAAGAAAGAATGAACTCCTGTCATTTTTGACAACATGGATGAACCTGGAGGACACGACGTTAAATTGAAATAAGCCGGACACAGAAGGACAGGCACCCCATGATCTCACTCACATGTGGCACCTAAAAAGGACGAACTCAGGGACAGAGTAGAAGGGGGGCTGCCAGGGCCTGGGGCTGAGGGTGGAATGGGGAGCAATTGATCCAAAGGTAGTAACTTCCAGTAGAGGACAGCTGAATTCTGGAGACCTGGCATTCAGCATGGTGACTGTAGTTAATAAGAGTGTTGGGCACAGAGATTTGCCAGGAGAGTAGGCTTCAGGTGCTTCACCACACACAAAGAAACGGTAACTACGCGAGGAGACGTGTATTCATTAGCTTGACTGTGGTCATCATTCACGATGTCTGCGTGTGTCAGAACATCAGGCTGTACACCTTAAACATTTACAATTAAAAACAACTCGACCGGGCACAGGGGCTCGCACCTCTAATCCCAGCACTTTGGGAGGCCAAGGCAGGCGAATCACTTGAGGTCAGGAGTTCGAGACTAGCCTCGCCAACATGGCAAAACCCTGTCTTTACTAAAAATAGAAAATTAGCCAGGTGTGTTGGTGGGTGCTGTAATCCCAGCTACTCAGGAGGCTGAGGCAGGAGAACTGCTTGTGCCTGGAAGGCAGAGGTTGCAGTGAGCTGAGATCATGCCACTGCACGCCAGCCTGGGTGACAGAGCGAGACTCTGTCTCAAACACACACACACACACACACACACACACACACACACACACACACACACACACTCTTAAAATAAGCTCTCCTGAAGCCCCACAGAGACCTGATTTAAGGGAAGATGATCAATCTGAAATAGTGAAACACTGGAGCTGGATGTGGTGGTGTGAACCTGTAGTCCCAGCTAGTTGGGAGGCTGAGGTGGGTGGGAGGATCATTTGAGCCCAGGAGTTCAGGACCAGCCTGGGCAACATAGTGAGATCCCATCTCTGAAAAACAAAACAAAAAACTGAAATAGTGAAACGCCAGGCCATTTTCTCTACAAAACATCCCTGGGCCCCTTCAGGAGGAAAGCTTCTCCTCCTTCTACTTAGATCTTTTGTGATGAGTCCCTTCCTGCCTGTGTTAGTCTTGTCTTTAGCCCGTATGTCTTTCCTCTACCAGACTATCATCTCTTTAAAGACTCCATCCTAGTCCAGTTACCTTTTCTACCCTCCATGGCATCTAACAGATGCTTCATTGAAAACAATTCACATTTCTAAGAGGCCGTTTGGATATTTATGTAAAAAAAAAGATAACCGAAAGAAAATGTTATCAAAGGCTTGCATGGCAGAAGTCCTCCAGGACTTGCTTAAATGTACAGACAAGTGTTCAGTTTTTAAAAAAACAAGCATGGTAACTGCATCCCGCTGAAGCGGTTGCCATGAAGATGCATTTCCTCCAGAGCAGGTGCGGGGCCCACGCAATTCTGCTGCACAGCTCATTTCTGCTCATTTCTGTTGTGAGCGTCCTCTCGTGGGCTGAACAGAGGTTTAGACTTATAAAGAAGATGCAGCTAAATTTAAAAGGATGAGGAGTCAGTTAATGGGAAAACACTCGTATTTCACTCCTTAGGAGCTCACCGATGCCTGGAAGTTAAACTGTGTGGTCTGAGACAGATTAAAGAGGAAGAAATAGTGTGTGTGACATCTTTTGCAGGGGAAACCTTCAGCTCTGCTCTCACCCTGCCCAGAGGACAGTCCTAAGAAATGAAGCTTCAGGCTTTGCGGCTCTGGTTCCGAGAGAGTCACAGGCTCCAGGCCACAGCACGCACATTTGGACACGGTAATATAACCCAACGCAGGGTGACAAAACCTTCGTGATGCCGTCCATGACCAGCTCATGGTGCACCTACCTGGCTTTTTTTTAGTAAACAAATATCTCAGTGTGGGATTCATTTAGGGATGACACGATGAGGTGACGTAGCCCACACACACGTCAGCAGTGCTGATGGAAAGGCTGATGAGGGGGCAGCGGGAGGAACCCCCCTGTGCCGCTATCAGATCGACGCCTGTGCTGCCTTGTAGCCCCATCCCAGGGCTGAGGAGCAGCTGCAGCAACCTCTGGGACTTTTCCACCAGCAGTATTGCCGCCCAGGAGGAAGGGGAAGCCTCAGAACACCAGCAGTATTGCTGCCCAGGAGGAAGGGGAAGCCTCAGAATGAGGACTTGCCACTCCACCAAAGTCGGGTCTGTGTTCTCCGGGAAGGACTCAGCCTGCTTGTGTGCAAGCAGACCCCGTGTGGCTTGGTGTGGCCATCCTGCCGCATAGGGGTTCCCACGGTGGGAATGCACTCACACACTGGACTTCCTCTCCACCCGGCCTTTGTGTGACCACCGTGGGTGCCTTTGTGATCAGGCATTGGACCCGCACAGGAAGTCACCTGGCACAGGCGTCACTGAGACTCCCTGTGGCCTCTGCCTGTGCTCACGTTCCCGGTTAAATATGCGCCTGGTCTCCTTGCGGGGAGCTGCTGCACTGGGCGGCCTTTCCTTTTCAAGATCAGGACCTGACATAAATGCATCAGATCCAGTTGTGAAGCAAGAGAGGAAGAGGAAGAGGAAGAGGGGAGGAGGAGTGGGGATGGGAGGAGCTGGCCGGAGGCTGGGAACCAATCACACACAGGAGCAGCAGAGCCTGCTGTTCTCAGCTGGAGCAGTAAGAATCAGTCAGAAAGGAAAGCCGGACCTGTCCTTTCTACTTGAGTCCCATTTTAAATTCCGCATGTGTGCGGCGAGAGACTGACCGACCATCTTTGCACTGTCCCAGGCAGAACCATGGACAAGCTTTGAGGTCATAGGTTTCAAACCCAAAATTTAGATAAGGCAACGTGAGAAACAGTTTCTTTCACCTTTAAAGGTTCGTGAATTTATGAATAGAAAAAAATCCAGCAAGACCAAACCTTTGAAATATAACAATGTCCTGGAAAGTCTCAGGCATGTGGTTAAAGTACTTATCAATCATGGAAATGAAAAATCAAGTTTTTCCTAAGAAATTAAGAATGAACACAACTCTCATGTTAATTCCTAAGAATTAACACAACTCTCATGCTTCCCTTTAATCAAGTAACGTGCCTTAAAATCAACCCATCTGTGACGTAGCAGCCTCTGAAGTCATTTCCCCCCGCTAACCTCCTGACTCTCCCTTCACTCCAGAGTCAGTGAGATCCACAGACGGTTCCCTCTCGCACCAGTCACTGTCCAGGGGGTGGAACAGGATGATGAGCAAGCTGAGTCTTCACCCACACTAGGGAGCTGCAGGGACTGGGGGACATTCTCATGCTTTTGGAGCCAGACCACTTAAGGTAACCAAGGACCCAGAGCAGACACCGTGGTCCCAGGCTGGACACATCTGACGAGAAAGGAGAGGCTGCCAGACACCGGGTCTGTCCTGGAGACTCAGGGCCCCTGCTGCTGGATGCTGGGTATGTCCTGGAGACTCAGGGCCCCCGCTGCTGGACGCCACGTCTGTCCTGGAGACTCAGGGCCCCCTGCTACTGGACACTGGGCCTGTCCTGGAGACTCAGGGGCCCCGCTGCTGGATGCTGGGTCTGTCCTGGATGCTCAGGGTCCCCGCTGTTGGACACTCGGTCTGTCCGGGACACTCAGGGCCCTGCCTCCCACATGCCGAGGGAACATTAAAACAGTTGTGAGTAGCTGGGGGCCGTGAACCAGCTCGGGCTGAGCGGATGCCATCTTTGGAGGATTTAAATGTTTTTAAAAATTAGGTGGTGTAGGACCATCCCCTCCACCGGGGCCAGGCCAGGGTCATCTCTGGATGCTCTGAGGTTTGGTTGCTGGTGGTGCTGATGGTGATGCCTGCAGTGGTCATCCTGGGCTGATCAAGGAAGCTGCCCAGAGACAGTGCATGGTGTGGAATCCAGGCCTGCCATCTTCCCACCCACCCCTGCCTGGACTAGTGCAGTAGCTGACACAGCAGACAGGCAGATACACAGGCAGGCAGACAGGCAGACAGGCAGGCAGACAGACAAGACAGGCAGATAGAGACAAGACAGGCAGGCAGACAGAGACAAGACACACAGGCAGACAGGCAGACAGCGAGACAGGCAGACAGACAGGCAGACAAACAGGCAGACAGGCAGACGAGCCACTGGTGCCGGGTGGTGGGCGGCCCTGCACGGTGACAGTCAGCTGTCAACTGTCATTCTCCTGCACCTCGGCCTTGTCACCGGTGGCTGGCAGGCAGTTGGAAGGAAACACCGTTAAATTCTTTGGGTCTTCCACAGTTCCAAGTTCAGGATTTTTTCTTAACCATAGTAAGAACTATGATCTACAGATGCCAAATAATAAAAAGCTGTATTTACATCAAGCCTATCAATTTGGAAATGAGAAAACATATCCCCCCAGCTGAGGCTTCATCACAGAATACTTTTAGAAAGCAGAAACTAGAAATTGAAAGTGCACCTTTTTCTTGGTAAAATGTTGATGTGCAATAAGAGTCAACACACATCCGATGCCAGTGGGACACCTGCTGACTTCAGCGAGCGCTTTGTGCTCTCTCTGGGGGCCAGGAGAGCTGTTTCGTGTCTGACTCTGTCCTGAAAGGCAGCCTGTTCATCAGACAGGAGAGGCAAGGCTGAACTTTGGAGTTGTCCTCTTGGCTGAGCCTCCCATACAGGGAGCCAGTTCCCACGGTGGCTGTCCCCATGCCTGGGCTCCCGTGGTGGCTCTCCCCATGCCTGGGTTCCCAAGGTGGCTGTCCCCGTGCCTGGGCTCCCGCGGTGGCTGTCCCCGTGCCTGGGCTCCCGCGGTGGCTGTCCCCGTGCCTGGGCTCCCGCGGTGGCTGTCCCCGTGCCTGGGCTCCCGCGGTGGCTGTCCCCGTGCCTGGGCTCCCGTGGTGGCTGTCCCTGTGCCTGGGCTCCAGGGCCCTGGCTTTCCATGTCACATCTGCAGACATCCACTCCGCACCTGATGGTGACAGACTATGCTGCCTACATTTCTGGTTTAGAAACAGCTGTTGTGTATCTCCTGGGCACAGCCAGTGTTTGGTGGTGACACACAGAAGCTCTCTCTGGAAGAAGAGCACATAATTCTGCAGCTCTTTCTAAAAATAGGAAAGGGGGGATGGCGGGTGGCCAACTCCCTTCGGTTGACTCGAGCCGCGTAGCACAGGGTGTGGTAGAAGGTGGCGCAGCAGGTGCAGGCAGTAGGGAGGTGGTCCGTGATGGAATATCGATGCCCGCGGCCCCTCCCCTGCCTCCCCGGCAGTCCTAATCTTACAGCTACAGTCCTGCCCGCAGGGGCTTCTCTGTGATCCAGCTACAGTCCTGCCTGCGGGGGCTTCTCTGCGACAGCTGCCCTGTGCACCAGGACATGACTGGGCTGGGGACGCACTGTGGGGCCACGTCCCCGGGAAGGTGCAGACCTTGCTTCCCCGTGGGGAAGTCTCGGCACCTGGAGAAAGCGTCACTTTATCTCCTGTCTCTGAGGACTTTGACTTTCACATATTCTGCGCCTTGAGACTCTGCACACGTGTATTTTTGTAAACAACACCTACTCTGGAAATGCCGAGGTCACTGCTGCCGGATCTCTCTTTTCTGTTTATAGAGACGTCTTCATGTCACTGTGCCTTCTTTATCTGTGAGGAGTGTGTATGCTGAAGAGACACCCTGGCACTACACATGTCTGGGTCTAGAATGGGCTTTGCCTCCCACCAGCTGTGTGGATCTGGGTGGGTCCTTATGGCTCTCTGGGCCACAGCTTCATCCTGGGTAGAATTGGGCTCACTCTGTATATCTCTATTTTAATTGTAGTAAAAGATACCTAACATATAATTTACCGTTTGTAAGTGCACAGTGCAGCGGCAGTAAGGGCCTTCCCACCGTTCTACAACCGTCACCGTCACCACGCTCTTCAGAGCATTCTCATCTTCCCAAATGGAAGCCCTGTCACCATCAAGCCCCTCTGCACTGTCCCCTCCCTGAGCCCCTGGCTACTACCCCCTAGATTCATACTAGGCTTCTATGAATCTGACGCCTCCGGGGACCCCATGAGGTGGAATGATGGGAGGCTCACGATGGCTTCATCGCAGGGTCAATGGCTCGGCCAAATGAGATCCCATATGGGAAGTGCCTGCCCAGGGCCTGGCATTGAAGAGCTCAGTAAATGGGACTTCCTTTCTTCCCCCAGCCCCCTTTCCTTATGCCCACTGGACTCGAATGTCCCCTCCAATGGGTGCGTGTCTTTCACTCAAGGTGGCCCCATTTGGCAGGTGGGAGGCGTCTTTGCAGATTAAAATACACTTTCTAGAGAAAGGCTTTCTAGAGAAAGGCTATCTGACAGGTACCCAAAGCCGCAGGGATCCAGGAGTGGACCATGGAGACCTGCCTCCTCCTCTCGTCTTCCTTCCTGATATTCAGCCTCCTCCCTAAGCGGCTTGTTGA
This sequence comes from Homo sapiens, assembly GCF_000001405.40. Lineage (NCBI taxonomy): Eukaryota > Metazoa > Chordata > Mammalia > Primates > Hominidae > Homo > Homo sapiens. The sequence goes on from NC_000007.14 coordinate 157,589,587, forward strand.
CAGCAACCAGAGCTCAACGCCTGGGGGTGTCAACGGATGGGTATGAGGTGTTAAGACTCCTTATTTAGAAGCATTGAACAAAACAGTAAAACCTCACAGCCAAACTCGTGTTCCTAATTTAAAATTTATTAGAATATTCTTAACCCTTCTTCAGATTTAAATTAGGATTTTAAAAAGAAAGTTTAGGATTTAAAAAGAAAATTAGGATTTTAAAAAGAAAGTTTTACGCACCACCAAGTCCAGACGCCAGCCGAGGCCAAGTTTCCTTGTGACGTCTGGGCTGACAGCGGCGGCGTGGATGAAGAGGGAGCTTGTGGGTGGTGCTCTATGCCGAGGACGGCTTTTTCTGCCTCCTGCAGTGATTTTCAAAACTCTCACCACCCCGGCTGTTTCCACCAAACTCTCTGGCTTCTTTTTCTGTTGTGTTTTGAATGTCAGCACCCTTTTTGAATTTATGATTGCAGAAGGAACATCATATTCCAGATATCATCCCAGAATGACCAGCAGAGAGGACGGTGGACATGTTTCTTCCTAAGATCTTGATATGACTTCAAATAATGTAGCACAAGATTGGCCCATACTTAAGTTTTCTTTCCATTCTTCCTTTAAAATTGTTCCACACTTTAAAAAAAAAGTTTATATGACAAAATGACACCCTCACCCCAAAATGGGTATTCTTTCCTTGAGGGATGTTTTATTTCTAGGCCAGTTTACTACTTACTAGTAACACTGATTTCTGAACTGTAACTCAGACTTCCACAGACCCCTCTGAGCTGGAGTAAGGACCAGGAATTCAGCCGAATGATTTGGAGAGCACTCACAGACAAGGAATTAATTTGGGGTACATCTTCCTTTAGGTAATGAATTTATTTTTAGGAATTTCTTGATGTAAGTCAAATTTTGGAAATCAAATTCTTGAAATGCATCCAGTGTCCATATAGAGCTGGTTCACTGCAGGAAAGCACCATGTGTGCAGTGAGTGGTGACCCTCCGTGGATTTTCGTGCACGTTCTGGGCTCTGCTCAGGGACGCAGCACGGACAGAGGTGCTGTGGGCCCTGCGGGACGGGGAGCTGATGGGGCCTCGCGGTGCCATGCTGGGGGAGAGGCTGGTGAGCATGGAGTGACCTCGATGCCCCATGCTCACCGAGGGGACTTCCCCTGAACCCGTCTTCCAGGCTCCCCCCTTCTGGACCCATGGGCCCCTGTACAGCATTTCTTGCTGAGGAACTTGGGGCCCTCCTGGCTCCTCTGCCTCCCAGCAGCCCAGTGACCTCCAAACGGACTCCTGACCCATCACCATGTCATGTGGGTGCCAATTAGCTGCTTGGAAAAGGTCTTTTTTCTTCTTAGCCATTGTACTGGGTAGAATCATGTACCCCCAAATCCATGTCCACCTGGAACCCATGAATGTGGTCTTATTTGGAAATAGGGTCTTTGCATATGTGGTCAAGTTAAGGTGAGGTCACACAGGCTAGGATGAGCTCTCAGTCCAATGACTGACATCCTTAGAAGAGGAGGGAAATTTGGACCCTGACATAAATCCACGGTGGGGAAAAGCTGTGTGACAGGGAGGCAGAGATGAGGGGGACACTTCGAATCCCCCAAGGAGTGCACGGGCCTGGGGCAGACACGGCCATCTTTCCCATCACGGCCTTTCTCACGCTCACACTTTCTTCCTGGAATTTGCTGATTACCGACAGAGAAGAAACACCTGTGGACCTGCCCCAAGGAGGAGCTTCAGATCAGCATCAACAGCCGGAGATAAAAGGAAGGTGCTTTGGGATGATCCATAACCTTCAGTCTGTGTCCCGATCCTTGGTCAGCATCTGAGAATGGTCCAGAATGGGGATGCAGGAGGAGACGGTCACTCCAACTCAGCCTGTTGACTTCGTCATCACCAACTTCGCATTTCAAATCCACCTTTGTCCTTAAAAATACACGTTACCGTGGGTTTGGAAAAGTTCTGCCTTCCGTGGGAGGTTTTAAAGACAGGTGTTCTTCCTCTGCCTGCGTTCTGCTAAGCCAGAGAGGGCAAAGAGAACCCTAACTTTGAATTTTTAAGAATGTCAATCTTGGGGCTTACTGGTAAGTATTCAATGAAGAACAACGCCTGAGAGATGCTGACATTCTAAAACACACGGTTTAGAGGCCTCCCAGGCAAATGTGACTGTGCTAGGAAGCAACTCTCCTCCATCCTGCTCTGTGTGGATTTATGGCATCGATGGTGGGCAGCTCCTGTGTTCTGCACAGAGGGATCCCCAGGTTGAAGGATGACGTGGAAGCAATGACGTCGTGGTCAGGGACGTCTGCAGGGAGCAAAATGAAGCGAGTTTCTTTAGTTCACAATTTCTCAGAGGCTCTGCTCGGCTGGCATGCTCGAGAACATCCTGGGAGGGCTGAGGCTACTGGCCATGAGCTCTTGTCTTAGAAAAGCTGTGACCAGGTTGAGGGACGCTGGGGTTTCCTGGAACCACCTGATACCTGCTGTCCGAGATGTGTCTCAAAATTATCTTGCATTTCACCTTGCTTTAAAATTTGTCTCTACTTATTTCATACAGAGATGCATCATTTCAATTTCAAGAATATATGCTCCTTGATTATCACTCTAAAATAGCCCATAAGATGTAAACACTGATCAAATGAATTGCCTCCAACAATTGCAACTATCCATAATAAACAGTAAGAAAAATGGTTCACGCCTTCTATTCACTAGCCACAGGAATCTGGGCACGCTATGAGCCTCTGAGTCTCACGGACCACAGAGACTACAGGTCAGCATGTGAGAGCTTCATGTAGGACCCAGCACCTGCTGAACGGAGGTTGGATGTGGGCATCATCGTGGTCGTTGAGTGTGGACACCGAGAGCCTTCACACAGGATGGAGGGTGGATGTGGCACCTGCTGAACGGAGGTTGGATGTGGGCATCATCGTGGTCGTTGAGTGTGGACGCCGAGAGGCTTCACACAGGACGGAGGGTGGATGTGGCACCTGCTGAACCAAGGGTGGATGTGGGCATCATCGTGGTCGTTGAGCATGGACGCCAAGAGCCTTCACACAGGACAGAGGGTGGATGTGGCACCTGCTGAACCGAGGGTGGATGTGGGCATCATCGTGGTCGTTGAGCATGGATGCCGAGAGGCTTCACACATGACGGAGGGTGGACGTGGCACCTACTGAACCGAGGGTGGATGTGGGCATCATTGTGGTCGTTGAGCGTGGATGCCGAGAGCCTTCACACAGGACGGAGGGTGGATGTGGCACCTGCTGAATGGAGGGTGGATGTGGGCATCATCGTGGTCGTTGAGTGTGGATGCCAAGAGGCTTCACGCAGGACGGAGGGTGGATGTGGCACCTGCTGAATGGAGGGTGGATGTGGGCATCATCGTGGTCATTGAGTGTGGATGCCGAGAGGCTTCACGCAGGACGGAGGGTGGATGTGGCACCTGCTGAATGGAGGGTGGATGTGGGCATCATCGTGGTCGTTGAGTGTGGATGCCGAGAGGCTTCACGCAGGATGGAGGGTGGATGTGGCACCTGCTGAACTGAGAGTGGATGTGGGCATCATCGTGGTCGTTGAGCATGGACACCGAGAGCCTTCACACAGGACGGAGGGTGGATGTGGCACCTACTGAACCGAGGGTGGATGTGGGCATCATCATGGTTGTTGCGCGTGGACACCGAGAGCCTTCACACAGGATGGTGGGTGGATGTGGCACCTGCTGAACAGAGGGTGGATGTGGGCATCATCGTGGTCATTGAGTGTGGATGCCCTCCAGACCCTGTGGCTTTGCTGGACAGAGAAGTCTTGCACAGGTGAGGAGATGAAGTTGATGTTGGGCTGTGGGGGCCCAAGGGCTCATAAAAATGAAAGAACACATATTTGGGGGCACCCCATGCCACACAAATAAGCACATTTTGGGTAATGGGTTGAGGTGGATGAAAACTCCAGTGGTATTAGGACTCCGTGGGTATTCTCTGCCCGCCCTCCAATTCTGAACACTCTGTCCTTTTCCCTGAGAAGCCGGGGTGAGCGTGCACAGCAGGGGGCATCCCTGGAAGGGCCCTGGGGCTCCATTCTAAGGGCAGCGCTGGGACGGATGGGTCCATGTTTCAGGAAGGCAGGTGTGTGCCATGCAAAGACCTTCCTACCACGAAACTCCTGAGACGATGGGCCCCAGGGTGCCATCTTCTCTGGGAAAGGCATGTTCTCACCGGGCTGGGCGACTCCCCAGCTGTGACAAGTAGGGAGCCCAAGTGCCCCCAAAACCATCCAAGTGCCACAGGTTCGCCGTGCCATGCCGGGATTACAAGCTTCAACAACGTCACACAGAGATGCAGTTTAGTTTTATTTATTTATTTTCAATAGTGTGAAGACACAGGCAGACACAAAGGGCAGGAGGTCATACCGATGTGTTTCAGATCCTGGCGTCATCCGAGCTGTCCTGGGTAAGTGATGCCATCTCTCCAATACCCATGTGCCTTGCCCATAAAATGGGATGATGGCACCTGAGGATTCAAATGCTCACCATGCAAGGGTGCTCGGAGGCCCTCGGAAACCCGGATCTGTTCCAGACTTTTCTGGAAAGCCCTGCAGAGACTGTTCTCAAGGGCAGAGAGAGGAGGCTCCCCTTCCTGTAATCGGAGTCACGCGAGGCTGACGGGAAAGCCAGGAAAGGGAAGTAAAGGGAATAGGAAGAGCCTGGGGCAGAAGTGAATTTACCAACTCCGGTGCACAGCGACATCAGGAAATGTCTCACCCCAGTGCTGCACAGGCGCCCGGGCTGTGGATCGCCAGGAGGCCCGGGCTTTGGATCACCAGGAGGCCCGGGCTGTGGATCGCCAGGAGGCTGCAGCCTGATCCCAGCGTCACTGCTGCGACAGGCACCTCCCTGCCTGGATTCTGCCGCATGGGTGACGCGTCGCTTCCCACCTTCGTCCCCAGCTCGACTCTCCTTAGGAGCTCCTCTCTGCCAGGCTCGGGGTTGGCTGGTGTGCCCGACACGCGGCCGGTGCCTGTGCTCCTGCGGTAACTCACGGCCACGTTCCAGGTTCCAGAACCCATTCCTATTCAGCTTTGTCACGTGGCTGGTGAGGGGAGACCCGGGGGCAGCTGGAGAAGGAAGACCCCACCTGCCCTCTGCATGTTGCTCTATTTGCTGATGTTTGACATTCACGTCAGCCCTCACGTCTGTGCCTTCATCTGTGTGACCTGGGCTTGCGTCGAGTAGAGAAGCACGGCCTGGCCTTCAGATGCCCTACAGGACTCCAGGAGAGGATGACAGAGGATGTACTTGGGTCCTGCTGTGACCGCCATCATAACAACGCCATGGACAACAGGCACATTTCAATAACATGGAATGACTTACTAACTTTATCCTCGCTGTTTTATAAAATGCAAATGTAAAGTGGCTTAAAAGTAATGATCTTGAAAGCATTAAATCTCTCAAAGGGAATTTTTTCATACTCAAGTTTTGGAAAACAAAAGATTGATAATAAAAAATATGAACAGACTGAAATTCTGATATAAGTAACATTTGATGAGCATTTGTAAGAAGTTTGATTGGCCTAATCAGATTCAAGACATGATTCGTGACCCAGTTATTGAGATCTTCTTTTCAGAAAGAGAGATTTTAATTTAAAAATGTTCACCTGCCAAAAGTCAGCCACGGTGGCGGGCAGCGGTCCCTGGGTGGCGATGTACGCGGGGTTCCTCGGGTCGTGATCCATCTGCAGAGACAAGACCACACCACAGCGGTTAGCCAGGAGATTAGGAAGCCTGGAGGTTAGGAAGCCTGGAGGTTAGGAAGCCAGAAGGTTAGGAAACCCGGAGGTTAGGAAGCCAGGACGTTAAGAAACCCGGAGGTTAGGAAACCTGGGGGTTAGGAAGCCAGGAGGTTAGGAAGCCTGGTGTTTAGGAAGCCCGGAGGTTAGGAAGCCAGAAGGTTAGGAAGCCAGGAGGTTAGGAAGCCTGGAGGTTAGGAAGCCAGGAGGTTAGGAAGCCTGGTGTTTAGGAAGCCCGGAGGTTAGGAAGCCAGGAGGTTAGGAAGCCTGGTGGTTAGGAAGCCCGGAAGTTAGGGAGCCCAGAGGTTAGGGAGCCTGGAGGTTAGGAAGCCAGGAAGCAGAGCCTGGGTTCAGGAAGAGGGAAAGGTGGCATCTCCTGAACTGAGCAACACACAACTTGCCCTTTGTTGATTCAAACGAGCACCCGGCACAGGTAGGGACCCAGCTGTCCCGAGCCTTGAGCCTGAACCACTGCGTCTGAAATGCTTTCCTTATACCTGAGGTTGAGGTTCTAAGAGCAGCATCAACAGAAATGAAGACCAGTAGCCCAAGGAGGGCAGGCAGCCGTTGTTAGCCCACTCAGCAGGTGCGACCCCATGACATGGATGAGCTTTCCAGCCTGCAAGTGACCCCAGAGCTTCCTGGCCACGGAGCCCACCCAGGCTGCCCTGTGTTCAGGAGAACGAGCCTCTTGCTAGAGCCACAGGGCTGGCTGGGGTGAGGCTGAGCTCCAAGCTCTCAATGGAGAGTGTGAACAGGGTTCCTCCAGGCCTCATGGACAAACTTGCCAGCGTCCTGGGAGAACGAACTAGCGCTACCTGCTGCTTCCCTGCTGGAGTTAACTCGTTGTGTGTGGGGGCTTGTTTTTGTGTATCCTGGAAAGGGGGCACAGGCACAGCCGGTCAGCCTGGGCCTGGGTCTGTGGCAGAGCCGGGGCGGAAGGGCCTTGCTGGGAGTGGCCTCCTGTTCTGTTTCCCCACCAGGCAGGGACCAGAAACAAAGAGGGCAGGTGTGGGCTCTCCGGCTCCCCAGTTTGTCCGAACGCATCTTGCTAGCTCCAATGGGAGAAGGTTGGCTTAGAAGACCATAATTATTACATTTATTTCGAAGATTAAGCACAGAAAAAAGAACTTGAGGACAAAGCCTTGAGAGGCAAGCGAGATTTGAGCACATTGCTGAGGGGCGTCAGATGGAGGTGGTTCTGTCTTCCAGAGGGCAAGCCCAGGCCACCCTGCAAAGGACACGAAGATACCAGGACATCACTATCATCCCCAGGGCTCACCAGCTCCTCCCCACACCTCCCAGAAGCATCTGCAGAGACCGACCCCCGGAGAGCCGGATGCTGCGCTGGGGGAACCTCACCTTGGGGAGGCAGCCGCTTGTGCATCTGACGCACAGTCCTTTCTTCTATTGTGTCTAGGACTAAAATGGACTCTTTTGCTATCAGGGTTTGATTCGAGATTTACAATGTTCAGATTTCAAGGTAATTATTAAGAAAACATTTCTCAACACAGTGAAAAATGAGCAAATTTTAACCCTATGCAATTTTAAGCCAACGCACGAGGACATCAGTGGTGGCCCCGGTGCTACCTTAAGTGCTGCTGCATTTGGGAAGCTGACGTGGGGCACGTTTTCTTTAACAGCGAGCCAGTGAGTCCCCGTGCAGCCGTCACCAGCCCCAGAGATGATGGCTGTCAGCACAAAAGAAGGCACCAAATGCACCTTATAATTATGTTCACCATAAAAGAGGGGCGAGCATAAAGGAACAGATGTAAGTTATTCTCACAGAACAACACGGTGACGCTAGCCGGGGGCTGGGGGGAAGCAGGGAGAAAAGCTTTTTGTGCATCTGATTTAGTGATTCGTAATTAAAACTGGACCTCGTTTTGAAATTCGCCACAACACACACAATACAGGTAAAATTATGTTACCGTCGCTGAAAGCCCCAATTAGAATGTTTCAGTAGAAAAATGCTTAGCAGAAATAAGTTTTGATTTTTTGAAATATGCATTTGTTGGGGGTGACAGCTATTTACAGAGACCCCTGTCTCTTCCTTGCAAATAGTAATGCATGAAAAGGAAAGCCCCGCCTCCTTCTGAAATGTGTGTGTGTGTGTTTTTTTTTTTGCCCAGAGCAATTTCTACAGCAACACATTTTAAAATTGTAAGCATGTTCAAACTAGCACATTTAGTTGCTTTCAAAATGAGAAATAGGTGATTGAAAGTAAAATGCTGGACAGGGTTGCAGGAGGGTCGATAAGGTGACTGTTGATTTAGGTCTGAGTTGTTAAGGTGTCCTAAAGTCCACACACCCATCACCTGCTCCAATGCCTAAGACAGGAGCAAATACAGTCAGGGTGCTGGGAGGGGGATGGCTGAACAGGAAGTGTGGGCTGTGCAGACTGAGTGGGGACCGGCCTCACCTCCCTCCCGCCCACCTGCCGTCCTGTGGGGGCCACTGGGAAGGCGGGAACAGCATGATGATCCGAGTGGTGACATGTGTCATCGGTTTCACAATAATTCAGGAGACAATTACATTCATTTAATTCCAGGCACATTCTGTTGAACAGAAAATTATTCTGGGCAGAAGGATTTTGTGGAAGCAGCAACTGCAAAGGCCACAGGCAGCCTCCTTGTGGTCTCACGCAGGCTTCGAGGAAAAGTCAAGCAAATACTTAACTGGCCACACAGAGATTTTACTACATTTAAGGTTTTCGGGCAGGATAAGTGGCTGTGGAGGAAATCAAGTGAGTTTCTACTAACATTGCTTTTTCCAATGAGGGCATCTGCGTGACAACCGGACATGGTGGGTGTGTGTCCCTCTGTCTTCCCCACCCAGCGATCACACGGCACCTACTCTGGCTTCCTCCGGTCTTCATTCTTACCCTTCGCCTCCTACTCATGACTTTCCATTTCATTGCAACATACTTTTTATTTGTATGACTGTTATGTTCCCGACACAAACTGCCCGGCTGTGGGAAAAGGCCTGTCATATCTCCAGGCCTCAGTCTCCGTATCTGTATGGTGGGTGAGCTCAGGGAGTGAGGAGCTTGGACGTCGGCGTCTCCGGGCCTCAGTCTCCATATCTGTATGGTGGGTGAGCTCAGGGAGTGAGGAGCTTGGACGTCGGCGTCTCCGGGCCTCAGTCTCCATATCTGTATGGTGGGTGAGCTCAGGGAGTGAGGAGCTTGGATGATGCGGTTTCTAAGTGTCCTTTAGCTCTGGATTCCAGTGCACGTGCATGTGCAGACTCGTCTGTGTGTATGTGTGTGTCCTGGTGTTGGTCATCCCGAAACTGTCCGTGAAAACCTGTAAATTTATTAGGTGAACGCCAAGCTGTCAGGCGGTCTGCGGCCCGTGAACACGCGTCCATGCTGTCCTCAGTGAACCACAGAAGGAAGGAAGGATGCTGCTTCCTCAAGCACAGAGCTGCTGTGTCCTCCAGTGGTGTGCGGGGCCAAGCATCTGAATGGCGAGGTGCGGTCATTTCTGAGCGCTTTCTCCCCAGACAGGGGCTTCTGCAGCAACACATCCCGCCTAGAGAGGCCGGTACCACAGAGAATCCAGTGTGACTCACTCCAAGTGACTTCATGAAAATCAACAGCCAGAAGGCAAGTACAATTAACAGTATAATTCTGTTTTTACTTTTTTTTTTTTTTGAGATGGAGCCTCACCCTGTCATCCATGCTGGAGTGCAGTGGTGCAATCTTGGCTCACTGCAACCTCTGCCTCCTGGGTTCAAGCGATTCTCCTGCCTCAGCCTCCAGAGTGGCTGGGATTACAGGCGTGTGCCACCACACCCAGCTACTTTTTGTATTTTTAGTAGAGATGGGGTTTCACCATATTGGCCAGGCTGGTCTCGAACTCCTGACCTCAGGCAATCTGCCTGCTTTGGCCTCCCAAAGTGCTGGGATTACAGGCATAAGCCACTGCGCCTGGCTTACTTTTTTAAAATAAAAATAAAGCCCATTTGTCTGTGTTGACTCTGTTATCCCTTGGTTGACTGATTCTTATGAAGATGTCATATGAACTAGGATGCTAGTGAGGTGTGTTCCTCTGTCTCTCTGAATACACAGTGTAAAGATGGCCTAGTGATGTGCCTTATGCTATCAGAGGATAATTACTAAACAAGTATCTTTAGAAACCCTAATCTGCATGAAAAACTTAGCCACAATTTCCCCAATATTCCAAACAAAGCTCATTTTAGAAATGAAGCACTCAGCATGTCAGGACCACTGGACTGTGTCCTGCAGTCCTCAACAGCCTCCATGGTGGCAGAGGCACCCACTGCGGGGCAGGTGAAGGGAACGCCAGTTTCTGCTCCCAAACCAGCCCCGGCCTCTGGCAGCTGTGACCTTAACATCTTAAGAGGATCTGGCCAGCTTTGGGGAAGGGCATGGGTGTCACGTCTTTACTCTGAAATCTTGCACAGAGAATAAGCACACACCTCATCTGTAGGTATTTCTACCTGCCCACCTCTCCACCTGCCCACCTCTCCACCTGCCCACCTCTCCACCTGCCCACCTCTCCACCTGCCCCTCTCCACCTGCCCACCTCTCCACCTGCCCACCTCTCCACCTGCCCACATCTCCACCTGCCTACCTCTCCACCTGCCCACCTCTCCACCTGCCCACCTCTCCACCTGCCCACCTCTCCACCTGCCCACCTCTCCACCTGCCCACCTCTCCACCTGCCTACCTCTCCACCTGCCCACATCTCCACCTGCCCCTCTCCACCTGCCCACCTCTCCACCTGCCCACCTCTCCACCTGCCCACATCTCCACCTGCCTACCTCTCCACCTGCCCACCTCTCCACCTGCCCACCTCTCCACCTGCCCACCTCTCCACCTGCCCACCTCTCCACCTGCCTACCTCTCCACCTGCCCACATCTCCACCTGCCCACATCTCCACCTGCCTTTCCTAACATTTAAAGCAAATTGCATGAAACGCTTTCTTGAAAACCACCATTTGACTTCTCAAGTCTCTTTTCCAAATACTAAGGCTTAATATGGGAATTTATTGGGAAATTGTAGCTTCAGTAATCAATGGGAGATTGACTTGTTTTTTTTGAGACAGGGTCTTGTTCTTTACCCCAGGCTGGAGTGTGGTGGCATGATCTCGGCTCACTGCAACCTCTCCCTCCTGGGTTCAAATGTTTCTTCTGCCTCAGCTGGGATTACAGGTATGCACCACCATGCCTGGCTAGTTTCTGTGTTTTTAGTAGAGATGGGGTTTCACCATATTGGCCAGGCTGGTCTTAAACTTCTGAACTCAAGTGATTCGCCTGCCTTGGCCTCCCAAAGTGCTGGGATTACAGGCATGAGCCACTGCACCCAGTCAGCAGATTGACTTTTGAACTTGAAATATTTTTATATCGTATTCTTAGGAGTTGAGATTTACTTAAGTAAAATACTGAATATAAACCATTATTATACACAGAATTTTGGTTGTAAATAACTGAAGTGATTCCCATATTTGGCCAATTTCTTATGCTAGTCAGAACATCCAACCTCTCTTCTTTTTCTGAAAAGCCACTCTGTCCCTACATAGTTAAATGCATTCTGAATTAAAACTTTAAATGATGTTTTTTTCTCCCTTAATAGACAGTGAAATGAAGAATTAAGCTAGTTTTTACACGTCACTGGGAGTTTCAGAGTTGTCCTGGTAATAAAGCTTGTGTGCTGTGTTTGAGTGGGCTGTTGCGTGAACACCATTCCTCAACTTGGTGTCCTCAGTAATAATCAGGCTGTTTTAAATGTAGCTCATGGGTTTCTCTCTCAGACAACCTACGAGGGAAAACAGAATTCCCATTGACTTTCATGACCTCTGATTTAAAAGCAAAGATTGCACATTATTTACCACTGGATGCCTTCCCTGAAATGTAATGAGGACTAAGTACAAATATGACAGATGTAATTATCATAGTTTTATCCTGCACAGCCAGGGCCTTCCTTTGCTGTAATTGTGAGCTTTTCATTCAGCTGCTGCTAGGAAGGTAATTATCATTGTACCTTCAGCTATTTCATAAAGAAGAGGCACCATCGATTTCTTCTGCTTCATTCTTACAACCCAAATTTGGAAAAAAAAAAGAATTGTGGTATGAAATAAAGGAAAGACACAAAATGTACCATAAAATTACTTCTCCCTCCTGGCCTTGCCTTCTCACCCAAGCTCCTGCCCAGTAAGGCCTGGAGAGGGAGTTGCATGAATGTGCAGGAATTCATCCCCCAAACACACACCCCCTCTGGTTCCCACATGGGATGAAAGCTGTCCACCGTTTCCAGCTCGACACAGTTGCTGCACTGGGCACTGCTGCCCACGCTGGGGCTTGGCTGTGGCCTGGAATAGCGCAGACATCTGCAAGTTGGAACCCATCGAGTGGGGGAGAGTGGGCCCAGCTGCAACGCTGAACTCTCGTCTTTTAGGCTTGTGAATCACGGCTTTATTCCTCATTCTGGCTTCATCAAATGGTTCATCTCAGGGAAAAGGGACCTCAACATGGCTTTTCTTTTCCTTCGGACGGTTTCGTGTTGCCAACTCTGCTGCACATAGTACAGGAACGGAATCCAGGCGCGCACACCTGGCTTTACCAGAACGCACGTTCTGTTCATCAAGTGAGAGGCTGGCACATCAGCGAGGCTTTGGTTTGATGTTTTTGAATTAGAATTGATGACAGAAAAATACTATGTGCATCACATCTTATTAAGGAAGATGAATGAGGATCTTTGAAACCCACACGGAACCAAGCTTGGGAGTCAACCTCTGCTGGAAGGAAGGAAGTGATTCCTTCTTAAGAATGAACACATAAACAGAAACCTGGGTTCAGGTGGTGTAGACCAAGTACACTAGGCCAGTTCTTCACTTTGAATTCAGTCTCTCAAAGCTGAACATGCTCACTGTGTGGGCCACGAATTGCGGGAAAACGGGACTGGCTCAGGCATGTGGACATCTTCCCAGCGTGCTTTATCCCACAGGTGTGCTGAGACCAGCAGAGCCGAGAGCTGAGCACCCTCCACCATCAGTGGCCGCTGAGACCAGCAGAGCCGAGAGCTGAGCACCGTCCGCCATCAGTGGCCGCTGAGACCAGCAGAGCCGAGAGCTGAGCACCGTCTGCCATCAGTGGCCGCCGAGACCAGCAGAGCCGAGAGCTGAGCACTGTCTGCCATCAGTGGCCACTGAGACCAGCAGAGCTGAGAGCTGAGCACCCTCCACCATCAGTGACCGCTGAGACCAGCAGAGCTGAGAGCTGAGCGCCATCTGCCATCAGTGGCCACTGAGACCAGCAGAGCTGAGAGCTGAGCACCGTCCGTCATCAGTGGCCGCTGAGACCAGCAGAGCCGAGAGCTGAGCACCCTCCACCATCAGTGGCTGCTGAGATCAGCAGAGCCGAGAGCTGAGCACTGTCCGCCATCAGTGGCCGTGGCCTGCAGGCAGTTGGGCCAATACTTTCATCCAAAGCTCCCTATGGACGAGCAAAGAAACTTTGGGACACCGTAGGGTGCGATTTGTGCCTCGATCACCTGCCCCGTCTCACTCAGCCCTAGAACAGCATTGCATCCTGCAGGCACCATGTTTGATTAAAGGCAAATTTGGAATTTTAGTGAGATGTCCTCATCCTTCCCTGAAGACCAGAATTGAGAAGAGCTGTTTAAAGGGGGAAACATGACAACCAGTGTCCGCCATAAATCTGCATGGAGCCCCAGCCTCTCCACCACTGGTTTAAAGTGCCATCCGCCAGGTCTCCAAAGCCCCGGCCCTGGACAGTGTCCCATCCCGCCCCCGCCACCTGCCACCATCACTGCTCATCTGAACACCCAGTCCGAGTGTCCCCAGCCTGTGGCTTCAGCCCTCTCCATGCTCATATCTCTCCCTCCTCTGCTCACTCTGGGAGGGCTGCAAACCTCCCCATTCAGCCCTGCTCCCCCGACAGGTCATGACAGGGAAGGGGGATGCCCAGAGTTAAATAGGGTGAGAGCCGCGTCTAGCATGGGCTGAGAGGAGCCCCTGGGAAGTGAGGGACCACAGGCCACAGGGACTCATAACTCACGGCACAGGAGCTGCCACCACACTCGTCCCCAGAAACACAGGACAGCCCGATCTCCACTGCACCTGCGTCTATCCCAGGGGGAGGAACAGCCAGCAAACGGTCTCTTTCATAAGAAACAGGGTCCCATTCACTGGAAATACTTCAGGAAAACGAACCTGAAATTCTGGACCTGCCTCCAAGCCACTGATTGTTACAAAAAGCGTAGACTGAGGCCTCATGTCCCCATGCCCCATGAATATACAGGGAATGTGTAGCTCCAGGAAAGAGGAACGGCACCCACTACGAACCTCTCCTAAAAGCCATGTCTTCTAGTCAGGAAACTGTCCAGTCACCATTGCTGGATGTTCTACAAGTCACGGAACCCACCGCCCAGCGTGAGCCGGGACCCACACGGCTCATAAACAGCCCCGCTGGTGAAGGAACAGGGGAGTGGCGGGAGCCCAATGGGCAGAGTCGGCCCTGTCCACCGCAGAGACGCTGAGCTGGGTGGGGACGTGATTTCCCCCGAGAACCTTCCCACGTGATTTGCCGCGTCCGTGCCACCCAAGGGAAAGCCTGGGGCCCCTGTCCCGGCAGTGCACTTACGATGGGGCTAGCGTTGATGTAGTCTGAGTGGCTGTGGCTGTTCTCCGCCTTCAGCAGGACCCGGGAGTGGTCATCTGCAAGGACACAGTGCAGGGGTCAGAGGAACATTGGCCCACCCAGCAGTGTGAGACCCCCACTTGGCCTCCAGGGCCCCCCACCCAGCAGCACAGGACCCCTGCCCAGCCTCCAGGGTCCATCACACAGCAGTGTGGGACTCCCAAACAGCCTCCAGGGCCTATAGCCCAGCAGTGTGGGACCCCTGCCCGGGCTCCAGGGCCCACCCGCATCCTCTCCCAGGACTCTGCTCACACCCTTCTGAATGTGGTTTCCAATGTTCCTGCTCCCATCCTCCCCTCCGTTTGTGATCCTCCAGGTGGGAGGCAGACGAACGGCATGTGGGGAACTGGCACAAAGCTCCCGCTCAGCAGAATGGAGATATCCTGGTGTTTTCCCCCACGTGGAGTTCACACACCAAGGTCAGGGGTTCCTCTGCAGAATTTTATACCATGCTGGCCTTTAAATCACAGACACACTTGGCAACACACAGCAGGTAAACAGAAATATGAACGTTAAGCAATCGCCCGCGTTTCAAAATAGAAAGTTTCATAGTCAATGAACAGTTAAGTCCTCAAGATTACTGGAATTTAGTTTTAAAAGGAGAGTAAGAGACAAATAAAATGCAGATAAAGAGGAAATGGAGGAAAAATGTACTGGTGGAGACTGGCATAAAAACTCGCTCGGACAGACAGAGTAACCTGACGGCTGCTGAAGCCGGGCGCAGCGGGGGGACAGTAGGCACTTGTGACGTGTGTGATATGAGAGCTGTCTTGGCTTTGGTTCTGGGATAACCCCCATCCTGCTTGCTGTGGCCGCCCTCCTCTTTGCTCTGTTTTTAGAAACTTCGACAAGCAGAGCTCACAGAGGAGTGGAAGCCGCAAGAGCCCCTCCTGCACCTCCCAACTCCCTGGTGTGTGGCCGCTTCCTTCTCTCTGCAAGGTGCGCTTTGTGTTACAGGATCTTTGGGGTGGTGTTTTTCTGGCCAGAAATCTCTGTGGCCGGTGGCGCCTTTGCCCAAGTTTTGCTCAGGCTGGGCCTGGCAGGCCACGTTTGGCTCACACTACCAGCCTGGGTCCCATGCCTGCCAAGGGCGAGTCAGGCATGGAGTGGCGAGGGGTGTGTGAGGAGCACGGGGTCTGGCCACACCAGTCAGGCACGCTGGGTGCTGCAGCAGGGTGGGCAGCTCCAGGTGCCAGCATGGGTGCGGGCTCTCTGTGAGGCTGCGGCCAGACCAGACACACTGCAAGCAGCTTCCATGGTTGACACTGAGGAACATGGTAGCTCCTGGAAGTTTGGAGATACCAGGAACCACAGGGTCCCAAAGATGGAGTCACAGGCCTAGCTCCGGGAGCTCCCAGGTCTGGGCTCCCTGAAGGGCTACAGCTGTTCTCTCCTTCTCTTCACCCACAGTGTGGCGAGCAGGGGGCATGTCTCAGCCCTGTTTGTGCTACAGCTCTTCTAGCCCCACCATTCGACAGGTCCTGAGTTCTTGTTCTGCGACCAGGAAGAATGAGGTATGGAGACAAGTGGAGGATGAGCAAGATGAAGAGGGGTTTATCGAGCAATAGAACAGCTCAGTCTCCCACAGGGGGCAGCTCCTTTCTGCAGCCAGGGGGTCCCGATGAGTGTTCAGCTCCTAGCAAAGGGGAGGCTCTGGAGTGGGTAGCTCCTCTCTGCAGCTGGTCATCCCCATGTCTGCCCAGCTCTGGCTATGCCTGGGGCATTTATGGGCCTCAGAGGGGAGGAAGTACATGCTGATTGGCCCACGAGTGGCCGTGGGCAGGCCTGGAAAAGGCACCATGAGTTCCCACTCTGATCCACAGGACTTGCAGCCCAGCCCCCAGCCTTCAAACCCTCCCTGGCCTGAAGGTGGTGCTTCATGGAGGACCTGCCCCCTTTTGCCCAGGAATCTCTGTCTCCTGCTGCCATTCATGGCACCCAGGCTGTTTGTGCCAAGGGGCACCTGCAGGCCAGAGCTGAGCTGCCCTCAGCCCTCCTTCGGCTTCCCTCCCATGCTTGTTGGTGCCCAAAGTCCAGAGGGGGCTGAGGTGGCAGGGGGCTGGTGTGTCAGCACTGCCCAGAGTGTCACACCTGCTGGGCTGTGACAGCGCCCGGGCTCAGCCCTGACTTTGCTCCAAGATCAGCATGGGTGCCAACAGCAGGGAGAATCCAGGTAGCAGGAACAGGCACTTCCTGCAGGGGCAAGGATCTTCTTCCTGGGTGCCTAAGTGTGCAGGGCTGCCTGGGTCTGCAGCTACGGTTTGGGCAGCTGTAGCTCCTCCCCAGCGTGGGGGTGGGGGTGGGGTCCTGCCTGCCGCGTGGAACAGGATGCCCAGGTTACGCCTCCCTGCTGCAGCTGGTGTGATGGTAGTGGCCACTCCAGAGGGCCTGTCACTGCCATCCCTGGCTGAAATCTGGAAGCAACAACATCTCGGCTCTGCTGCCGTTTGTCCCAGGGAAAACCTCTTGGTGCTGCACACAACACCAATTTCCATCTTTTCTGAGAAAACAAAAGCACCCTCGCTGGAGCCCTCGGAGGCCAGTGCTTGGTGGCCGTGGGTCCCCTCTGGACCTGTGGCCAAACTCCAAACTCGCTGCGCACCTCCTGTGGGCGCTGGCACCAGAAGGAAGTGGCCCCAATCATGGAGCAGTGTGGTGGTGGTGAAGCTGCACGGACTCTGCTTCTCTACGCAATTCTTTCATTTTTCTTGGAGATTTTACTTACAGTTTTTAAAACAACAAATCCTAGGGCTTGGAAAACTTAGTGAGTGTTTTAACTGATTGAACTAGGAAAGTACTGTGCACTAGAGATCAATACACTCCAGGTTGGATGCTGTCCTGACACCTTCCTTCAGGTAGGAATGTCAGCCTCTTTCAGGGGTGACAAGATGGGATAAGATAAAACATCTAGAGAGAGGAGAAGAATGCATGTGTACATACGCACATGCTCTATGCAGCTGAATGCCTCAGGAATGTCATGAAGCTGCAAGTCATCCCATCAGCTCTGAACGAAGGTGTGAATGATGCAAAAATCCCAGGGACTCAATGGCTTTTAGCTCCTGCACAAATTAGTTCTTGGAGAGTGAAAATTGGCAGTGGCAGGAAATTGTAATACAAATCATCAGAAAAAAACTGGTTGACTCTGACATCTGAACACCCCACACACACTACTCCAAACATTGATTCCAGAAACCCAGTTTCACAGTGGGGCCACACAGACACCGCAGCCAGAGATGAGGCTGTGGTCAGAGGTGCTGGGCTGGGCCCGGTGCTGCAGCCCACACAGAGCGTGGGAATAAAAGCAGGGGCTTCTGGCTGCTTCCAGGGGCCTCTAGGGCCCTGCCTCATTTTCAGCACAGCCACCTTTAGGCACTTGTGAGACCAGCAACTGCGGACCGTTCTTACGTGTCTGAGAAGGCATTACCAAGAGCAGGGTCAGGAGGGAGCAGGGCAGGGAACAGGCAGCGCAGCCTGGAGCCCTCAGGCTTTTGACCTGGCTTGGTCTCGTGCTTTGATGGTGCCCACGGCACCCTGAGACCAGTGGCCTGGCCTCTACGGAGGGCAGAGGAGGCATCAGGGCAGCGTGCTGGGAGCTCCTCCTCAGCTGAGGGGTCCCTGCTGCCAGGCCCTGTGAGCAACAGGCCACGGGGAAAGTGGCCACTGCCATTGGACTCAGCAGACAAGTGCCAGCTGGATTTTCTCATTGGAAAATTAAGAAAATGCTTCCCTAGCTCGGGAGTCCTGGGGAGTTAGACATGCATTCTACGAGCCCGGCCCTCTCCTCTCGATGGCAGAGGGGGAATCTGCCATGGGCACCTGAGCCCTGCTGGCAAGTGGACAATCCATGGGCTTCTTGGTGGAAAATTGTTTTAGCCGAATTCATTTCCCCCGAGGTCACCCTTTAAAGATGGCACTGAGTCAAGGACCCGGCTTCCATGACTTCGGAGAGCTCCTACTTCCTGATCGCATATTTGATTTTGTGTCAACATATTGCTTTTGAAATTACCAGCGAAGTCTTTTTTTTAAAGAGACAGGGTCTTGCTCCGTCACCCAAGCTCAAGTGCAGTGGCACAATATTGGATCACTGCAACCTCCACCTCTCGGGTTCAAGTGATTCTCCTGCCTCAGCCTCCCGAGTAGCTGGGACTACAGGCACGCACCACTGCACATGGCTAATTTTTGTATTTTTAGTAGAGACAGGGCTTCACCATGTTGGCCAGGGTGGTCTCAAACTCCTGACCTCAGATGATCCACCTGCCTCGGCCTCCCAAAGTGCTGGGATTACAGGCATGAGCCACTGTGCCTGGCCAGCAAAATCATTGTGTTTGTAATATGGGGTCATTTGGAACCTCCGGGAAATGCTTGGAGCCATCCTGGGAGGGCCAAGGGACGCTGCAGGCTGTGGAGGAGGGCGGACTCTGATTCCTGCAGGGGGCGGCAACCGTTCCTCGTGCGGAGAGTTCATGTGCCTGGCGAATCTCTATTTTGTGATTCTCTTACTTTTTATGAGATGTTTTGAGAGCAAATAGGATGATGCCATCCAGTTCCCGAGTCCCCTAAAGGGCAGTTTCCTTGACGTGCGAGGCCTGTGGAGGGGTCTTCGTGTTCTATGAAGTGAAGGGAAGCAGGTGGCCTGGGGCCTCTCAAGGCCAACCCCAGGCTGGAGATGAAGCCAGGGCAGGCCCACGCGCAATCAGCCCTGGCCTGTGCTCGGGGAACTGAAGGCTGCTCCCTTCTGTTGTCAAATGAAATATCAGACCTCCCTGGGGAGGCAACACAGAGCAATGGCGGGAACCACAGGGTGAGAATTCATAACAGCCTGGGGCTCATGTTTCCATTAAGAACGGGTGTGCTCTATCAAAACCGT
This sequence comes from Homo sapiens, assembly GCF_000001405.40. Classification (NCBI taxonomy): domain Eukaryota; kingdom Metazoa; phylum Chordata; class Mammalia; order Primates; family Hominidae; genus Homo; species Homo sapiens. Next base: position 157,608,926 of record NC_000007.14, read on the forward strand.
AGTCTGAGAATTTACTGAGAGGCCAGGAAAATGTGGGAACTCACGTAGAGTCTTCCTTCACCTGGCCCTATAACTGAGTTAATGTCATTGGGTTAAATTAACCCACTGTGCACGTTCCTTTTCTGACCCTTTACTGTGTTTATCATGCGTTAGTGCCTTGTTCAACAATATTTCAGGCCGGCCGCGGTGGCTCACACCTATAATCCCAGTACTTTGGGAGGCTGAGGTGGGTGGATCACCTGAGGTCAGGAGTTCGAGACCAGTCTGGCCAAAGTGGCAAAACCACGTCTCTACTAAAAATACAAAAATTAGCCAGGCGTGGTGGTGGGCGGCTGTAATCCCAGCTACTTGGGAGGCTGAGGCAGGAGAATTGCTTGAACCCGGGAGGCAGAGGTTGCAGTGAGCTGAGACTGTGCCATTGCACTCCAGCCTGGACAACAAGAGTGAAACTCTGTCTCAAAAAAATTTTTTTTTAAATATAAAAAAAAAGAGTATTTCAAATTTCTCAGATGTTCCATATTTTCACGGATTAGATCCTCTTCTCTCATCCTGGACCCAGTGGCCATCCTGGACCACGGACAGAACAGGGACTACTTTCCCGTTTTAGGCTGAAGAAACTAAGACTCATAAGGATGGAACGATTCACGTGGCCACGGCCTCGTGGTCCACAGGGGAGCACAGGGTTTGACTCCCAGCCCCACTGCTTGCCAGCGGGCGATCCTGGGTAAACTGTTCAGTGTTCGGAGAATGCAGGATGATAACATACAACTCACAGCACTGTTGTGGTAAATGGCACGCAGCAAGCAATGAGGAGCAAGGCTGAGATGACGGTGGACACGCACCCAACTGCGCAGGTCAGCCAAGCTGGCAAAGCGTGTTCTTGCTGCCCCGTGGTGGCAGAACATATGGAGCGATTTTTCATAGATGCCAACAGAAGAGACACATCCCACAATTTCTTGTTGATTATTACTATGGCAAAGAGCCTTGGGAGATGGCCCAGCTAAGCATGCTAGAGGACGCGGCGGTATAGTCATTAATCATGATCTAGAACCTCCCGTGCCCACCCCACTGCATCTGAGGAAAGCGTGTGGAAGACTCCTCTGCCCGGAACATCGTCTTGCTACACAGATCCCTGAGGACGGCATTCCCCCAGGCCTCCTGGCTTGCTGTCCACACTCAGGAAGCTGCTCTGCAGGGCCAAGAATCTGCCTCCCACCAGCACATGGGCTCCACGGTGCTGCTGTTTGGAGGATGCGTGAGGCCATCTGTGAAGCCACTGCTGAGTCCAGGGGCCTCACGGAACTTGGCAATGGGGTTCCCTCCTCCCAGGGGCCTCACGGAACTCGGCAATGGGGTTCCTTCCACTCAGGGGTCTCAGGTGTTCTCTCGGGCTCTCCAACTGCCTCTGCTTTCTGTGAAGGTTTAGGCTCAGTCATTTATGCTGGCAGGAGGCCCTCTTCTTCATGTTGATGGTGTGGCCTGTGGAGAGGTGGAGCCGGTGTCTTGCTCCTAGAGGGAGTCCTGACTCCAGCAGAGAACATGTTCCGGGATGTGCTCCACAGTTGGCACCAGCACCCACAAGCTCCTGCTCCGAGTTTATGGTGTCCATCGAGGTCTGAGGGCTGCAAAGGCACATCCCGGGGCTGCTGGCCGTCAGCAAGGGCCGTCAGTGCTGCTTAGGGATCCCAGCGGCTCACACACAGAAAGGCCTTTGAACTTGTCATAGTTGAGGCAAAGGAATAAATGATCGGACCACGTTTGTTTCAATACTCTGAGAAGCTACATGGGCTTGATTCTTTGCAGACCTGGGCACTTGAAGACCAGCAACAGCGTGATGACAGAACGCATTCTGAAGGGGCAGGTCCTCTTCCTCCCACACGCTCCTGTCCTTAGTCAGCAGGCAGACATTCTGCTTCCAACTATGCCTTTGGGAAATGCTCAGCTCAAGCTATAAAGCTCATCGAACATTTAGGAAAGTCAGCTGAGTGTCATTCAGGGCCTCCGCAGCTCAGCATACAATGCTGCATCTGGGCAGACTGGGACAGGCTGGGGCTCATATCCAGAAAGCCCTGCTACATCCAGAGATGGTCATGAAAATGAGACCTGCCCCACCCACCACTCAGGAGGCACGCTGCCCACCGCTGAGCTGAATAACCGAGCGCGAGGCTGGTGTCCGGCTTCCACACTGGACGCGTCAAAAGCAGGTCCCAGAGGAGCAACAGTGGCCCCAAATGGCATGGTCACAAGGCTGGTTTAGTGTCTCATGTCTTAAATGGTTTCACTGGCATCCCCCACAGACAGATCTCTCAGAAAGTCGCCCCCCAATGGGATCGGAAGCATGTTGGGCAGGTGACCTGGGGCAGGTGGACTAGAAGGAGCCTCAAGCCCTGGGGGATTCCCATACCTGAAGCGATTTTAACCCACACTAGTCTCATCTCAGGCATCTGTGTAGAAGGAACTCCCCAGGCAGGGCTATGCGGGGGCAGAATGCAGGGGGAACAGACGCCAAAGGTGTGTGGGGGTTGCCGTGGCCAGGCAGCGCCCGCCCAGTCACTGAGCTGACTTGGAGGCACCAGGTCCCAGGGTTGAGCTGCGTACCCTCCCCCAAAAAGACACACTGGAGTCCCAGCCCTGGGAACATGACCTTATTTGGAAATAGGGTCTTTACAGAGGTAAGCGAGCGGAGGGCATTTGGGCGGCCCTAATGCAATATGACTGGCGTGCTGTTAGGAAGAAGGACTCTGCACACCCACACGGGAGGGAGAGCGCCCGTGTGAAGACGAAGACAGCCGCGGTCATGCTGGGGACACGCGGAGGGAGCGCGCCCGTGTGAAGACGAAGACAGCCGCAGTCATGCTGGGGACACGCGGAGGGAGAGCGCCCGTGTGAAGACGAAGACAGCCGCAGTCATGCTGGGGACACGCGGAGGGAGAGCGCCCGTGTGAAGACGAAGACAGCCGCAGTCATGCTGGGGACACGCGGAGGGAGAGCGCCCGTGTGAAGACGAAGACAGCCGTGGTCGTGCTGAGGAGCGAGGCCTCCAGAGAAGCCAGCCCTGCTGACACCCTGACCTCCATTTCTGGCCTCCGGAATGGGAGACAGCCTGCTTTGGCCACATACACTGCCCATCCCTGGCGCTCTGTCCCTGCAGCCCTCCAGGCCCAGAGCACCTGGAGCGACCTGGGTTTGGCTTCCCATGCCCTGAGCAGCACCTGGTGCCTGCACGGAGAAAGCGCCGCCTGGAGCCAGCCTGCAGTTGTGGAGTGTGGGCAACCCAGAGACCAGCTCCAGACACACAGCGAGGCGTGGCTGTGTGCGCTGGTGGCGACTTTCTCGCAGGAACTAGAACAGTTTGCTGTAACAGGAGCACAGATATCAGACAGGCAGGGCCACGCTGTCTGCACGGCTCCACCGAGAGGCCGTCCATCGACACTGATGACGAATCTCGTCTGTGCGAGCAGCGCAGATGAGTGTGGCGGCGGCAAGACAGAGACACAAACGGCTGGGGGGCGCCTCCAAGGAGCTGAAACTAGGAGCAGGGGGCAGCTCACACGCCTTATCACCAGGACACAGGGTATCACCAGAAGAACAGCTCTGGCTTGTGGCTGTGCTGCCTGAGATTAACGCCCGTTTTGTGGATCGGGGGCAGAAGCTGCACCTGTGACCGACGGTCTTGGGGCTGCCAGGGGAGCCGCAGAAGGCAGTGACCTCTGACCCCACAGCACGGGGCGCAGGGCAGACTGTGCCAAGCAGGCGCGTCTGGAAAAGTAAGGGAGGAAATTCGGCGGGAACCTACACATTAGCTCCCTAGAGGCGTAACTGATGGGCAGGTGTGGAAAACGCCCAAACAGCTCGCGGGAGCAACTCACTTCCGCCGCACGGGAGGGGTCGCGGTCAAAGGGCATCCACAGAGGCGCTGGGGTGAAGCGGGGAAGCGGGTGGGAGCAGCTCCGGCGGCACACCCCGGCCAGGGCAGGGCCCCCCACACCCCACGGCAGCCGAAGGCCCCGCCTCCCCGCCCGGGTCTGCGGCTCCGTGAAGACACAGCAGCTCCGGAGGGTTGATCTCACTGACAGGGAGAGTCCCTGAGGAGGGGCCGGGGTGCTTCCGGCCTGGGTGGCCGGAGGAGGAGGCAGGGAGAGCCCTGCGGCTGAACAGGGCAGCGCCCCCCGCATCCGGAGGGACAGGCCCGGCCCCGTCTCCAGTCCCGCCTCCCGCCTCAGCCGCAGAACCTCGGTGGTTCCTTCAGCTCCTGAAGCGGTCCGCAAACAGGTCGAGGGCGCTGACGAGGCCGTTTTCTGGGCTAAGCAGCGACGGCGCTAGGCGACTCCGCTTGTCCTTCGTTTCCGCTGTCAGCTCAGCAGGTGACTTATTCCCAGTGCTGCTCTTCTCACAGACACAAAACCAACAGTTCCGGTCTCTTCCGATAGTTCTGGCAGAGACGGCTGCGGGGAGACACGGGCGGAGGCGGGTCCGGGCGGGCCCCACGTCGCGCAGCCTCAGCGTGTTGCGCCTCCCGCGGCTGCGGCCAGAGACTTCCGCAAACCTCGGGGCCTCAATCGACAGAACGTGTCACCTCAGGCCCAGGAGAGCAGGGTCCGGGGCGCGTCCTCAGAAGCCGGCAGGGCGGGCTCCTCGCTGAGCCGCAGGGCGAGCCCGGCTTGGGCCTCTTCCCGCGGGAGGAGGCCGCCGCGTTCCTTCCCCGGTTCTCCAGCCGACCCCGCCGCCTCCGTCTCCCACACGCAGGGACCCTCTCCCGACACCGGCCTGCCTGGAACGTGCCAGAATCGTCTCCCTAACCCGGCGGCCGTGGATGAGCAAACCTGCACCCGCGGCAGCCTGAACTGCCGTTTGTCGCGTAGTCCTCGAGTCTCGGAGCGCAGGGGTCCCGAGGGCACCCCGGGCCGCCGTCCTGCGGCCCCCCCACAGTGTGCCGGGACTCGGGGTCTCTCACCACGAGCAGACCTCGGCGCTGCTATCCGGACTCCTCGAGCCCCTTACAGGCCACATGGCCAGGGGCGACCCTCCCGTCACAACTGTGACTCTGTGAGCTCACAGGGCTGGCCTCCACATTCTTGCTGGTGGAAGACCACAAGCAACGGGATGCCTTGGAAAGCATCGTTCTGCAGCAGGACTGCTCAACCGGCCAATCAGAACACAGGGAACCATGAAAGAGGTGGGAGGAGGAAAAAGGAGGACGGAGAGGAGGGGGAAGACAGGGGAGGAAGGGGGAGGACAGGGGAGGGCCAGGGTGGAGCTCAGGGCCAAGGCAGGGTTTGAAGTCTGTGGCCCGTGGCAAGGTCGCAGAGCAGGCTGGTCATGTTCCTACAGCATCGTGGAGACCTGTACACTCCGGGTTCTTGGGAAACGGGGGTTCTGGAAGGGGGCAGGTGAGCTTCTCGTGGGCTTGCAGAGTTCCCTACAGACTTCCACATGGAGAGTCTGTGATTGTTTGGAATGGGAAAGTGGTCACTAAAAGAACAGCTTTATTAGGTACCATTCATATCAGGAAAAAAAGTCAGGGACAGCTGTTTCAAAATTAAAAAGACGAAAGAGACACAAAACCCAAAATGCAATGATGAATCTTGACTGCATCCTGGTGGAAAAAACAAAACAGACAACAGATAACAGACCGTGTTGTAGAGAAAGCGGCGGGAGTCCCTGGGAGTGTGTGATAGCAATGGCGCTGTGGGCTGAGCTGTGCCCTGATGCCCCTGTGTGACGACCCCAACCCCCAGGACTGCGGAGTGTGGCCATGTTTGGAGACAGGGCCTCTAGAGAGGCCAGTAAGTGAAGGTGAGGTCCTGAGGGGGGGCCTAGTGCAGTGGGTCTGCTGTCCTTAAACAAAGGGGACCCTTAGTTACAGACAGCACCTGCAAGCCCCAGGGAGGGCCTCGGACACGGCCAGCCCTGCCACATCCTGGACCGCAGCCTCCGGCCTCCAGGACTATGGGGAAATGCAATTCTGTGGTTTCACCTGCTCATCTGCTGTCTCCAAAGCCTGGGCAGATGGGCACAGCTGGGTGTTAGAGGGCACTGAGGGATTGTTGTTAATTTTCTTAGTTATAACGGGGCTGCAGCTACCTAGGAGAAGGCCCTTGTATTTAGGACCTGCAGGCAGGCTAAAGTATTTGGACGTCATGACGCCTGATACTTACTTGAAGTCGTCCAGCCAGAAAATAAATGAAGTGCTCGCAGGTCACGCTAATACGGCCAACACTGGGCGGCTGGCCAGCGTGGGTGGTGGGTGTGCAGGCGATGCCACGCTACCCCTTCCACTTGAGTGTTTAAAACTCTTGTAATAAAAAGTGGGGGAGGAAGTCATGCTAAGCCAGCCACACTTCTGCTCCAGAGAGGGCCCTGCAAGAGCGGTGTGCGTGGGTTGCGGCTGGGTCTGCGCTGGGGTAGTGTAGGCTGCACTCTCCGGGGAGCCGCTGACCTTGGGCTCCCTAACCTCCTTCAGCCCCAGCTCTGTCCCTGTGTGAATCTCAGGGCTGTTTCGAGGATGAAAAGGAGGTGTTTAGCCCCGAGCCTCACGTGGAAACATCTGATGAGCCTTTGCCAATATGCTCGGGACCTGGGGACGGCTGGGGTGACCCCATCGCAAGGCCGGGCCGTGGAAACAATCTCAGCCCTGGAACCAGCGCCTGGGAAGTCCCGCGGTGGATCCGCGTCACGGGGGAGGATTGGCTCAGCACTGGTCCTGCGGAATGTGTTTTTATCAATGACTTGACGACGTGAAAAACATGTTTATAAAACGAGCAGATGGTGCCGAGCTGAGAGGGAGGTGACGCAGTGACTCAGGAACCACAAGCTCTGGAGGCTGAACGAGAATCGGTTACAGGAGATGAACACAAGGCTCGATTCTCCTGTTAAACTTGACTGTCACCAACGGGGGGTGGGGGGTGCGCGAGGCCCTGGGCTCCACCGAAGACCTTAAGGAAAAGACTCTGGATGTTAGTGGGTTCGGCCTCAGAATCAGCCGGCGCTGAGATGTGCACCTGGCAGGATGAACGTAACTTCTGGTGGATAAAGTGGGAGGCCTGATCCAGGAAGAAGCACACCGTGGCCTGGGGCCCCTCTGGAGGGTAGGTCTTCCAAGTCACGGGAAACAGGGCGCCCAGGAGACGGTGAGCCCGGCTGCTGCCACCCCGAAGGCCAGGCTCGCCCCACACTGTGAGACCCTCCCCACACGAAGATTCTGTAAGCGGAATCGGAAGGAGGATGTGAGAAGGACGGGTAGCCATGCCACACCAGGCCAGACATCTTACCAACCTATCGGTTCAGTTTTAAGAAAGAGAGCAAAGAGGATCTAAAATCTGAACTTTGAGCAGCTGAACTGTGTGGAGTATCAACGTGGCTCCTGACAACCCCACCGGCACTGTTTCTTTGCACTGGAGGTCCTGAAGAGCTCACGGAAGGTGCACTTGCAGTTGTAGTTCAGAGATGATGCTTTTAGACAATCTTTCCCTTCGAGAAGTAGCCTAATGAGAAGGACTCTGTAGATCTCTTCCTAAAAAAGAATCCTCAGTCTCTGGCAGAACAGCTGCCCAGAACAGCTTCTGCCTGTGAGGTAGCAAAGAAAAAGGCCCACACAGAATTTGCTGGGATATTTTCTTTCCAACACCAACAAACCGACAGCCTTCCCAAATCCTAGGGCAGAGTCGGCTGGCACTGAGATCAAAAGGGGTGAAGGGAAGGCAGCCAGGCTGGGAGTCTCTCTCCAGCAACTTTCTTGGCGAGGTGACATATATGCCCAGAACCTTTTTCTATGGAAGGAAAAAGAAAACCCTGGCTTAATCATCAGAGTTAGGAGAATCACCCACGTATTCATCTTTAAAAGCAAATCATGATAACTTTTGGTCACTCAGAAGTAACCAAGGCAAAATATTCCTCTTAGGGGACTCTGTTTAGAGTTTTGGGAGAGAAAAAAAAAAAAACTAAACCAAAGGTTTATTTAGAAATAAATTGTTTTCTGAGTATTCTAAGGAAAGCTATGCTTAGCCAAAGTGCTTCAGCCCTTGTACATGTTTCAAATACTTCTGTAGAAGTTTGAAATGGACATGGATTTTCCCAACACACACGCACAATCTCAGGTGAGCCCAAGACAGCCTATGAGGATGGCACTGGGGAGTCTGGATTTCAGCTCTGACGGGCGGGCTCTAAACCCCAAAGTTCTTGTCGGCCAAGTGGGGGGGTTTCTTGTGAGGACCAGAGGTGGCACATCCACGGGCATGGGGGACGCTGGCTCACGATGCCCCAGTGATGCCGTGGTTAGGACACTGCTCACGCAGCTGCAGCGCAGAGCACGGGGGACGCTGGCTCACGATGCCCCAGTGATGCCGTGGTTAGGACGCCGTTCACGCAGCTGCAGCGCAGAGCACGGGGGACGCTGGCTCACGATGCCCCAGTGATGCCGTGGTTAGGACGCCGTTCACGCAGCTGCAGCGCAGAGCACGGGCGACGCTGGCTCACGATGCCCCAGTGATGCCGTGGTTAGGACGCCGTTCACGCAGCTGCAGCGCAGAGCACGGGCGACGCTGGCTCACGATGCCCCAGTGATGCTGTGGTTAGGACGCTGTTCACGCAGCTGCAGCGCAGAGCACGGGGGATGCTGGCTCACGATGCCCCAGTGATGCCATGGTTAGGATGCTGCTCAAGCAGCTGCAGCGCAGGGCCAGTGTGGTGACCCTGACTCCTGGGAACGGTGATCAGCTGGGCCTCTGCCTCACTGGACCACGCTGCAAGGCAAGGGCCTGGGAGATGCCCACAGCCGCGCCTCTGGCTGTGAGGCAGCTGTGGTCCTCCAGCAGCAATGCCCTCAGAAGCTGGGAGATGTGAACCCCACATGACTCTCCTCCTTGCTGTCTTCCTGTCCCTGAGCCTTCAGCTCTTCGTTGTCTCTGTCTTGTCTCTCTGCATTGTTTGTCCTGGTTCTCTCTCTCTCTCTCGTTATTACAACATAGAGCCAAAAATACTTTTTTGTTTAGGATATGGCACCAAAATAGTATCATATCCCTGTTCTTCATCTGAAATGCAGACAAGCGAAATGCTGCATAATTCTTTTTTAAACATTCAAAAAACAGAAAATGCATGTTAAGTTCTTTAAACTTCTGAGATAATACAACTAGACCTAGCATGGTGCCAGCCAAGCATTGCATAATGTGTGTTTCCTTCTCCTTTGGGGGCTCATTCCGATCAGGGTGCATCTGGGAAGTCGGGCGACTGTGTCCATCTCCTGGGTGGAAGAATGACCCAGGGAAGTGCTCCATGGGGAAGGCGGGGCATGAGAGAAGGGAGGGGTGGTCCCGAGGACCCTTTCCATAGACCTGGGAGTTCCCGGTGAGCACGCGGAAAGGACGCGGTGGGAGCGGCAGGTGCAGAGGGAGGACTTGAAGGTTCCATCCCTAACAGAGGACAGCGTGGCCGAGTACTCATGCTTCCAACCCTGCACAGAGGATAGTGCATGCCCAGCATGCAGACTCGCTTCCATCGCGACACAGAGGACAGCATGGAGCCCAGCTCGAGTGCCGTCCCCCCACCATGACAGCGCAGCATGGGCCTTCCAAGCCACAGAGCCACAGGGAAGCCAGTCCTCCTGGACCGTGTGTGGCTGTTTTGGAGCCAGTTGTGTCCTGTGAAGAGCGCAGCGGCCGCAGGTGAGGCAGGAGTGAAGATGGAGGAGGCGGCCATCTCTCTGGGGCCTGGCAACAGCGAGAGCTTTTGCCAAGCCACTGTCTCCCGGAGGACAAGATCTCCTTCCCAAAAGCAAGATGGCCAAGAGTATGGAGAAGAAAGTAGGTAATACAAGTTTGCTCAGAATAAACCTATGTGTTCATGAAAATATTTCTATCTAGGGTTCTCCCAGGAGGTGAACTTGCCGTTCTCTGTCTTCCCTGGTGGCCTCTCAACCCTGAAGGGCAGTGCTGTGTCTTCACACCCTGGCACATGGGTCGGGAGAACCCTGGGAGGAGGTGCAGGCAGCTTCTTTCTGGCTCCAGTGCGAGTCTCGGGAGGGAGGTGCTTTCCCCCTCACCCGTCACCTGGCTCAGAATGGGCAGGGCTGTCCTGATCCCCATGAGAACATCAGGCGCCCATCCACATGTGGCCACCCTGTTGGCACCGGCTGCTACCTGGGGAGGCTGCCTGTGTCCCATCTGAGCACGGACCACTTCACCATCACTAGGTCCCTCGCCCCCAACCCCCCCATCCACACTGTACAGACAGAGCCCAGAAGGCTGCAGGGCACACGGGAGGAAAACCCCATCGGCAGGTCGTTTCTGCCACGCTCCGGGCTGTCTTTGGGGAGGGCGTGCTGTCAGATGAATATTTACCATGAAACACCTCACAATCTAAGTAAATGACCAGACACACAGAGACATATAATGCACGCTTACTGCATGGCTATTTACCACGAACCATTCTCCACTCAGGACTCAGCAGGATACCCGCTCACCACCACCCTCACTTGTCCTACCACACCGGCTTCACTCCCCGCCCTCTCCTCCCCCAGGCTGCTCCTCTCTGAGGACAGTGGCCAGGCCCCCAGAGCCTGTTAGTAGCCCCCGACACAGGGCCGGTGCTTAGTAAATATCTGTTAGTTGGCTAATGGGATGTATTGTATTTTGCTTTTCTTCTAAATATAAAATTTATAAATCACACAGCTTCTGTTTTTAGATCTCTTTAGGGTTAAAACCCTCAGACCTCATAGAAACTGGTCTGAACACTAAATGGGTAGCAAGAAGCGTGCACCCAGCTGGGTGAATGGGATTTTACACAGGTCTGCAGTGCCCCAGGTTAGTTTCTGAAGCAAAACAAGATTCCAGCTTCTCACTGTTCTGACCTGTAACACTTCCTGAGGGCTGGAAGGAGGGCAAGGGCAGTGCCTCTCCCTGGCGTGGGGGGCTGTGCTGCTGGTACGGGGACAGGCGGTGTCTCAGGGACACCAGTCTGATCCCTTGACCGGCTCCGAAGGGTTGAGGCAGGGACACAGTGACGGAGAGACGGCCTCGGCCACAGGGGACACTGGTCCCGCCTGATGCTGAGCTGAAAGTGAGTGTGGCCGAGTGGTGCTCTCGAAGTGTGAGCTGACGAAGCTCCCTCTGTTGCATCAGAGACATGCGCAAGGGCCTTGTCTTAGGGTCCTCAGGAGAGTAACTAAGAAACTCTACCCACACTGTCATTTATCATTCATCACTCAACGTTGTGAGTATCTACTTCCCCCTGAAACTCTGGTCAGGAACATATCTAGGACCCCCTTCCTCCTGGCGGGTGGGTTTATAACCAATCAAAGTGTGGAACCTTCATTGGAACCTGCTATACACATAGAGGATGAGTGAGGTGGACGCCAGCGCCGGGCAGTCCTTGCCCTCCTCATCTTGTAAGCAGCTTAGTGCCTCCCGTGCTGTGGGAACACGAGGCGGTGTCTCTTCCAGTCCACGAGAGTCACTCGGAGAACTGCTGGCTTATATTTCCATTTTCTGGCAGTGATCCCTAGCTAGGTAGTAGGTGCTCAGTTTGTGGAAATAATTGTAAAGTTAAAGATGCTGTAAAAGCAACCACTGTTGATTGTGTGCCTGCGACGTACCGGTGCTATGCTAATGACCTCGTCTAACCCTTACAGCAGTAATACTTCAAGGACGACAGCGTGACCCCAATTACAGATGTGACGTGGAGGCTCCAAGAGGTTCAGGAACATGTCTCAAGTCACTCGGTGACAGAGAACAATAGAGCTGATGCTCACTGGGGTGCAGATGTCCCCAGGCCCGTGCTGGAGGAAAGGAAGACACTGGTTCCTTGTTGGTTGGGCTGGGGATGGCATCGCAGAGGGGAGATTCCCAGGAGGGCCTTCCCAGAGGGGGCAAGTCTGCTGCAGGCGGGGGGTGCCGGGAAGGAGAAGCGGAGGGCTTTGCAGACCCTCAGGATGGGGCTGTTTCCCCCGCCTGTAACCCAGGCCTCCCTCCCCGGGGACTGGTACACACAGGTCAGCATGGCCAGTTTCCCCCGCCTGTAACCCAGGCCTCCTGCCCCCGGGACTGGTATGTACAGGTCAGCATGGCCAGTTTCCCCCGCCTGTAACCCAGGCCTCCTGCCCCCGGGACTGGTATGTACAGGTCAGCATGGCCAGTTTCCCCCTCCTGTCACCCTGGCCACCTGCCCCCGGGGCTGGTATGTACAGGTCAGCACGGCCAGTTTCCCCCTCCTGTAACCCAGTCCTCCCGCCCCCGGTGCTGGTATGTACAGGTCAGCACGGCTAGTTTCCACTGCCTGTAACCCAGGCCTCCCGTCCCCGGGGCTGGTACACACAGGTCAGCACGGCCAGTTTCCTCCGCCCGGAACCCTGGCCTCCTGCCCTCGGGCCTGGTATGTACAGGTCAGCACGGCCAGTTTCCACCGCCCGTAACCCAGGCTTCCTGCCCCCGGGGCTGGTACGTACAGGTCAGCACGGCCAGGGAGCGGTTCTTGGGCACGTTCTCCTCCCTCTGGGCCACGAACGAGCTGTTGGGCTCCGCCTGGTAGGCGCACAGCGCTTCCCACTCCTTCTCCAGCCGGTTCTTGTTCTTCAGGTGGTCCTCCATGTAGGACTGAAAGGGAAACACAGGGTCAGGAGCGCACCTAGGTGGTGAGCCCAGACCGGCAGATGCACAAAAGGCAGCGGAGGCCTTTGCACTCGCCGCGTGGGCCATGCCCACCTTGCTCACGAGCCTGGGCCATGGTGCGACGTTGTGCTACGGTGCACAATGCATATCATACCATGCAACCGTTAAGTGAAATATGTGCATTGTTAACACACATTTTACATATGTAAATATAAACTCCGGTGTTTGGGAATCAGTTTACCGCTGAGATGACAACAATTATCACATGCTTTAACGACAGGGCCAGGGAGCTCAGACCAAGCTCTCGGTGGGGCTGCTCCGCGTGCCCATTTCTGCTTGCATGGAAGTCATTTTTCTTAAAACCGGCGCACGTTTCTGAACCCACTGGGTGTGATGCAGTTGAGAGACTGGGCTGCTCTGATCTGTGCAAAATGCGGGACAGCTTCTAGCATGAAACAAACACAAATGGATGGAAGCAAATATTTTAACCCTTGGCTGTTTCGATCTTAATTTTTCTGGTGCTTGTCGTTGAGCATTACTATGAGTAGACAAGGAAACAAAGGCCTCCTGAAAATTCCCTTCCACAAAAACCCCCATGCCGCCAGCACAGCCCACTCGGTTCTTATTCATCTGTACCGTTGAGAACAAGCCCTGATTTTAAGAAAGAACATTTCAAAGGACCAAACCCAGCTGCACTATGGCACCACAGGAAGTGACGGCCTCGTCTGCTGTCACTCTGCTTGTGGATTTGCAAGGTACTGTGTGTCATGTGTAGACACAGGTTCCAAGTGTGTCCACACGAGAAAATAAAGCATGCATGTGTACACATGGTCCTTTGCTGCAAAGCGGCCACGCATTCCAATGTCAGGCCCGGGGTCCAAGCCCTTCTCACCTTCTGCCCACCCCCTGACATCCCCTTCGATTGATCCGAGGAGCTGGGATGGTCCCTCCCTGCCCACTGGGGCCCGTTCCAGGAGACAGGTAGAGAAAGAGACACAGAGGGAGGGAGGGCTGGACACGGCGAGGCGGGAATCTCAGGTCATCGTGCCGTCTAGTGGAAGTTTTGACCACAGCCAACCTGAACCCATGCAGCAAACACACACCCTGCTGTGCTGGCCCAGCTCACACGGGAGCAGGTGCATCGGGCACCTGTGCTGTTTGCGCGACACCCCCGCATCTGGGTGGGTGTGGTGGTGAGGGACAATCGCCTGGCTCAGGGTGGGCACTCTAAGGCCGTCTGTTGGGAGGTCCCAGGTTGTCACTGTCACCCCCACCATGGCCCTGCTTGAGCTAGTTGGGAAAAGCAGAGGGACTCCAGTGCCGTTGAGAAGCCGCACCGACTGCCTGCTCCACGCAGCGAACGCTTTTCCCCCACCACACCTTGAGCCTTGGGAGCACACCTGCGCCAGGAACAGAAACATCAGGGCTGCTCTGAGCCAAAGCGAACGAGTTCATCTACTCCCGTCACCAGCCCCGACACCCAGGAAGCCTCGTGGTTTCCTTGTGCATGGAAGAAGCACCCCACAGAGATGTCTCGAGTTGTGAAATTAGGCAAAATTCAAATGGCTCAATCTAGGAAATGCTACACATTCTTTCTTTTGAGACAATCATTATGGAACATCAAATTCATATTTTTGTACCAAAGTTACCCTAATAGGAAAAACATTTTTGGATGATATAATATTTAAGTTTTGTGAAAATACTGACCAGCTCATCTAGCCCAAATCTGGTGTGTGAGGGAAGCTGGGAGGTTGATAGTTATGGTGAAAGGATAGTCCCAGTCTGTTTCTGTGGCTACTTTTCTCAAGTTGGGCTTACGTAGAGTTCTACAAATAGGTAGGTCGAAAATGGTTCCTGGCAAAATCATTCTGGGTCCTAGCTTTTCTTTGAAAAATGCTCTTTTCATAAAATCCATCACAAACAAATGGGCTTCCTTCAGTAAAACATGATGGGTTCTAAAATGATGAACCCTAGCAGGTTTAATCCAATCGAAAATATTATCTGCAAAAGAGGCACTGGATATTATCTTAATTCGTATAAACTACAGCTATTTAAATTCTCACATTTATCTTAACTATAGGAAGCAAAATTACACTCTAAGTTCTCTTGAATTTCTAAATTTATGGCAAAAATATAAACTGAGCCTGTGTGGCCCAAGGTTGGGTGGTAGGAGGGAGGAAGAGGTAGATACTGACGCGATGTTTTTTCACGGAGAATGAAGTCATCTGCAGAGGCACGTGACTCTATTAAAACTGAGATAGAGCTGACATCTCTCTGCACACGCCACTCCAGTGGGCTGTGTTTGTCCCGTTCTGCTCATTTCAATTTGATCTGTTCTGTATTCTTCTATCAATATTTTTTATGAAACATCCTTTGTGATATTAAACTGATGAAATATCCCCCAACTACATCTTAGGAGTCTTTTTTCTCTTTCATGGCTTGTAGATAAGATGCTTTTCATCTGTGAGTCTGTGGGGAAGCTAGGCCTTCATAGCAAAGTAATGTTTTAAACAATGAAAGCAAAACCAAAAGGTACCACGGGAGCTTAGTACAGATGCTCCCCTACTTATGATGGGTTATGGCCCAAGAACTTCTTAAGTTGAAAGTGCATTGAGGCCGGGCTCGGTGGCTCACGCCTATAATCCTAGCACTTTGGAAGGCTGAGGCGGGTGGATCACCTGAGGCCAGGAGTTCGAGACCAGCCTGGCCAACATGGTGAAACCTTGTCTCTACTAAAAATACAAAAATTAGTCGGGCATGGTGGCGGGCGCCTCTAAGCCCAACTACTCGGGAGACTGAGGCAGGAGAATCGCTTGAACCTGGGAAGCGGATGTTGCAGTGAACCGAGATCGCATCATTGCACTCCAGTCTGGGTGACCAGAGTGAAACTCCGTCTCAAAAAAAAAAAAAGTGCATTGAACACAGGTAACCTACTGAGTGTCACAGCTGAGCCTAGCCTGCCTTACACATGCTCAGAATACCTACCTTCCTCTGCTGCTGGGCAAACCCATCTCACACAAAGCCTACTGAGGATAAAGTGTTGAATATCTTACATGATTCATTGAACACTGAACTGAAAGTGAGTAACAGAATGGTTGCATGGGTACTTGAAGTTCAGTTTCTATTTAATGCGTGTTGCTTCTGCACTGTAAAGTCAAACCATCATAAGTTGGGGGCCGTCTATACTGTGGTCATCCTGCATGTGAACTTGGACAAGTATAGCAACTCTACTCAGACGTCTTCTGGAATTATTAGGAAATTAACATGTAATTTAAACAGTATTTGTGGCTTTTCCCTGGTAGTGGGCATTTAGCTATAGGTGTTTTTAAAACTGACATTTAAGCAAACAAATCAGTAAGAAAAAAAAACACAATCCTATCAAAAAGTGGGCTAAGGACATGAATAGACAATTCTCAAAAGAAGATATACAAATGACCAACAGACATATGAAAAAATGCTCAACATCACTAATGATCAGGGAAATGCATATCAAAACCACAATGCAATACCACCTTCCTCCTGCAAGAATGGCCATAACCAAAAAATCAATAAACAGTAGATGTTGGTGTGGATGCAGTGAACAGGGAACACTTCTTCGCTGCTGATGGGAATGTAAACTAGTACAGCCACTATAGAAAACAGTGTGGAGATTTGTTAAAGAACTAAAAGTAGAAATACCATATGATCCGGCAATCCCACTACTGGGTATTTACCTAGAGGAAAAGATGTCATTATACGAAAAATATACTTGCACATGCATGTTTATAGCAGCACAATTCACAGCTATAAAATTGTGGAACAAACCCAAATGCTTATCAATCAATGAGAGGATAAGGAAACTGTGGTACATACATATGATGGAATACTACACAGCCATAAAAAGGAATGAATTAACAGCATTTGCAGTGACCCGGATGAGACTGGAGACTATTCTTCCAAGTTAAGTAACTCAGGAATGGAAAACCCAACCATATGTTCTCACTAATATGTGGGAGCTAAGCTATGAGGATGCAGAGGCATAAGAAAGATACAATGGACTTTGGGGACTTGAGGGGAGGAGAAGGAGGGGGGCGAGGGATAAAAGATTAACAAATATGGTGCAGTGTATACTGCTCAGGTGATATGTCACCAAAATCTCACAAATCACCACTAAAGAACTTATTCATGTAACTAAATACCACCTGTACCCCAATAAATGGAAAAAAATCATAAAAAAGTTAGCTCAGAAAAAAAACCTTGACATTTAAATTCTTTTATTTTATAGATGAGTGCATGTGTGAGAGAGTGTGGTGGTGGGACGGCTTAGTTTCTTAAGGCACTGCAACTTTTGTTACATAAATAGCATATGTAGAAAAGAAAAGAAAATGAAGATAAGCAGAATGGCAACGAATAACCCCAGGGCCCACAGCAAACTGTAAGGCAACCTTTTCCCCCAGTGCTGAGTACCTTCATTTCAGCTTTGGACATCCTCAACAGAATACAATTTACTGCTTTAAAGTGAAAAAATGCAGAGATGAGGCTCACATCTTACAGATAAGGAAACCAAGGCCTAGAGAAGGTAAGCAATTGGTCCACAGCCCCCAGCAGCCAGTGGCAGCACCAAAGCCTGAGCCTGGCCTCTGAAATGCCCTGTGGGTTTTCTCCTGGCCCGTCACTGCAGCCTTCTCGCTGATCTTCTTACCATCGCTTCCCCTTTCCAGTTGCTTTTTCACTGAACGACCAGGTTGGCGTTTCTGGTGCAAAATATAACCTATTTAAAAAAATTACCAAGGGTGCCTAGACTAGCATTGTCCTTTTTCTGAATTTCCTTTTACTAATCTGATACTTTCTATCCCATAAGACTGCTTCTCAGCCTTTGCCCCGTCCCCACCGCCATCCTTCTCTACATTTTGTGCTGATTTTTCTGTAATGAACCGACCCAGACTTCAAGGTGCAGTTCAGACAACACTTCCTCCTCCAGGAGTCCGGTCAGGACATGCCCATTACCTACCCCACCCCATGATCTTTCTTCCCTATAACCCACCCCCCACATCAAACAGTTACTACTTCAAACATACGTCTCTGTGGCATTCGTCACATTCTTCCTGTTGCTTTAACTGTGGGTTTCAAGCTCTGATTCTTCTCATGAGATTAATTTTTTTAGGGCAGGGACTGTGTTTCAGCTGCTCAGCACAGGCAGCAAGCACTCAGCCAATATCTGTGGAATAATAATGCATAATCTGGAAATCTCTACAAGTGATTTATATTATAGGTAAACATTTTATTTTGATGATGGGCATCCAAAACACTGCCTTTGAATCTTCTGAAACTTGGAAGAACTTCTCCAAAAAGGAGCATAAGGAACTTGGAATGTTTTACTATACATGACCTTGCTGCCATCTTCCTTTCTGGGGTTGCCCAGCAAACATCACTGTAACTCATGACAGACAGGTGTCAGCTCATTGAGTGTTCCTGTAACAACCTGAACCTAACAGCAGTCGTATAAATTTGGAAGGGCAACAGTTCAGAGAGCTCTTCTCTACAAGTCTCCTCCACAACTCTTCTCCTTTTTTCACATCTCCCTCATTCTCCACAGTCCAGGTCCCAGGTGGGGTGCTCCATCTCCCCTGGAGCCTTCTCAGTGGCCTCCAGGCACCAGTGTGCACCGCACCTGCAGCTGGGTCTCCTCCGGGGCGTGAGCTCCTGGTGGTCAGGGACCCCTTCTCACACCGTGTCCCACTTCACACAGCTCCTTGCTCTGGGCTCTCCGTCAGTGCCTCTGAGTTGAAGCTTTATGAAGAAAGCTCTAGAATGAGCTGACTGAGGCTGACAATACCAGAGGGAGTGAGCCAGTGAAGGCGGGATTGCACCACAATGCGTGCTCACATCAGGAAATCCATGAAGAGTGAAAACAGGGAGCGAAGAATTGGTGGTGAATCTCAGTCGATGCAGGCTGAAGTGCTTAGGGAAGTTGGAGTTGCTGTCTGTTCCCTGATCCTTAGGAAGCGTTTGGAGGTGTGTCTTTCGTCTTTTAGAGCTGCTTGCTCTATAATTTTGGGTTTTGAAGGGCTCTTGGCTGGGAGAACTCAGTCTGACATTTTCATATTTTTAAACTCCATTAAGGGAATTTTACTTAAGCTGTTTCTAGATAAGCCCTGAGTGAAAAGGTGTCTCCAACCTTCTCAAATTCTCATACTTCCTGAGGGCCTAGACATGATGTGCTTGTGGAAGAGTGAATTCCTAGATCAAACCATTCATGGAGAAAGCTACGGGGACTCAGGAAGTGGGTTTCCCAAGGGTGTTGCCAACATTCACTATCTGACGTAGATCCCAGAGCACACGACATCCACACCACAGCAGCTGAAGATGTGGCTGCATTCTTTTTCGCGTTCTCACCCTTTGAGAATGACACCATCAGCGCTCACATAATCTACTTTGTTAGAGATATGAACTCAATCTAAGGTTTCCCCTGTCATCCTTCTCCCGTTTCTGAATCCATCCTGCCAGTCCCTGTCTCATGGTGTTTTCTAGCTCATCCTACGAGACCATTTAGGGTTGGAGCATTAAGGACAGTCACTGGGTCACAAGACTGGGTGCTGCTAGACGGGTTTTGGAGGAAACAGCCTCCATGTGTCAGGCAAACCAACTGGCTTCCACATTTAATGGAATCATTATACACAGAACCCCAAAATTTGTGTAACAAAAGTGTGATTGCCATGAACACTTTGAGGGAGAATGTGTTCACAATGTATTACATAGCACAAATGTCGTCAGCACCGTCTTCCGGTCAAATGGTCAACACCTTGAGGTCAAGGGGCTGATTTCTAGGAACACGGAGCACAGACAGTCCAGAACACAACAGTGTCTGTTAACGATTGCAAGAGCACCTTCTCTTCAGGAGAGGAACCACCCTGTCACTCGCAGAGATGAACATGGAAAGGAGCTTCTGTGGAACAGGAACGCACATGAACACACTGGGAAGGCACTGGACTTTGTGTTGATAGAGTTCTTAACAGTCTTACACAGAACGGTGTGGGTCCCTCCCACAGCTACTTTTTGGCGTGGAGCCTTCCGGCAAGTCAGGCCATCTGACTGAGCCCCACGGGTGCACCCCTTCGTAACCTGGTCATCACAGCTCACAGGGGAGAGCCAGAGTCTATGTTCCCAAGGAGGTTTTGAGGGGTGATGCGTGAATATGGGAGACACAGTAGAAGGTGTGTGCCCGGGGATGGGGTGCGGGACGGTCTCAGTGTTTCAGTAGAGGAAGAGGGTACTGGAAAGACTCCTGAGTTCCCTCCCACGCTCTGTGGCTGCACTGCGGTTCTGGGGAGACTCTTATCCTCTTGTTTAAGGAAATACAACATGTCCACTCTCTTCTGTTCACTTCTTTTTTGAAGAGGGAAATATTTCATGGCCTGTCTTCAGGAGAGGAAATCCTAGGAAATGCCTGTTTAAGAGACTATGTGACACTAAACTGCTAGTTAACAAGGACAATTTCTCCGGTGGGAAGAGCACACCAGCATCCCGTGTGCATCTGATGCAGGACCCGCTCACACGAAACATGCTCGCCTTCCTGTTGGCACCAGGAGGAAGTGCAGCTGCCACCTCTGAGTACTGGGGTAGTGCATCTGGAGACTTGTAAAGGGTCCAGATGTGGTTCCATGTGAATCCCGTCCACAGGCACTGGGATCCTGGGTCAGCCAATGCTGATTCACCTGTTCCTGCAGACCCTGCTGCCAAAGACACCGCAGAACCCATGGGGAGGCAGAAGAAAGGCTGGAGCAGGTCAGTGCTATTTCAGCTCCATTCAGAGTCACAGAAATTAGGTTATTTTGGCATCTATCTGTTGGCTGTAACAATGAAGAAGTGAGATACTGAGAGGTGCAAGATGATTTATTATTATTATTAAAAATAATAATGAGAATAAACTCCCACCATGCAATACTAAAACTCCTAAGGAGTCCTAAGGACTCCTAAAACTCAGTGGACTATTTAAAAATGAGCAAAAGCCGGTCCATCTGGCATTATTTCTCATCAATCAAACCACTCGTGCAGTGGAAAGTGAGTCCCCACGGATGACTGGAGGCGCCCATCATCACTCCGTGGGTCTTCGGATATGGGACGAGTGGAAACTGTCCTGGTGAAACTTCGTTCCTACAACGATGCTGCCAGCAGTGGAGACTTCTTCCCACTGTAGAACAAGGCGTGTTAAAGAAAGCTGGGCTTTGGGGAACCCAGTCATTACTGGGAAGGCTATACTTCTCTTTTCTACAATGGCGCCTATTGCAGCACAATGCCCTTTAATTTACTGAACATTACAATCAAACCTTTTGTTAAAACGAATAATAGAATCCCTTTACATTTTCCTTCTTGTGACGAGACCACAGGTTTGTGTGTTGAAGTCACAAGTTAGAGTAATGCTTTTAAAAGCAAGGACTAAGCTGCTTCCACTGCCACTTGGGGAAATGATGACCTTTTCTTTCTTTAAAAATAAACACAGTCACCTGTCTTCATTAATACATGAACGGGAAATATTCATGTTAAATTTTTGAATTCCAAAAGTAGGACAATTGAATTCCAAGCAAAACTGTGAAAAGATGAAAGGAGAAGTTCGATGAGGTTGATTGTCCTGGCTCAGCACACACAGCTATGGGGGCTTCGGGAGCAGCAAACCCTTGATGAGAAGGTATTTTATTGTCTGTAGATTGCTGCATCTGGCATATTTTAAATATTATTTGTTAATATTATGCAGCAGGAATGTTAAAATATTTAAAATTAGAAATTCAAAGTAGTACATGTGAACACAAAGAAGAACAGATAATGGTTAAAGGATCAGAAGATAGTTTCACTATTTCTTAGTTTAAGAAAGCTCTTCCTGAAACAGGAATCCCGACCCATACGACCATATTCAACTTGCCATCTCACTCTCAGAAAGCAATGCCCACAACGTGAGGCGGCAGGGAGTGAACCGGCTTCTTCACCATCCCGCTCCTCTAACACACCGTGTGCCCGTCACGGCAGCACCTTTGACTTGCCATGGAATTACGGGTCTTACTCAACAGCTGAAACAGGCATTGTTCCGGCTCTCCAAACAAGCAACTTGAGATGCAGGGCAGATATGCACACATTACCAAAAGGCACAGGCCCATGGCAGCCAACTCGAAGTGTGCCTGCATGCCAGGGTGGAGTTTGCTCGGGAGAAGCAAACACACGGTTTTGGAATTCAGCCTCTGGGTCATCCGTACAAAGCCAAAAAGAAGTAGAAATGGGACCCAAGGAATTAACAAGAGTGTGTGAAAGACCATTCATGGGGTCTTCTCGCTTTTGATCACATTTTAAAAACTGCTTTCCTGACAACTTGTTTGTAAGGAGGAGGCATTCCCACACGTATCTGCAGTAAGTCATATGCTTCCCTTACCGCAGGGAACTGGGAAGTGGTCAACACAGATGAAACTGGCAAAAGCCTCCTCCTGTGGGCACCACAACTGGCTTCCCTGATGGATGTGAATTAATGCCATTTATTCCAAGCTCTTTCTCTGAGAGTTTTGTCTCCAGCTGACCTATTCTGAGGACCACCTAGAATCTCTGGCAAGCCCAGAGACCCTTGAAAACTGTTCTCCCTGCGTCTTAATGTGACTTAGAAATCCATTTCCATTCTTTGCCTTGTTACCAATCAAACTGTGGAGTAACAGAAAATTATAAACCATTAAGGTAGTGGAGAAAAGTTCAAATACTTCAAAATGGAATCTTCCGGAGAAAGTCCCCAGTTGGTATGCAGTTCGGGTGGAGAAGGTGAAGTAGCAGCGGCAGGAACAAAGCGTAGAAGGGGAAACAACGTGTGGTGCGTGTTGGTTTTGAGACCGGGAACGCTACTGAACTATCTGCTTTATTTAAAACTTTTTCATCATTGAAAAATAAATTCACTCACTGAGAATTAAGAATCCCAGCACTTTGGGAGGCTGAGGCGGGCGGATCACGAGGTCAGGAGATCGAGACCATCCTGGCTAACACGGTGAAACCCTGTCTCTACTAAAAATACAAAAAATTAGCCAGGCGTGGTGGCGGGCGCCTGTAATCCCAGCACTTTGGGAGGCCGAGGCGGGTGGATCACGAGGTCAGGAGATCGAGTCCATCCTGGCTAACACGGTGAAACCCCGTCTCTGCTAAAAATACAAAAAATTAGCCAGGCGTGGTGGTGGGCACCTGTAGTCCCAGCTACACAGGAGGCTGAGGCAGGAGAACGGCGTGAACCCGGGAGGCGGAGCTTGCAGTGAGCCGAGATTGTGCCACTGCACTCCAGCCTGGGCGACAGAGCGAGACTCCGTCTCAAAAAAAAAAAAAAAAAGAGAGAATTAAGAATGCCCTTCAGATAAGGCTGTCAAGAAAATGACATGCTTTTTTCAAAGTCCTGTTAGAAAAACACTGTAAGAGGACAGATTCCTTGCCTCTAATAGAGGCACTGGGACATGATCACAGACCTTACGTACTTTCCGAAGAGCAAAGGGAAAGGAAGGTTAACTCTTTGCAAAGTGGTGTGTTAAGAGGACATGAAAACTGGCTCTATCTTGATTGAGTAGAAACTTTAATTAGTGTATTTTTATTATAATTTGGCTTTTGATGTTCCAAATCGATAACAAAGTCCAGAGTTGTAAGAAATCACACTGACAAAGGAGTTCTTACACAATGCCCAGGTGACCTGCAGGGTACTTCCTGGAGTCCACAGCCGGCCCAGTCTCTGCCTCACCTCTAGAAGGACTGCATGAAGACCTGCGATGCGTGGAAAGGTGGCCTGGTGCACCAACGCCTGGTGATCCTCGATTTCAGTTTATGACTTCCACTAAACTTCTGTTACACATTTACAGAAAAATATGACAATTTGATAAAGACTTAACAACAAAAACCCCAATGGAAGATGTTAATAGTGAACACATTGTGTTCTAGAAATGTTCTAATTAATAAACTTAAAAAGATAAGTAATTTTTTCCTTACCACCTACTCTTACTAAGTAGGGGAAAGTCTTGTTCTTTCATACGATTGATGGATTGTTTTACGTTGGGCATTTTTTAGCAAGATATCATATTAGGGAGTGTGCGTAGGAGGGGGTGACAGGGGTCACCTGCAGAAAGACTAAGAAAGAAGCTGTTTAATAATGGGGATGATGACAGAGGCATCACTTTGTATTTCAGGCTGTCATTCTCAGAGAAGCGCAAAGAATTTTAAATGAACAATTTTATGAATCTTATTATCTTATTTAACATCTTAAAAATTAAGGTTATGTGAACATAGGTAAAATACAGAGATGAATGCTTATAAGCAATGGAAAATAATTCAGAGAATTATACTATGTTTTCCATAAATGTACAGCTATTAATATTTAAATTTAGGGCAAAAGAGGTCTGCTTGGCATTCTAAGTGAAATGTGAATGCCTCATCTGGTTTTGGGACAGAGGGCTAAGAGCTGCTGTCATTTCTGTCGGATTCCTGCCGATGTTGTGGTGGTCTAGTCATCTGTCCCTTCAGTCATCCAGTTTGATTAAGCACGTCCTATAAGCCAGGGATGACCTAGGTTCGGGAGCACAGTAGTTAGCTGGCCAAAGACCCTGTCCTCATGTGGCTCATTTCTTTAGTTTCTTTTCTTTTCTTTTTTTTTTTTTTGAGACAGAGTCTCACTCTGTTGCCCAGGCTGGAGTGCAGTGGTATGATCTCAGCTCACTGTAACCTCCACCTCCTGGGTTCAAGCAATCCTCCTGCCTCAGCCTCCCAAGTAGCTAGGACTACAGGTGCAAACCATCATACGAAAACGAAATTTTTGTATTTTTAGTAGAGACAGGGTTTTACCATGTTGGCCGGGCTGGGCTCAAACTCCTGACCTCGGGTGATCTGCCTGCCTTGGCCTCCCACAGTACTGGGATTATAGGCATGAGCTACAACGCCTGGCCTCATTAATTTCTTTAGCTGGAGGGCAGACCATCTGCAAGTAGATAAACACAGCTTTAAAAAGTGATTTCAGACAACAGTGAGTAGTAAGAAGATGCGGACAAGAGTCACGACGCAGAGCCTGGGTGTGGGGACGGGGTGCACCTGGGATGGCACTGAGGGGGCCCCTCTGAAGGGTAAACTCTCAGAGCCATGGGCCGAGTCCCCGATGCTAAGGACCTGGGCAGGGCCTGAGTGGGGGTGGGGTCCTACAGGGAAGGGCAGTGAAGGCTGGAGCCCAGGGCAGGAGGGCGTGGCCACTCCGGGAGGAGGGAAGGTCGGGGCTGCAGAGAAGGAATGGATGTGAGGGCAACGGTGTCCGGCAGACCAGGAGCTGTTGGCCTGCAAGGACTCAGCAGTTTATTTTAAGAGCCACGGGAAGCTTTCATGAGTTTTAAGCCAAAGATGCTTGTGATGGTGGTTGATGGTGGCGCTTTTGGAAGACCACCCTGGTTCCCAGGTGGCAGTGCAGGATGCAAGTCAGGACTGCTGCAGCCCACCATGGAAGAGCAGGCAGTG
The DNA here is from genome assembly GCF_000001405.40 of Homo sapiens. Classification (NCBI taxonomy): domain Eukaryota; kingdom Metazoa; phylum Chordata; class Mammalia; order Primates; family Hominidae; genus Homo; species Homo sapiens. The sequence continues at coordinate 157,633,999 of NC_000007.14, forward strand.
GCTGTGGCATGGGGAACAGCGCGTGGGGAACAGCAGTGGAGGCGGGCGAATGAGAGAACTGGGCAGGGTGCACCGCGTCCTGCAGGCAACACGTCCTAGGATTCCCGTCTGCTCATCTGACCTGCCCTTCCTCACACACCTAAGTTGTCTTCAGCTCTTTAGCTTGCAAAATATTTTGTCATTGTTTAAACTCTTCACCCCTCACAGAACCACAGCAAGGAAAGACCCTAATGATTTGATCTGAGAAGCAAGGTCATACCTACCCTTAAGTTACCTGAAGTTAACAGTCTGGATAAAAACCTGAAAAATTCTATCCACAACTCTGATATTTCCAATAGCCTTCATGCTTTTGTTACATGGGCAAGACATTCAGATATTGAATGGCACTATTCAGCTTTCGTCAAAGTAAGTTTGCTCAAAGTACCATAGAAAATTAACTGCCCATAGCTAAACCCCAAATTTAAAATGTAAAGACAACCGAATCACTAACCTAACCTGGGACGCCGTGATGTGCTTGTCCACAGATGAGGCAACTCCTGAAACACAGACCAAGGCATCCGGGTGCCTGTGTGCACACAGGGCTGCGTTGTCAATGCATCGCGACCGGGCATGGTCCTGGGAGTGAATTATCCCCCACAGGTCAGAGGGGCCGTACGACCTCTTCCAGACCCCCCGGGCTCCAGTTATTAAATGACTCCTGCAATCATGAACTGCTTTCCAAAGAACACAAAACAATTCTGTGAAAGATTCACAGGCTGACGTAGGCTGACAGGGGTTCTAGCCCATTAAATCCATTTCAAACTGAAACCAGGGAGACAGCAAGTTTGAGAAAACCAGAATTTTTAAGAGATGAAAACTGCACATCTGCAGTGGACGTGGTCACCTGCCTGTTGTCCTTGGACACCGCGTGTGGGAGGAGCCCAGAACTTTCTAAAGAACCTAACAGGCCTCCAGGTCCCAGATGTTCTGACCAGCCAGCATGTCTCGAGTGTGACGTTAAGTCCAGAACACACGTGAAGGACGGCACACTGGTCCATCTCCCTGGACGTCCTTTCTCCTGTCCACAGCGACACGGGCTCTAACCAGCCAACGCCACGTATATTGAGTCAGTGCCATTGGTTCAGTGGGAAGAATCATGAGGACAAAGATGTAAATGGCAGGTGTGCGTTAGGCACTCCCCATAAGCTAACTGTTTGCTCTTCATGGTGTCTCTAACGTCTGACATAGCCTGGTACACCCTACATGATCAGTAACCATGTGTTGGATGAACTCAGGGTACAGGCACCCACGGAATTTCATTGTGGGAATGTGGGAGTGCCTCCCAGTTTCTGATCAAAGGCCTCTTGTGTCCAAGGCTGGTCATGTGTGCCAGGCACATGGGTTTCAGGTAACAGTCACCTTCACTTTGGAAGTGCAGGTGCAATGTACTGAGCCACGGCAGTGCTGCCATGAAGGCGTTTCGGACAAATGGTTACCAGTGTTTCATGGAATGATTTTCTTCACCAATATTTGTCATTCACCATCTAAAATCAAGTGAACAATCAGAGGGGGAGAAGGGTACAGATCTGGGACAATAAACCAATTTTCATTTTTCTAGAATTTTCTCCTATATTTTATTGTCTTCGCCTCAGCTCTTTTCTCTGGCTAGCTTACAGACTCTCACCCCAGCCAGGATATCTGGATTTTCTAGAATTTTCTCCTATATTTTATTTTCTTAGCCTTAGCTGTTTTCTCTGGCTAGCTTACAGACTCTCACCCCAGCCAGGATATTTGGATTTTCTATAATTTTCTCCTATATTTTATTTTCTTAGCCTCAGCTCTTTCCTCTGGCTAGCTTACAGTCTCTCACCCCAGCCAGGACATTTGGAACTATTGCATAATCCATTCCCAGAATGCATGAGCAGCTCTGGACCCTATAAAATATTCATTCACTTTCAAAAATATTTGCACCCTGCTGTCAAATGTAGACAAAGTCACATGAAGTATCAGGAAATCGCTATTTTAATGGCAAATACTTCCCCAACCCTCTCTTTCCACTAAAACATTTTCTTCAAAATTATTTTCATAAGAAAGATTAACAATTTCAACATTAGCTGCTAATCCCCTTTCATTTAAAACTCTGCTGATAAAATTCTTTGCTTGTCATTCAAACAGTAAGTAATAATTATAGATTTGAGGCTTCCATCTCTGGCTTCATTAATGGTAAATTGCATGGAAGTCTGAAGCATAAGTCAGCTTTGATACATCTCAAAATGCAATTTCCATAGCTTCCCTTGGCTATGTACAATTAATTACACAGTTAATAAGGGAAATATGTTAATGAAAGGAACATTATTCATCAAGACCACCTGCCTTTACCAAATATCCTTTGTGTGTTTCTCTTCTTCTTGTAATTTTGGTCTACAGACAGTTAAAAAAAACAACAACAACAATTGACAGTGTGATGATTTTAATACCAGACTGCAGCTACTTCGATTAAAACAAGTCTAATGAAAAATTAATTCAGTCTTATAATATTTCTACTGATTTCTGCCTTTTAGAAGTTTAAAATGTCTACCCATATATTTCTACTGATTTCTGCCTTTTAGAAGTTTCAAATATTTACCCATGGTATTTCAAATTCCTGAAATGGCTATTTATCAAACACAAAGTTTACTATTCAGGTGTCTTCTTTATACCAGGATCTGCGGTCATCACCTTTATAGATGAATGGAAAACACTGGAGAACTTTGGAGAAATGGCGTGGAAGATGAAGAGATAATGCTCAATCATTCTAAACAGATTAAACTCCCCCAATTCTTTTCCCGTCCATTTTAAACCTCTCTGCTTAGCAATAATTAAATCCTCTCATTCCATTTGGATAATCAAAGTTTAACTATAGATAGTTTAACACAGAAACCAATGCTAACCTTTACAAAGAAAGTAAATATCTTCTAAGCCTTTGATGAGGAAGAGAAATCGGAATATTATAACCAGAAAAAGGAAGTTGGAAAAAACTATATTTCTGTTTACTTTTTATAACTTATTTGAACAATATGAACAAATGTATTTGCAAATATTTGTTCTACAACATTTTTTTATTAATATAAATCAATACACATTCCTTATTCAATGAGAAAAGAATTTGACTCTAGCTTCGAACATATCCCTTTGACATATGAAATATAGTTTAAGCCATGAGTTACTTAAAAATTCCATTAGTGTGCAAAATTCAGCTGAAAACCAACCTTGGATTCCAAACAGATCATAGGAAAAGAGGGTGCAAGAGAAAGAAAACAGTTCATGAAATGCAACCTTTACGTAACTAAGCCCTGAAGAGGTCTCCTACCACACTAACATATTCTAGGAGAAGAGCAGAATCTCTAAAGTGAACAGCAGCCCCTGTCATCCCAGCTCTGTGACAAGCAGCCCTGGGTGGGGGAATCGGGGTGGCTCAGCAGCAACATCCACACCAGCCTCCAGCAGCCTGGGGAGTGGCGGTTTCCGTAAGATCCCTTCAAAAGCCGTTTCGTATCACGATTTCTATGCTTTGTGTGGCAGCAGACCCATTTGTTTAAGTGGTCATGCACCCACCTCTCCCCACCCTGATGGTCACCTACAAAGCCCATATGGCCAAAACGGTATGATCAGATTCTCTCAGAGACCAGACTCCTTTGCTGGCACCCGACCCAGGAGAAGCAGCCCAGAGGGGACCATTTTTACTCCACTGATGACGACAGTGGTTCTAACAGGGAGACCTTTCAGAAGAAGGATGAGGAGGGGCGGTTGCCAGGCAACGCATAGACAGCTTCTCCCGCTCCCAAGTAGCAGGTCTTTTCTTAGCAGCAGCATTCTCTATTCTGTGCCAACGATGTACTCATTACGATTTTCTGATGAAGTTTTTAGGAAGAATAAAGAGTTCCAGCAAGTGCTGTAAAGGTTACTTAGGACAGTGATGGAGACATGCATGTCTTCTTCCATAAGCAGAGGAGAAACACTGAATTCTATAGCACCTTATTTGAAAATGCCGAAGTTCTAAAGGTGCTCACTGAAAGTAGAATGTTTTGATGCTTCACTTCCTAAAACCCACAGGCTATATGCACATGAGCAATAATACAAGAAAAGGGGAACAAAACAACTGACAAGGTGATGGCACCAAAAATACCAGAAAGACTTGCTTGTCTGAGACAAAGTTAATATCCAGCTCTTCACCAACCAAACGTGATCACAAGGAATGGATCTTGAAGGGGTCAGTCTATGTGCGAGACAAAGTTATTGTCCAGCTCTTCACCAACCAAACGTGCTCACAAGGAACGGAGCTTGGAGGGGTCAGTCTATGTGCGAGACAAAGTTAATATCCAGCTCTTCACCAACCAAACGTGCTCACAAGGAACTGAGCCTGGAGGGCTCAGTCTACCTCCTCCACCTTCCAGACCTTCCTGTGAGCAGTGAAATTTCTAAAATGTTGGTGAAGGGAAGAGAACATTCAGGCTTCCATAGTCAACCACAATTACCAAGTGTTGACTGGTCACCACTCCTCTTCCAATTGCTTTGAAACGAGGAGTTTGGAGGAGAAGAGAACAGAGAGCTGATATGTCAAACAGTGTTTTCACTTTTCAGGGTGAAGAGTTAGAGGTGAGACTATCAGAGATATTTTACATCTTTTCCCAGCTCAGTGCCAGTCACACGGCATGGGGACCAAATGACATGCCCGCTGGCATTCCCAGGGTTTGGAGGGTGAGGTGGGAGTGGATGATCGGGGTCACTCTTCTTGCTGGGACTTCTCATCTGTCCCTCCCTGCAGCTGCCTTGTCGTCACTCAGCCACGTGGACCACCTGGACTTCCCTAAGGCCATCAGCATTAGCCGTCAGGGCCCACTCGCTGCTCACCTGCTGCAGACCTTGGCCCATCAGCACTCCCAGAGGCAGAGCATTCTGGACACAGCGATCCCTTTGACTGCTTACAGAAAGGTGAGTGTGGAAACCCGGCGGAATGTGATCATTACCTGCTCATCTTTGACTCTAGACAGCCATCGGTAGGATGTCTTTCTTTCCTTCTTTCTTTCTTTTTTTTTTTTTGACAGAGTCTTGCTCTGTGGCCCATGCTGGAGTGCAGTGGTGTGATCTCGGCTCACTGCAACCTCTGCCTCCTGGGTTCAAGTGATTCTCCTGCCTCAGCCTCCTGAGTAGCTGGGATTATAGGCATGCGCCACCAAATCTAGCTAAGTTTTGTATTTCTGGTAGAGATGGGGTTTCGCCTGTTGGCCAGGCTGGTCTTGAACTCCTGACCTCAAGTGATCTGCCCGCCTTGGCCTCCCAAAGTGTTGGGGTTACAGGTGTAAGCCACTGTGCCCAGCTATCTTTCTTTATTAGGGAGAACACACAGTTGGTTCTTGGAGGCAATTGTCAATGTGATGTGAGATGAAGCACAGTGCGGCCTCTGCACTGTTTTCCTTTGTGTAATTTGCATGGCATGTGTGTTTCCAGTGATATGAAGAAGGAGATAACCTGAAGTGTCTTCCTCCACAGACACGTAGAATGCTGGACAAATGGCACAGTCAGCCTTTCACAGAATTAAGGGAAATCCCCAGGAATCCAAGCTGAAGGAGAAAGTGAAACTGGAATGGGGGATGTGCGGCCTGAAGCCGCTCAAGCCCTGGGTGGAAGGCAGGCGACAGGATTCCCTACATCTAAAATCAGGGTCTTGGACTTTGCTGCCCATGTGGGGCCAGCAGGGAAAACCCTGCCTTGCTGGAGGTAGAGAGCTGGACCCGAGCCCCCCACATAACACAGGACCCTCAACAACCACACCCTTAGCAAATGGGTGTGCTCACACCACAGGAATCTCGTCTGTCACCATATGGACTCAAAATGGGAAGACGCTTGAAACATGGGCCTCATCCAGAATTGAGGCTCAAACACATGAGTGATCTGGGTGAGGAATTGACATGAAGATAGTCTCAGTTTAATGACAGCCTAGTGTGTCTGGCAAAAGCTCTCTTGAGGTTAATACTCTCAGAACAGGGCCATACAAAACTAGAACTAAAGCCCCACCAATGAGGAGCTTATAATCTGGAATTATAGAACCCACCAGACAACAAACTACCATGAGCAAATCAGCAAACATCAAAGAGCAGGCTTAGACCCATGAGACCTTAATAAACGTGTTAGAAACCATCGGATAATGCATTGATCATGATTGAAGGTGTTAAAGTAGGAACCAACAATTTAAGAAAAGAACAACCCAGCAGGTTGATCTGAAAAAGAACAAAATAGAACTTCAAGTGAAAACCATACTCTTTAACATTATAACTACAATGCATGGATTACAGGTTAGACACTGCTGAAGAGAAACACTGTATGTTGGAAGACAGATCTGAGGAAATTCCCTGGAATGCAGGACAGAAAGATAGAGAAAATAGGAAAGGGATTTAAGGGACATGGGAATAAGAAGGTACAACTTATTTCCATTAGAGGGGAGAATGGAAGAGAGTCAAATGTAAATTATATATGGTTTATAATTTTTTAGGATTAGCTGGAGAAAGGAATTCTCAGATTCAGGAATCACAGTAAGTTTGGAGCAAAAATTAAAAATAAAATAAGTCCTTACCAAGACAGGACACAAGGAAACTCCAAAACAGTAAAGGTTAATCAGGAAGGAGCGGCCCACAAAGGAACCACCATCAGACATAGCGATCAGGAAGGAGCTAGAGCTGGCACACAAAGGAACCACCATCCGACCAGCAACAGACAGTCTTCTCAAGTGCAGGGGCACCAGAGACAAGAGAACAGGGTTTCAAGGTAATAAAAGAAAAAGAAATAGAACTTGACCCTTGGCTAATCTGTTATGCAAGTGTGAGGATCAAAGACATTTTCAGACAAAGAGAAGGAAACTTTCCCAATAAAAGACTGAAAGAAGGATATCTTTCAGAAAAAAGGTAGTTTTACCCAAAATGAAGAATTGAGCAGTAAAAGGAATGGTGATGGGGGGAGAGGGGAACCTCATAAAATGAGAGTCGGTCTGAACAAATGCTGACTATGAAAGCTAGTAAAACAAACGGTTGATTTCAGGATACAAAGACAAGGCACAACTGAAATACTGAACAATACTGTATGTGTCAGAGGGAGGTAGCTGAGGTCTGTGTCTCAGGTCCTGGGTTTATTTGTGAGGAGGGCAGAAATGTGAACTCCAGATATTGTTAAGCCAAGCATGGTTATTAAAAGTATCAGGATAATTACTAAAGTATAACTGCTGAACTAGCCAAGGGGGAGAGAGGGAATAAAGAAAACCCATTCATTCCCACAGAAGGCAGGAGAGGATGCTGCAACAAAATACAACTCAGAAAATGCAGGGCATATGTAAGGCAAAGAATGAGATGTACACAGGCCAAACACTGAGTGAGTGAGAGATTAGCTTTTTTAAAGAAAAACTTACTTGGCAACATGGTTTCTATAATTTTAGAAACGTCACTGCAATACTCTGCAGTATGTTAGGAGATTTTCCCACAGTGGGCGTCATTATTTTTCTTTACGGCAGTATGGTTGCATGAGTTTTGTAACCAGCCATATTTTGTGGAAGGGGAAGCCAGAGTTCACAGGATGTAATGCTGGCCCAGATGTCACACTGGGAAGCCAGACTCTGGACGTGGCACCATCTTTTCACTGCAGCACCAAATCTTCCTGTCTTTCCAAGATCACTGTCCTCTTGCTCCAGAAGAGAAAACACTAGTGACAAGTCAGGACCCACTCAGTCCCTGGCTCATGCATCCTAAGTGCTCCCACCTTCTGCAAACGTACACAAATAAGTGAATAATGTCGACTTTTCGGGTTCAAGAAGTCACAACAATTACATGTGGAGTCAAGCACCACTCCACATGTGGACGCACAAAGCTACCTGACGTCTGGCTCAAGGTGTTCACTCGAGTCCAGGCTGAGCTCATCTTCTGCTCCTTCCACCGTGAACTCCAATTCTGTGAACTGCCCTCTGCTTCCTGATGGAGCTGTGCTGTTCCCTCCTCTGCATGCCACCTGCCCAACACAGCTGTCTTCACCGACCAAAACCTGGTCTCAAATGTCCACCTCAAGTCTCCTCTGTAGCCCCCCTGCCACGCCCGACACTCCCGTCAAGGACAGAGACGTCTTCTAGCAAAAGAATGCAGCTTGGTGTGTGGCAATGTCTAGTGTTTCTCCAGCCCTTCACCCCCTTTTGCCCCAAATTGGCTGTAAGCCTCTTAGGAGCCAGACTGCTGGCCTCCTTCACACCCAGCATCCCCATGGTCCTCTGCCCAGGAGCCGTGCTGAGGACATGAAGGTAAGCAGAGCCCACCTGACGCCAGCTCATTTCTGAACTGCTTGTGGAATTTCAAAAGCTGCATTTTATTAAACTCGTGTTAGGTTTACACATTTACACAAAGAATCAGATAACTCCATCCAGGCCCTGAACTGCTGTGATTCAATTCCTCTGATGCTGTCTATAAACCTGCAGATGCAGGAGTCACTGGACAGACCAGATGGAGGCGGCCTCTGGTCTCGCCTCCTCGCCTCGGGTTTCTCCAGGAAGTTTCCATGAGTTCCCGAGCAGCCTGTGGACGTCTCCGTCCGTCACTGGGTGCTCAGAAAACGCTGCACGAATGAGCACTTTCCAGACCTGACTTTATGCACCAGCTTCAAGTGTTTCCTCCCACAACCGTTAATTCGTGGACCTGTTAACTTTTACCAAGTTTAATGTTTGGTTACCCAATTTAATTCAACAAGTATGAGTTGGATGCTTGATTCCACTTCTTCTATCATGCCCCATTCACACACTATAAGAAGGGTCTACCAAGTCAAGAAACAGCAAAAAAAAAAAAAAAAAAAAAAAAAAAAAAGCAGCTAAAACGCAGGGCTGCGGGACAGTGGGTGCCATTTACCTAAGCCAATCGCCCCGGCAGCCAAAGGCCAAGCTGCATCACAGCAGCTTACCTCTTTCTCCCGCAGACTCTCTGGACCATCACCCACCTTCTCTGGAGCCCAAACATCCAATCAAACCAGGTCGTAAATATACAGGTAGTCCCCGCTTATGATGGGGCTATGGCAGGATAAACCTCTTTGGAGTTGAAAATATCATTAAGTCAAAAATGCACTTTCAACTTACGATGGGTTTGTTGGGACATAACCCACCATCTGTCATACTAAAGATGGTACAAACTCTTCCTATAGACTCAGCCACTTGTCTCGCTGGGGCCAGCATGGCAGCAGGGACTGGTCAGATTGGGGTCAGAGAATTTTTCCTTTAAACATTAAGTGCTCAAGGCAGAAAAGACAACATATTGAAAACTTGGAGAGACTGAAAAATAAAGCACTAGCATGGCTCTAGCATTTTAAGCAGCAAATCAGATTTTTAAAAAATAAAAAGTCAAATCACTCCCCCTCCCACAAAAAAATAGAGTTCCACACCCTCAATAAAGGCGGATCATGGAAGGGACACTCTCTGCCTGTGTCACAACCCAACTATCCACAGAGCGCTGCAAGGGGCACTGTGGCGGAGGTGTGGGGGCTGCAGGGGAAGGCCGTGATGGCCGCTGACCAAGGCACAGCTGCTGCAGGACGGGCACACCCACGGCCCGGGCATCCCAGGGAAATCCAGAACCAGTGGCTGTGACTGCTCCCCCGACGGAGCCCCTGTTCCTTGCACAGCCGCTGCTGCCTCCAGCCTCTGTCTGCGCCCTTCCCAAGGACCCCCTGCAGACACCCGCACCCACAGTAAAGGAGGTGGGAGCAGGCGGCCAGGCTCCAGCCAGGAAGTGTGAGCTGAGCTCTAGAAAGTGGTGGTGTCTAAAGTGGCTCACCAGCCTCTCCGTCAGGCCTCGAAGGTTCGTCACCAACTCGTGCAGCAGATAGACGGCAGTCCGGGCTGTGGCAGGTGACAGCCCAGGGCCCAGACACCGGCCAGCCTCATAGTGCTCGCCGCACGCTCAGCTCACCAGTGCGGGGAGACTGGAGCTTCCCCCGTGGGACTGTGGCTGGAAGACCAGGGGCCTCTCATGCGCTACAAGCTACCAGAAAACACTGGTGTGCATCAGGCGTCGGTCCCTGTTACGGGCTGAACCATTCCCTAGAATCCATGTGCTGCCTCCCTAATCCCCTCCAGGTTACCCCGCAACATAACCTCATTTGCAGGTGGGGCCTTTACAGAGATGATGGAGTTAAAATGAGGCCACTGGGGTTGGCCCCAGACCAATCTGAGTGAGGTCCTGAGAAGACAGAGCAGGATGTGCTCCCACAGACGAAAGGTTCTGGGAGGACACAGGAAAAAGATGTCATCTGCCAGCCACGGAGAGAGACCTCAGGAGGAACAAGCCCTGCCTGCATTGTAGACTTCTGGCCTCCGAAACTGTGAGGAAGACACTGCTGTGGTTTCAGCTGCCCAGCCTGAGGGATGTCGTCACGGCAGCCCCAGCAGGCCAGGGCAGGCCCCTGGAGGTCCACAGACCTCACATAGCCAGCATACGCCTCTCCCAGGAGCCCCATTCTTGCTTCATCAATTAAAGCAGCACTCTGGCTGGGCGCGGTGGCTCATGCCTGTAATCCCAGCACTTTGGGAGGCTGAGGCAGGCGGATCACGAGGTCAGGAGTTTGAGATCAGCCTGACCAACATGGAGAAACCCCGACTCTACTAAAAATACAAAATTAGCCAGGCGTGGTGGCTAACGCCTATAATTCCAGTTACTCGGAAGGCTGAGGCAGGAGAATCACTTGAACCCGAGAGGCAGAGGTTGCAGTGAGCCGAGATCACACCATTGCACTCCAGCCTGGGCAACAAGAGTGAAACTCCATCTCAAAAAACAAAAAAAAAAAAACAAAAAACAAAAGAAAACAAAACAAAAGCAGCAGCACTGTCTGCTCTGAGCTACAATCCTATGCACGATTTCCACCCGTGGGAACCACACGGGCCCGAGCTACCCAGCCGGCTCCTTTCTCACCTGGTCACATACATCTGGACAGGACAAGAACTCTCAGAGGGCTTTCTCTTTCTCCTTGGTCTTCCTAAACTTTGCCCTAATTAATCGATATCACTGCCTCTCTCAGAGGTGACTGTGGCTGTGATGACGGACACGGAGGAGACGAACAGGAGCAGAACAGTTTCACTGCCACGTCCATTTCCGTGACAGCACCTGTGATTGATGTTGCGTGGACGTGCCACACTTGCACTTGGCAGGCTTTCGAGGCTGCTGGCCTTGCTGCCATGAGGACTGTGTCCAAAACCACTCTTGGAAGGAACCATAAACGGCTCCCAAACATGAGAAAGTATGCTCAGTCTCACGCAAGCCAGAGAAACAGAAGTGAAAACCACTTGGATGCAGCCCTTCCCACCTACCAGCGGCAAAGTTCAAAGGTTCGCTGATACCTGAGGCTGGGAGACCTGGGACAGAGGTACCATGTCTATGGCACTAGGGGGACGCCATCTTGGCAAAGATTATTGCAGGGAATGTGGCAGTATCTATCAAAATAAACAATAAGCATCCGCGATGACTCAGGATCTGGCTTCTAAAAACTCACATTTCACATGGTCCGTGTAGTCTGGAGTGGCAAAAGTTTGAAATTGCCTACATTGCCCTTACTAGGAGACAGTAAATTTCTGTGCGTCCAATAACAGGAGAACATATGGCTGTTAGGAGGGTGGGGCCGGGCTGTACACACTCATGCAGGGCCCTCTCCTGAGAGCGGCGTCATGTGAGGAGCTGCTGTTTACGCACCACATGACCACAGCAGCACCGGCTGGCCCTGGGGAGGGGGCTGGGCCCCAGAGTCCCGGTGTGGGTGGGCACCCCTGCCGTGGTTACCTTCCCCACAATGATGCCGAGTGGCTGTAATGTCTTCATGAAGCACGTCCCAGACCAAACCAGCCCGGGACTTGCTTGCTGGGACACAGTCCCACCCCTTGGTACAATATGACAAAGAAAACCACGAGTTTAGAGCTTAGGTCACTGTAAAGCTGCTTTTGAAAAAGGTGCAAGACGTAAGGGCTAAAATCTTTCAGTTTAGAGATTAGCAGATGAAGGGCCTCCTTTCAGGGAAGAGAGTGGAGCCTGTACCCCAAAACCCCAAAGTAGCAGAACCAGGGATCCTGCTGATCACTGACTGAATGCCAACTGTTTGCCAGGCACACAGTAGGCGCTGCCTCCGCATGGCCTTGTGATGTGGTTTGGATCTGTGTCCTGGCCAGTCTCATGTTGAAATGTAGCCCCAGGGCTGGAGGTGGGGCCTGGTGGGAAGTGGCTGGGTCACAGGGTGGTTTCTCATGGGTGGTTTAGACCATCCCCTTGGCGCTGTCCTCAGGATAGTGAGCAGGCTTTCCTGAGATGGTGTTGTTAAAAGTGTGCGGCACTCCCCATCTGTTCTCTCCCTCCTGCACCTGCCATGTGACGTCTTGGCTCCCCTTTGCCTTCCGCCATGACTGGATACTTCCTGAGGCCTCCCCAGGAGCAGAGGCCACCATGCTTCCTGTACAGCCTACAGAACCCTGAGCCAATTCAACCTCTTTTCTTTATGAATTACCCAGCCTCAGGTATTTCTGTATAGCAGTGTGACAACAGCCTAACACACCTGTCTAATGAACCCGGGTCTAATTAACAGCCCATGTCCTCCCACCCAGGGGAGGCCCTTGCACAGGGGAGGCTGGGTCCCACTGGTACCGGGCCCTGTGAGAGTCTCAGGTACAGAACAGAGTCCCAGGAGCGTCAAGCAGGAGCTGTGGCTTGGGTGGCTGCATGGACACGGGAGGCTCTAGAACGTCCCCTCAAGCAAGTTAGGGTGTGAGGACGGATACTTGGGTCTGCACCGGGCCCAAAGGCCATGGCAGCCACTGGGAGGTCAGACCCATCCAGCGTGCACCGAACTCAGTGGGTCGGACCCATTCACTGTGCACCGAACTCGGTGGGTCAGACCCATCCAGTGTGCACTGAACTCGGTGGGTCAGACCCATCCAGGGTGCACTGAACTCGGTGGGTTGGACCCATTCACTGTGCACTGAACTCGGTGGGTCGGACCCATTCACTGTGCACTGAACTCGGTGGGTCGGACCCATCCAGCGTGCACTGAACTCGGTGGGTCGGACCCATTCACTGTGCACTGAACTCGGTGGGTCAGACCCATCCAGCATGCACTGAACTTGGTGGGTCGGACCCATTCACTGTGCACTGAACTCGGTGGGTCAGACCCATCCAGCATGCACTGAACTTGGTGGGTCGGACCCATTCACTGTGCACTGAACTCGGTGGGTCAGACCCATCCAGCGTGCACTGAACTCGGTGGGTCAGACCCATGCAGCGTGCACTGAACTCGGTGGGTCAGACCCATCCAGTGTGCACTGAACTCGGTGGGTCGGACCCATTCGCTGTGCACTGAACTCGGTGGGTCGGACCCATCCAGCGTGCACTGAACTCGGTGGGTCGGACCCATTCGCTGTGCACTGAACTCGGTGGGTCGGACCCATCCAGCGTGCACTGAACTCGGTGGGTTGGACCCATTCACTGTGCACTGAACTCGGTGGGTCGGACCCATCCAGCGTGCACTGAACTCGGTGGGTCGGACCCATCCAGCATGCACTGAACTCGGTGGGTTGGACCCATCCAGCGTGCACTGAACTCGGTGGGTCGGACCCATTCACTGTGCACTGAACTCGGTGGGTCAGACCCATCCAGTGTGCACTGAACTCGGTGGGTCGGACCCATTCACTGTGCACTGAACTCGGTGGGTCGGACCCATTCACTGTGCACTGAACTCAGTGGGTCGGACCCATCCAGCGTGCACTGAACTCGGTGGGTCGGACCCATTCACTGTGCACTGAACTCGGTGGGTCAGACCCATCCAGCATGCACTGAACTTGGTGGGTCGGACCCATTCACTGTGCACTGAACTCGGTGGGTCAGACCCATCCAGCATGCACTGAACTTGGTGGGTCGGACCCATTCACTGTGCACTGAACTCGGTGGGTCAGACCCATCCAGCGTGCACTGAACTCGGTGGGTCAGACCCATGCAGCGTGCACTGAACTCGGTGGGTCAGACCCATCCAGTGTGCACTGAACTCGGTGGGTCGGACCCATTCGCTGTGCACTGAACTCGGTGGGTCAGACCCATCCAGCGTGCACTGAACTCGGTGGGTCGGACCCATTCGCTGTGCACTGAACTCGGTGGGTCGGACCCATCCAGCGTGCACTGAACTCGGTGGGTTGGACCCATTCACTGTGCACTGAACTCGGTGGGTCGGACCCATCCAGCGTGCACTGAACTCGGTGGGTCGGACCCATCCAGCATGCACTGAACTCGGTGGGTTGGACCCATCCAGCGTGCACTGAACTCGGTGGGTCGGACCCATTCACTGTGCACTGAACTCGGTGGGTCAGACCCATCCAGTGTGCACTGAACTCGGTGGGTCGGACCCATTCACTGTGCACTGAACTCGGTGGGTCGGACCCATTCACTGTGCACTGAACTCGGTGGGTCGGACCCATCCAGCGTGCACTGAACTCGGTGGGTCGGACCCATCCAGCGTGCACTGAACTCGGTGGGTCAGACCCTTTCACTGTGCACTGAACTCGGTGGGTCAGACCCATCCAGCATGCACTGAACTCGGTGGGTCGGACCCATCCAGCGTGCACTGAACTCGGTGGGTTGGACCCATCCAGCATGCACTGAACTCGGTGGGTCAGACCCTTTCACTGTGCACTGAACTCGGTGGGTCAGACCCATTCACTGTGCACTGAACTCGGTGGGTCGGACCCATCCAGTGTGCACTGAACTCGGTGGGTCGGACCCATTCACTGTGCACTGAACTCGGTGGGTCAGACCCATCCAGCGTGCACTGAACTCGGTGGGTCGGACCCATCCAGCGTGCACTGAACTCGGTGGGTCGGACCCATCCAGCGTGCACTGAACTCGGTGGGTTGGACCCTTTCACTGTGCACTGAACTTGGTGGGTCAGACCCATCCAGTGTGCACTGAACTCGGTGGGTCGGACCCATCCACTGTGCACTGAACTCGGTGGGTCGGATCCATTCACTGTGCACTGAACTCGGTGGGTTGGACCCATCCAGCGTGCACTGAACTCGGTGGGTCAGACCCATTCACTGTGCACTGAACTCGGTGGGTCGGACCCATTCACTGTGCACTGAACTCGGTGGGTCGGACCCATCCAGCGTGCACTGAACTCGGTGGGTCGGACCCATTCGCTGTGCACTGAACTCGGTGGGTCAGACCCATCCAGCGTGCACTGAACTCGGTGGGTTGGACCCATTCACTGTGCACTGAACTCGGTGGGTCGGACCCATCCAGCGTGCACTGAACTTGGTGGGTCGGACCCATTCACTGTGCACTGAACTCAGTGGGTCAGA
Source organism: Homo sapiens (assembly GCF_000001405.40). Classification (NCBI taxonomy): domain Eukaryota; kingdom Metazoa; phylum Chordata; class Mammalia; order Primates; family Hominidae; genus Homo; species Homo sapiens. The sequence goes on from NC_000007.14 coordinate 157,649,351, forward strand.
CCCATCCAGCGTGCACTGAACTCGGTGGGTCGGACCCATCCAGCGTGCACTGAACTCGGTGGGTCAGACCCTTTCACTGTGCACTGAACTCGGTGGGTCAGACCCATCTAGCGTGCACTGAACTCGGTGGGTCGGACCCATCCACTGTGCACTGAACTCGGTGGGTCGGACCCATTCACTGTGCACTGAACTCGGTGGGTCGGACCCATCCAGCGTGCACTGAACTCGGTGGGTCGGACCCATTCACTGTGCACTGAACTCGGTGGGTCCGATCCATTCACTGTGCACTGAACTCGGTGGGTCGGACCCATCCAGCGTGCACTGAACTCGGTGGGTCGGACCCATTCACTGTGCACTGAACTCGGTGGGTCGGACCCATTCACTGTGCACTGAACTCGGTGGGTCAGACCCATCCAGTGTGCACTGAACTTGGTGGGTCGGACCCATCCAGCGTGCACTGAACTCGGTGGGTCGGACCCATTCACTGTGCACTGAACTCGGTGGGTTGGACCCACCCAGGGTGCACTGAACTCGGTGGGTCGGACCCATCCAGCGTGCACTGAACTCGGTGGGTCGGACCCATCCAGTGTGCACTGAACTCGGTGGGTTGGACCCATCCAGCGTGCACTGAACTCGGTGGGTCGGACCCATTCACTGTGCACTGAACTCGGTGGACGCGTAAATGGCTCTCAAAGGAGCTCCCCAGGCCCGCAGGAGTGAGGCTGGGAAGTCTCGGGGTCTCCAGAGCCGGCTACTATGGCACCTGGACGCTCCTCCTCTCCTGGCTCTGCCTCTTGCCCCAGCTTTCCCCTTCCCTGCTGGTTTAATGCCGTCTCTGGTCATGGGGCTCCGTGCCTGGTCCTGTGTGGCGTGAAGGCTTCCCAAACCTGCCCGCCGGAGAGAGACATCCCCCGCAGGGGCTCCCCATCAGGGCAGGGCACACCCCCACCCGCCGTGCTGGGAAGGGGGGACTATGTACCCCTCCATGTGCAGGCCTTGCCTATGCCACGCAGTCCTCAATGGTGAGAAACAGCTTTCCTGCAAAAATAGGCTCCTCCAAATGTGCGCCACAAAGCCGGCATCGTCCAGACAGCAGCAACGGCCTGCCGTGTCTGTGAACGCAGGCCCCACAAAGCTGGAGAGTTCGCCCTGCGGCCTGGTTTACTCATCAGGCCTCCGCGCCAGCACCCGAGCCAGAGCGAGAACGGCCAGCCCAGCCGCGTGGCCCCAGAGTGAAATTCTCGGTGGCCCAGTGCCCCTCATCCTGGGAGAGCAGCCATCTGTGCCCGTCAACCACGTGGGAACGATGGAATGGAATCTTCCAGAAATACAGGGCACTGGGTCTGAAGGTGGAGGGACTGGGGCCAGGGGAGCGCCTGCCAAGGCCCCGGCACTGGTGGCGTGGGGTGCAGGGGACCCCAGCCCCTTTCTGCTGCAGCTGGTGACTTGCAGCCTTGGGCAGGGACATCTGGCATGGTTTCGCGAGGCCCTCCTGGTTCGGTGACTTATCGCTAAGAACTAAGAAGCCTGGAGCCTGACAAGATCAAACAATGAGAGACAGAGATCTCTCAAGGTGCACAGGCAGAGACACGACGGGCCCAGGGAAGACTCCAGGCAGGCAGGAGGGCCGAAGTTCAGAGGCCGTGAGCCGTGTGGGTCTGAGGAGGTCACAGCTTGTGCCGGCATCTGTTGGTCGCCAGCACAGACACGCATCACGCGTCTCACGCTGGGAGTTCAGAAACCCCACAGGCAAATCTGCGGAAGGTGCGGCGCGACTCCACAGGCTGGCAGCACCCCCTCCCTCCTCAGCAAAATTCATGAACTTTCCTGTTTTCTGTGATCATGGGAAATCTTTGGTCACTTCCTGCAATGCCTAACTTTTCGTTTTTCACGTCTCTGTCACTGCGCTTGGTTTTAATGTCGTCATCTGTGAAATGGGCCTACTCACAGCTCCTGTGCCCTCAGTGCCTCAGGACTCTCCAAGGATGAGCGAACTCAAAGATCACTGTCCATATCCTCATCTTCAACACTCAAGAGGATGGATTCTGAAAAGCACTTACTCAGCACGGCTTTCCCAAGTTAAGTTCTATATTATTTAAGTCGAATGGAGAAGTATGAAGCCAACTTTTTTCTTAACATCCCCACTCTCCAAAAAACGTTCTCTAGCCTTTAAAGGTGGACGCGGTGGCTCCCGGCCGACTCAGGCGTAATTAGTCACATCGGGACGGTGACACTCTTCTCCACCTCCTCACTCAGAGCCAGCCAGGCAGAAATGTCACCCTTCTGAAAGCAAAGTGATAGGGAAACAGATCTTGAAAAAACTCGATGATTCTTTATCTTACAAAAGGATGTGACAGGATTTCTTGAGAAGCCACGTCCCCGCAGATGATTAACACGCAGCCGCTTTGATAACCGTCCTGCGAAGTCGCCTTCATCACGTCCTTGCTTTTCAGAGTCCCGAGCCTTGCTCTGAGTGAGCATCTCCGTGTTGCCTTTCGGCCGTTTCCAGAGAAATGTACCGGTTTCTTGATGGAAGTGTTTCCTTCCTGCCTCTCCCTCCTCTGAGTGCTCCATTCACCCGCAGGTGAGCCTCGACTCAGCTTCTTCCAGACAGTCCAAGGCAGGGGCACGGACTGCACCTTCCCTGCGCCTGGGAGGCCCATTTTCCAGGAACAAGTGACATTCTGGGCTGGGTTTTCCCTGCAAATAAAGCCCTTTCTCCTTAGTTCATCCCAGAAGAAAACTGGAATTTTTAAAGGACCTTTCTAAGAAAATGAAGGCAAAGCAACACAAAAACCAGAATCAAAGCCCAGAGACAGGGATCAGGCAGAGTGTAGAGAATGCAGGCCCAGAGGCCCAAACCCTACCAAGCAAAGGCCCCGCCGGGCTCTGTTCCTTCAGCACAACCCCTTCCTCTCCAGCCCGACGCACCTTCGGCACAGGTGAGGTCTCAGGATGGGCGGCATCTCAGATGCTCACCCGGTTTTACCCTCACAGGAACCCCAGGGGAAAGGCACTGCCATCAAGCCCGTCTCACAGGGGAGAAGAAGGTTGGAGGTCTGTCCTGGGACACAGCACCTGCAACAGCAAAGCGTCTCAGCTCTGACACCTTGCTGATGGAGCCCAGAATCTGTGCTCCACATCTAGACCTGACCACCTGCTGTCATGGCAGAGCGGGGGACCCAGCGGCTGCCCCAATGACCTGCCCACCCCTGCCCCTTCCCATCAGGCTTTCATGTGGCCCCTTCCCCGGGGGTCCCTGAGACGTGTGCTCTCCCTCTTGTTCCACCTGCTGGGACACCTTGACCAGGTAACTAAGTCCCTCCCTGCAGTCCTGAGACACCAGCCTCTTCCTGGTGACACCCAGTGGCTGCACAGCCCCATGGATCCCCCCATCGGGGCAGGCACCTGCCGCCTCCTGTCTCCCAGGGAAGCCTCCTTCTCTCACACCCTGGCCTGTCTCCTTTATAAGAGTGTTGTATGCTCCCCTCTCTAGATGGAGTGCTCATTTCTAGAGTTCTGTTACTCCGGGTCTCCAGCACGGAATCCCAGCCTCTGTGCAGAAAGCAGCAGCGTGAGCTCCAGTGGGTAGAGTGCCCCAGGGCGGGAGGGGGCTCTCGGGGCCAGGAGGCCCTTCCTGTGGGGCCACAGCCAGGCCAGCCCCGCCTGAAGGTCTGGGCTCCGGGGCAGTGTGCAGCCTCCACCCTGCCACATGTGTCCTTTGTCACAGAAAGTCTCCGCTCTTGGTGCTGAGCCTGCCCCCCAGACGGTGCAGCCGGCCTCTCCCACCTGCTGGGGCTCCTCACATCTAGCTTGGCCTCCAGACATCACCAACCTCTGCTGTTTATTTCATCGGATCGTGGGGTTCAGATGCCACGTTTTGTCCAACGTGCCCCAGGAGTGGCTGCATGTCAGGAACATGTCGCTGGGAATCTCTGTGGCTTATCTGACCATCCTGCCATCCTCAGGTGAGGGGCACTGAGGTGGCCGGTTGGGTGTCTGGCGGAAACGAGGCTTTGCGCACAGAGGGCTGGGCTGCTGGATCACCACGGAATTGGCTGCCTTGTAGCTGTGATGAGTCGGAAGGTCGGCGACTCTGATGCGTTCCTGCGGCACCAACCTGCATGTGCTTTCTACAGCCTGTGTGTGCCAGGGAGGGTGGCGGTCAGTGCCCCGAGATTGGCTGTAGCTTCCGAGCCTAAAAGGCTACCTGTGTGAGTCCTGGGAAGAGGTCTACCTGGAGCTCACCTGTGGCGTGAGTCTGTGCCTCTCTGCTCCTGTACCAGGGACATGCCCACCAGGAGACCCCGCATGGCTGAGAGGGCACGGGAATGCACTTGTAAAGTGAGCTCAGAGGAAGGAAAATCAGAACTGCTGAGTGAGAGGAGACGCCAGGGTCCAAGGCCCACGTCTGGCCCACTTGGTTGCTGGACTCCACACGATGCCCGCTGCTCCCCACACCCACCCCAACTGCACACGACGCCCGCCACTCCCCACACCCACCCCGACTCCACACGATGCCCGCTGATCCCCACACCCACCCCAACTCCACATGACGCCCGTCTCTCCCCACACCCACCCCAACTGCACACGATGCCCGCTGCTCCCCACACCCACCCCGACTCCACACCATGCCCGCCGCTCCCCACACCCACCCCGACTCCACACGACGCCCGCCTCTCCCCACACCCACCCCAACTCCACACGATGCCCGCCGCTCCCCACACCCACCCCGACTCCACACCATGCCCGCCGCTCCCCACACCCACCCCAACTCCACACTGCCCGCCACTCCCCACACCCACCCCGACTCCGCACGATGCCCACCTCTCCCCACACCCACCCCAACTCCACACGACGCCTGCCGCTTCCCACTCCCACCCCGACTCCGCACGATGCCCACCACTCCCCACACCCACCCCAATTCCACACCATGCCCGCCGCTCCCCACACCCTCCCCAACTCCACACTGTGCCCGCCGCTCCCCACACCCACCCTGACTCCCACCAGCACCTGCTGGCATCGTGGAGTCAGGGAAATATCTCAGTAACATTCATTTTCAAAACAGCATTGGTTGATGAGGAAGATCCAGTTTCCCTGAGTTTACAATCTGTACGCACAGAGTCTAAGTCAGCCGGACTCATACTTGGCCTGAGTGTGTTTCTCGTTTCGGCCCTGCAGTTGTGGGCGGTGGTGAGACGCGTTCCGAAACAGGACCCCGTCACGGTGTGTGGCCCTCGATGACCCCCCAACAGGGTGTCTGGAGTCAGGCTTTGCAGGGTTTCCGCCAGGTGGAGGCTGAGTCTGTCCTTGCGGTTTAGGCATTCCAGCAGAAGTGGTGCTTGCTGTCAGAGCTGCCATTACATATGTGAATGCCAAACACAATTCTCTGAGAAATACAGTATTTCCAGGTACCAATAGAGCTTGAGATATCATCAAATTGTTACTCAAGCACCTTGAAATGTGGAAATATCAGAACACAATGAGAGCTCGCTAAGCGGCTCTCCTCTTGGCTGACCTGTCAGATGAATGTCTTTGGCTGATGGGTTTGGCCCTAATACCAAATCTCATCACAAATATGAACTCCTGGTCTCTGCTCCTTTTCTAAAAGGGACAAATGTCAAAACAGCCTCAGAAAAGTCAGATCTAAAGTAACAAAACCACAGTCCATCAAGGGAGGAGGTTCTGCCAAAGTCGATGACAGGTCTGCCGAGTGAACTCCACGAGCTGTCTGCTCCCGGGTGTGAACACCTCGGGTTTGATTTCTGGCGGGTGGTCCGGCTTCGTGGGCTCGCCCCAGGGAGTGATGGGAAAAAATGTGCCCTCCTCAGCTCAGGGATCGGGAAAGCCAGGCTTCTTGACTGTTGCTTCTCCTCATTTTAAGTTATCCAGGGAGAAGGCTGCTGAGTTCCTCAGTTTCCCCAAACGTCTGGTCCAAGCGGGTCTAGAACTGCGTGTTTCCCACCAGACGTCAGCTGTTTGTCCCTGGAGCGTCAGCTGGGCCGGGAGGCCTCCAGCCTTGATCTCCAAGCTCTGCAATGAGGCTTTTTAGTGAAAACATGGTTTTCTGGCTTTTTGTGGTCCAGATCCACCAGTCTATACTATTATTAACTCATTAGGCAAAAATAATTTTTAAAAAATGTAAGCATTTAACAGCAACTTACAGGGTCCATCCTGCAACCTGGGAACTTAATGGTACGGCGAAGAATGTTTCCCTGACCCGTAAGTGCAGCCGCTGCTTCGGCCAAGCAGCGTAACAGGCTCTGCCCTTTCACCCCAGAGGCTCCGTCTCCAGTGCGGGAAACAGCACAGCCAGGCACGGTCACCCACCAGGACGACGCCTACGGCCTGGAGATCCAGGAGGCAGCCAGCAGGACGTGCTGCGCTATTGACAGCTGTCCTAATAACACCCGGACATTCATTATGTATGGAGTGGCAATGCACGGCCACACACGCGTGATCACTCCAGCGAGGACCCTGGAAAAGGCCGCTGAAGCCGCGTCGCCGTGAGCCTCTGGCCGGCGCCACCAGGAAGGCTCCTGTGAAGAGCCGAGCACCCAGCCCACACCTCCTCCTGCCTTGCTGTCACAGCAGTGACATTTATTTACCCAAATGACGCTTGCTGGCCTTGAGTGCCAAGGAGACAGCAGCTGCTTCCGAGTCAGAGGCCCAAAACGGCAGCGCACATGGTAGGCACTAACAGACGTGTATTCCACTGAAAACTAAATAGCGGGTGCTCACTCTTACACACCAGGGACTGTGTGTGGGGGCTGCACGTTCCAGGCAGAAGCACGGCAAAGATCTCAGGAAGTAAATATTCTTGTTTATCTAAATTAAGAAGACTCCCTGCAGAAAGAGCCCTGCCTGTCAGCCTCTGCAGCGGGCAGGGTGCAGCCATCATCGCCCAGTCCCCGAGGGTCAGCGGGCGCAGATGCTGGGTGTTGCAGGGGCCGAGGAAGGAGGGCCCTGGTGTTTGTGTGGCAGGGAGTGCAAAGACTGGGCTTACCAGGATCATGTGGCCGGTGGAGATGTCCATGTTGGACTGCACAGGCTCCTCGGACCAGGATGAGGCGCTGCTGCGTGCGGAGGGGCTGGGGATCGGCCCGTCGCTGAACTGGGATGAGACGCTGCTGATGCGTGACGTGTGCGGGCCCTCAGGTCGGTCTGGTGGCCGCGTGGCCATACGCTGGCGGCACAGCTCCTGCAGGACAGGGGGAGGAAGAGCAGGGGGTTAGTGGCATTGGGGACACCCAGCAGGACGAGGGCCACGGCACCCACGTGGCACAACCCCTTCTCCTGCTAAGATCCAAGGTTCAGGCAGGCGAGAGTTTACCCCAGGGCAGGCCAGCGCAACATGACGGTCAACGCACCCCAAAGCACGCGCCCAGCACGGTGACCCGAGAAGACTTCAGGCTTGTGCAGGAAAAGAGAGGCCTTGCTCTCAGAATCTGAGAATACAAACACACATACACACACACATATACACACACACACCACACACACACACACATCACACATATATACACACATACACCACACACACCACACACATCACACATATACACACACACACGCCACACACACACACCACACACATCACACATATACACACACATACACCACACACACCACACACATCACACATATACACACACATACGCCACACACACACCACACACATCACACATATACACACACATACACCACACACACCACACACGTCACACATATACACACACATACGCCACACACACACACCACACACATCACACATATACACACACATACGCCACACACACACACCACACACATCACATATACACACACATATGCCACACACACACCACACACATCACACATATACACACACATACGCCACACACACACACCACACACATCACACATATACACACACATACACCACACACACACCACACACATCACACATATACACACACACACCACACACATCACACATATACACACACATACACCACACACACCACACACATCACACATATACACACACAAACGCCACACACACACCACACACATCACACATATACACACACATACGCCACACACACACACCACACACATCACACATATACACACACATACACCACACACACCACACACATCACATATACACACACATACACCACACAAACCACACACATCACACATATACACACACACCACACACACACCACACACATCACACATATACACACACATACACCACACACACACCACACACATCACACATATACACACACACACCACACACATCACACATATACACACACATACACCCCACACACACACCACACACATCACACATATACACACACATACACCCCACACACACACCACACACATCACACATATACACACACATACACCACACACACCACACACATCACACATATACACACACAAACGCCACACACACCACACACATCACACATATACACACACATACACCACACACACCACACACATCACACATATACACACACACCACACACACACACCACACACATCACAGACACACACACACCACACACATCGCAGACACACCACACACACACACCACACACATATGTAACAGACACACACACACCACACACACGTCACAGACACACACACCACACACACATACACACATCACAGACACACACACACTGCACACGCCACAAACACTCACTCCTATAGATTCAAGAAAGCATCCACTGGATCCTCCTCTGTCATCAACGTGGAATATTCTGGGATAACGCCACAGTAGCCTTCGTTGGGTGGCTTCTCATTCTATCAGAATATAAGCCACAGGGGAGGCCGGGGGCGGTTTGCACTGTGGACTGAGATACAGAAACTGGTACCACAATCAAAGAGTCTGCAGAAAAAAGAAGAACCTCATTCTGACGTTTCTTTCTCTTTCCAAAGCAATGTCCAAGAGCCCATGCAAGAGAAGGCAAATGGAGCCGTGCGGGAGACAGAAGGCACAGGGGAGGGAGAAAGGCCTGTGCTGCTGAGTAGACACCAAAGCAGAAGTTCCCGTATTTAAAGGAAACTCTCAACATTACACCCCAAGACAGCTTCTGAGGGATCACTGCAGGGTCTTCGACCCTCCTTCCCCAGGCAAAGCTCAACCACACACGCGGTGGGCATCCCGAGCACCTGCCCGGCCGTATGGGACCCGCCTGCAGGCAGGACACGGCCACGCAGCCTCAGGTGCTCAGAACACGCCGGGACCCCGCTGCTGCCGCTCACCTTCAGGGTGCAGCCTGGGTGCCCCCCTGACGTCTGACCAACAATCTCGTTTTGAAAGTGTTCTAACCACTGTGTTAGGATAGCCCGTCCTATTGCCTGATGAAAATATACCTGTACCCTGAGTCTGCAAAGTGAAATGATACCCAGAAAAAGTTTATAAGAGAACTGGAGCTCAACAGAAGAGGTGAAAATGCATTCGTGAGAAAAAGAAAGGCTCCGGGGAACCTCGTGGGCTGCTGCTGCCTTGGTTTCATTTTGGTGGTGTCCGGGGGAGGCCAAGCCACCCACTCGCTCCCCACAGCCGTGTGCGTCAAAGGCCTTGCACTCCCCAAGGCAATCGCCAAAGCTCAGGAAACACTCCATGTGTCCCTTCTCCCTTCACCCCGGGGTGCCGGCTTCCTTGTGTCCATTCTCCCTTCACCCCGGGCTGCCGGCTTCCTTGGCTTTAAAGATGTCTGCCAAGCCCACCGGCACCACACCATCTAGAAAACATTTCCCTCCACCTGGCTCTCTGGGATGAGCAATTCATGCTCCCGGGCTCTCTGCTTCGGACTCATAGCGAGATACAGGTGCTGTGGGAAGGGGCCCTGCGGCCCCCACTCTCCAGGAGCCTGCAGCCCCTGTGAGAGCAGCTGGGGACAAGGAGGATGACCGCGGGGACTGGGAGGATGACTGCGGGGACGGGGGGGGATGACCCCGGGGACTGGGGGGGGACGACTGCGGGGATGGGGGGGGACGACTGTGGGGAAGGGGGGGACGGCCGCGGGGATGGGGGGGATGGCTGGGGGGACTGGGCGGGAGGTGGATAGCCGCAGGGACAGGGGTGGGAGGATGGTCACAGGGATGGGGGGGGCGGGGGGGATGACTATGGGGACCGGGCAGAGACGCACAGGGGAAGGTGGACTTTACCAAGGGCCTCTGGTGAGGGTAAGGGGTCTCTAAGAAAAGGGAGAGTTCCAGTTCCTTCTTTCCCATACATCTTCAGGTACTTGTTAGTTTATAGACAGTTTTAAAATAGTGAGTGTGTTTAAAAAAATCCACCCACGTTTTCTCAGAATCTCAAAAACAAAGCAAAATAAACAAACAAAAAAAACCCCACAAAGGATAATTCTTTATTTTTTATTTTTATTTTTATTTTTGATATGGAGCCTCACTCTGTCTCCCAGGCTGGAGTGGAGAGGCACGATCTCGGCTCACTGCAGCCTCCACCTCCTGGGTTCAAACGATTCTCCTGCCTCACTCCCCTGATTAGCTGGGATTACAGGCGCCTGCCACCACGCCCGGCTAATTTTTCTATTTTTAGTAGAGACAGGGTTTCACCATATTGGCCAGGCTGGTCTCGAACTCCTGACCTGAGGTGATCCACCCAATGAGGGATGATTTTAATAAGGTAGATGATACCAGTAACCAACCTGAGTATACATCTCATTTATTTCTCAATTGTGCACATGAATTTTGCTTGACGTGGGGGAAAAGCACACTGAGAAATGTTTCTGAAGTAACTTCTATCTCTTCACACAATTTCTCCAGAAAAATAACGTCCAACCAAAGCATGAGAACAGCTACAGCTCAGGGAACCCAGAGGGTCCGAGAATGTGACCCTCTGGGGAAGAGGATTTGAAACGCTGGAGATTTACTCACATAAAAATAAAAAATCAAGCTAGTTCCATGCCCATCCTGTGATTTGCCACCCATGGGAGAGCTACAGTGAGGTCTGAGCTCTGTTATTTCCTGAGTGCCATGGAGGGTGAAGCCACCAAGAGGCCCCACAGGACTGAGGTCCCTGCTGCACCACAAACTTCCGTTTTTATTGTATTTATTTTTCTCCCAAAGTCACCAATAGCAAACAACCACAAACTTTTCATGTGAACTTGGGAAAACCTCTAAAGGTCTCTAAGCCTATTTTTTCACTTTATAAATGGAGATAATCCTATAGTTACTGTGAAGATTAAAATAGATGGTTTCCTGTATATTCAGTGCTTAGCATGGAGGCAGCTACAGAGAAAGCCTCAAGCATTCATGAGTAAGAGAGACGTATTAGTGAATAGAAGTTAGGGCCGTTCTCTAAGCCAGAGCCAAACTCTTGACGGCTTGGCAAATGTAAAGATATTTCTGAAGAAGTTACAGAATTTATTATTACTATTATTATGAGACAGAGTCTCGCTCTGTCGCCCAGGCTGGAGTGCAGTGGTGTAATCTCAGCTCACTGCAGCCTCCGCCTCCCGGGTTCAAGCGATTCTGCTGCCTCAGCCTCCCGAGTAGCTGGAATTATAGGCGTGCACCACCACACCCAGCTAATTTTTGTATTTTTAGTAGAGACGGGCTTCACCACGTTGGCCAGGCTGATCTTGAACTCCTGACCTTAGGTGATCCACCCGCCTTGGCCTCGCAAAGTGTTGGGATTACAGGCGTGAGCCACTGCACCGGGCCAAAGTCGCAGAATTTAGAGCTGGACAAGCCGACATCGCCTCCTCCGGCGGGTGGCTCAGTGCCCAGTGGCTCAGTGCTGGTGCACGGTGAGGGAGACCCAGGGTTCGGTGCCTCTCAGCGGGGACCCGCGGCTCTCACCAGTGGTCTCGCGTCACTGCGCAGCGCAGGGTCTTCTTGAAGGTCTTAACTTTTTCAAAGGAGGGAAACTGCGATAAAGATCCAAGAAAAATGTCCCTGGCAGAGAGGAAGCCCCCGAAAGCTTGGCGCAGAATGCTGGAGACCCGTGGCGGCAGCTCTTCGCCTGTGCAGAGGGAGACGCTGCCGTGGGAGAAGGGTGTGCCCACAGCAAGGCAACGCGCGGCCGGGGACGCTGCTCTTGCCCGAAGGCGCTCTCCCTGCGGGCTTCCGCCTGGGAACGGGGGCGGGTGCTCTAGCCCGGCGCTGCTCCGCTCTGAACCCACCGCTACCAAGTTTCTATTCAGCAAGTGGCTCAGGCAAACATCTGAGCAGCGATAAGGCCGGGAATGGCCTGCAGGGAGGAATGGGATGATGGGGAAGCCGGGTCCTGGGTGGAGGAGGTTGGCAGTGATAAGGCCAGGAATGGCCTGCAGGGAGGAACGGGATGGTGGGGAAGCCGGGTCCTGGGTGGAGGAGGTGTCTGGGGCTGAAGCCCCCCATGCTGCCCCTGAGCCTGGGGGCAGGTGAGAGACGCGTCCTACTTCCCTGGACACTACGATGGGCAGGACGTGGCTCCCCGGAGGCACCAGCCATGTTTCCCTCACATCACCAGCGCAGGCTTTTCTGAAGGCTCTGGGGGAACCTGCCACTTAGGAGAGTCTCTGCACCTCCACAAAGCTGCCCTGAGACAGAGGCAACGGGGCCACCATGGACGCCTCCTAGAAACCAGGACCCAGAAAACAGGTATGTCTTCAGAGGAGCAGGATGAGAACTGCAAAAACAGACCTAACTTTGGTTCTTTTCCTTGACGTCCAGGGCAGTCATTGACTCATTCACTCATAGCACCTGCAGTCAGAGGGCCTGATTTTGAATCTGGGCTTCAGGTCTTACTGACTGTGTGGCCTTGGGAAAACACTAATCTCTGTGTGCCTCAGTTTCCCCATCTGTGAAGTGGTGATAATGGTACCGACTTCACCGCTGGGAGGATTAAATAAGATAACATGCTTAGAGTGAGGCTTTGGGCCTGTGCCTGACACACACCAGGTGATTATTTGCTGTTCCTACTACGATGATTATTAGTTTATTCAAAATCAGGTTTGCTATGGTCCCTTGCCGAGTCAGCACTGCACAGGGTGCCAGGAACACCAGGCTGAGCCAGGCTGGGTCAGACTCGCCGGGCCCTGACCCCCGAGCACTCCCACGCCACCCAGAGCTGGGCACGAGTGACCGCAAGAAGCGATGGGAATGACAGCAACAGCACGTGTTGGGCGTTCGTGGGAAGGGGTGCCGTGGGGCCGGGAGGAGGGGACCCTCCCTGAACTTGAGGTCAAAGAAAGCTTTAGGCAGGAGAGGCTCAGGCCCCAAGGCTAGGCCGCAATGGCACCTGCAGAGATGGGGAGGTGTGAGCAGGCATGGGGCCTGGAGGTGCGTAAGAGCTTCCACGGGGCGAGGAAGGAGGAGGAGGAGAGAGAAGGGGCCGCCACTCCCTACAGCCTCCTGGGTGGGCAGTGCTGCGGGCACAGCGCTCTGCATCCATGCCGCGACTGCTTTCGGAATGTGCTTTTCCAGGGCGAGCCTTCTTTTTGGACATGGGATGTACCCGATGTCTACAAGCTTGAAGTAACATTGCCGACCGTGTGCTTCTTGTGCATGCAGGGTCTGAAGGGAAGGCCTTGCATCCACCGCCCACCTAACCTCACGGCTCAGCCACGTTCACGCAGCACGGTTCAGTCAGAAGTTCACACCTCATTCAACCCAGCTGTTGCTAAGTCAGTGTGGCTGTCATGGGACCAACTGAAGAGTGTCCTGCCTCACGCCGTATCTCAGGACATCCACAAAGCATTGCTTTTGCCACATTCTGCTTGGCCGCGAAGCCACTTTCTGCAGCCCGAGCTCCACCCCCGGCCATAACCCAGGCTGGGAAGAAGTTCCCCGGGCATCGGCGACTCCCTGCAGGTACGGCAGGGGTGGCAAGGGGCGAACAGCGCACCAGGCCCGCGAGGAGGTCACTGAGCAAGGGCTGTGCGCGTGGAAACCGTGATGACATCACACTGACAAGTTAAACCCTGGAGTCCCAGCGGCACTGGCTGTCGGCCGTCCTGCACGTGCCCCTGGGAAGACGTGGCTGCAGGCCCAACTCCTGGTGTCTCCCTTGGCGATAAACACAAGAAAGCCACATCTATCTACTGGAGACAGAAACAGAAATTCCTCACAAGTGAGCTGGAAATGCGCCAGTCTGCTGCGCTCACGGGGAACGGGGTCGGGCCAGCTCCCTCCAAGGACGGGGGCTGGGACGTTTGGCCGCTGCCTCTCCCACTCACTGTGGCCTGCCCCTGCCAGCGTCCCTTCCCCTTGCTGTGTGGCCCCTTTCTGGGCCACCTGCCAGAGCTCCTCACAGTGGGGACCGGCCCCTCCCTCTCCACCCTTCCCTGGACACTCTTGGGAATCTCCAGACGTGGGGGAAGCCAGGAAGGAGCCTGGATTCTGCCTCATGGCTTGCTGGAGAAAGCACTGAGGGGCATCTCATGTGGTCTCATTCACTGGTCCTTTAGGCTGATTATAGTTTCCAAATTCATAATGGAAATTCTATAGTCTGTCCATTCTCAGTCCTTTACCTTAACATTTAAAAATTTTGTAAGGAAAAACACACTTCTTACTAGAATGGAATAAGAAATGTAGAACGCTACTTGACTTAGTAATGGTTTAGCCAGTGCCAACGAGACAAACCTCACAGCATTTGAAATCGCTCTAGGTTATAATTTGGGACATTTCCACCCTGCATGAGGTGACTCTAACCCTCTAAGCAAGGCTGCCAGTGTGGGCTCACTGGAGATGCCACTGGGAGCTGTTTTTCCCCTCCCAAGACTAGAAAGTGACTGGCTACAGCGGGGGAGGGGGCCACACTCCTCACTCTTCATTGAAAAGTAGCATCCACACCTGAAAAGGCAGTCGCATCCACGGTGCTGAACGGAGGCGTGAGCTTGCTGACCGCTGAGGCGATGACTGAATGGACAGCGTGGCACACATACTTCTTTAAAACCTCAGTTGAAGGTTACAGCATCAGCTGCCATCACACCAGAACTGCCATCAGACGAGAGCAGCCGCTGCCCGTATCACCTGCGTTCATTATCAGACTTCTGTGGGGGCCCAGGGCACAGAGCGGGGGCTCCTGTCAGCCAGTGACAGAAATGGCCATCGCCACTACGAATACTCTAAGTACCATTCTGTGTGGTGAGTTTAAAATACAGAACGGTAGTCGGGCGTGGTGGCTCACGCCTGTAATCCCAGCACTTTGGGAAGTAGGTGGGAGGATCCCTTGAGCCCAGGAGTTTGAGACCAGCCTGGGCAACATAGTGAGACCCCATCTCCAAAAAAATAATTAGCTAGGTGTGGTGGCGTGCACCTGTACTCCCAGCTACTTGAGAGGCCGAGGTGGGAGGATCACTTGAGCCCAGGAGGATGAGGCTGCAGTGAGCTATGATTGCACCAATGCACTCCAACCCTGGTGACAGAGCAAGACCCTGTCCGCCTACACCCGCCAAAAATACAGAGCTATGATCTCGAGAGCATTTTATTTGAGCAAAAGATAATTTATAAAGCAAAATCAACAACATGAGCCTCCTCTGAGAGAAAGCTGGAGGCCAGCCCCATCATGTTTTGAAATTTCCCTGATTTATAATCCTCGGTAAACACAAAGGGTGCATCCTCACCCGGAACAAAACTCTCCTGGTCAGACGGTGAACACCCCAGAGTGAGGCCTGTGGGCCACACGAGCCTGCTGAAGGGGTTAACCGGCAGTGGTGCCAAGCAGGAAGCCCCGAGACCTGCCCCTCCACAGCGCCTGCTTGCAGGGGCCCAAGGGCCTCCCCTGCACAGCCTGGCCTGGGGGCACTGACACATTTTTGGCAAACAGATCTTGGCCGGACAGAAGGTCCAATCCTTCCAGCCACTTCACTTAAAGGAAAATCTTCTATTTAAGATCCAGACTCAGCCTAACAATCACGAAGATGGCTCTGTTTATGATCCGCGACTATGCACCTTCAGCCACAGCGGCCCAGTGTGTGCAGCTTGGCGACCTTGAGTTTGTAAGGATGAGTAAGACCTTGTGGCATTTGCGTGACTCAATAACCAACAGGTAATTAAATATGAATGAAGAAGAAAGGTAGATGTAACCACATAACTCTTTTGATTGTAGATTTAGCTGCGATGTCGGCGGCACTTGCGAATTCCCTCCCCACTCTGAGGAGCTGGACGGAGGCTCCATCCCACTGAGGGCTGGGCATGGGCCTGCCTGGCCCTGAAGGCACCCACGGGGCCACTCCCACCAGGGTGTGGATGAAACCTGTTTTCTTTTCTCTTCCCAATTCATACTCTTTAGCAGCGAAGAAAAAACAATATATATGTGAACTAAGAAAAGGACTATAAATCATGCTACCATAAGGACACATGCACACATATGTTTATTGTGGCACTATTCACAATAGTAAAGACTTGGAACCAACCCAAATGTCCATCAATGATAGACTGGATTAAGAAAATGTGGCACATATACACCATGGAATACTATGCAGCCATAAAAAAGGATGAGTTCATGTTCTTTGCAGGGACATGGATGAAGCTGGAAACCATCATTCTCAGCAAAATATCACAAAGACAGAAAATCAAACACCACATGTTCTCACTCATCGGTGGGAAGTGAACAATGAGAACACTTGGACACAAGGCGGGGACCATCACACACCACAGCCTGTCAGGGGCTGGGGGCCAGGGGGAGGGGTAGCATTAGGAGAAATACCTAATGTAAATGACGAGTTGGTGGGTGCAGCAATCCAACATGGCACATGTATACATATGTAACAAACCTGCACGTTGTGCACATGTACCCTAGAACTTAAAGTATAATTAAAAAAAAAAAAAGAAAAAAAATTCCAGGTACAAAGGGGAAGTCATTTATTTTTGTGCCATGCTGCCTTGCATTTTTGGAATGCCTGTCCCTGGAGATGGAGCTCACATCTTTCCGGAAAGCTCTGAAGGTCCCTGCGTCTCAGTATAGCTGCTCTGTAGCTTTTTAGCTGTCTGGCCCCTCTTAGGTGTTGAGAAAGTTATTAAGAAAATTATTAAGGATAGCATGTCAAATTCCCAGTGAGAAGGACGCATTTGCAATAATGGAAAAAGGGCACGGTTTTGCAGGTCATCTCCATAGTAAAATATCAATGATTATAATGTGCCTCTATTCTTGAGAAGAAAGTATTCCAGAGCCATTAGTGTGTTAGAAAAAAAAAAAACCCCACAGTAGAAAATGAAATCCATTATTGGCAAAAAAAGCAAGCCAAGACAGAGCTGAGATCTGCACGGTGTGGCCGTGTAAGGCAGAGGCTGAGGACCAGGACTCTGGGTCCAGATCACCCGGGGCTGTGTGCCACTGGACAGGCTGCCAAAAGCTGCGTGTGTGTTTTTAATCTGTGAAATGGGGATGAAGGCAGAGCAGCTCCACAGAGTTGTTGGGAGGACTCTGAGGGTGGATGTGTGTGGAGCACAGAGTACAAGGCCTGGCTTGCAGACTCGGCCCGTGTGACACTGATCTCAGGTGGGTGCAACAAGTACACAGCCTGACTTGCACACTTGGCCCATGCGGCACTGATCTCAGGTGGGTGTGATGAGTACGAGCCCTGGCTTGCACACTCAGCCTGTGGGACACTGATCTCTGGTGGGTGCAATGAGTACACAGCCTGGCTTGCACGCTCAGCCTGTGGGACACTGATCTCTGGTGTGTGCAATGAGTACACAGCCTGACTTGCACACTCGGCCCGTGGGACACTGATCTCAGGTGGGTGCAACGAGTACACAGCCTGGCTTGCACGCTCAGCCTGTGGGACACTGATCTCTGGTGGGTGCAATGAGTACACAGCCTGGCTTGCACGCTCAGCCTGTGGGACACTGATCTCTGGTGTGTGCAATGAGTACACAGCCTGGCTTGCACGCTCAGCCTGTGGGACACTGATCTCTGGTGTGTGCAATGAGTACACAGCCTGGCTTGCACACTCGGCCCGTGGGACACTGATCTCAGGTGGGTGCAACGAGTACACAGCCTGGCTTGCACACTCGGCCCGTGGGACACTGATCTCAGGTGGGTGCAACGAGTACACAGCCTGACTTGCACACTCGGCCCGTGGGACACTGATCTTACACGGGTGTGGGCATCCCCCTGCCAGTGCCCGCATCTACATTTGGGCACAGAGAAGCCACACAGCCTCACGGGAGCTGGGGGCCTCTGGCAGGGCCTCCTTCCAGGACACAATACCAAGGAGGCCAGACCCCCAGGGCTGTCCGCACTGGATGACCCTCTGGCCACTCTGTCCTGCTGATGAGACCCTCTCCCTGCCTCCTCCCTCTCAGTAAAACTAGAGTAACTAGGCATTTTTAAAGAAGATGGTGGCGTCTTCCACTGTTGCCCTAAATGGAAATGCTCCACCGCAAAACTCAATGTGATGCTAGTGCCTCACGACCTAACACCCTCCCCACGGGGCAGCGTTTGTCAGGAACGGTAAACCCAGCGCGTCCGCACCCAGGCGCAGAAACTCTCCATCAGGGAAATGTGAAAAATTGATCTTTTTGCAGCTCGGTGCTGCCTCCAACACATCCAGAGCCAACTGGAACTGTGAGTGTGAGCCCAGTGGCACTGCAAGCGCCCACACCAGCACCCTGCCCTGGGCAGAGTCACGTGGGACCATCCCCGCAGGACAGTGCTGCACCCAGAGCCCCCACCCTGAAAGCTTCCCGTGCTCTGAGCAGCTCCTCAGGTGTGAGCACACAAACAGAGGAGGCCATGGTCAGCACGGCACATTCGGACACCACAGTCCTCGCTCGCCGTAGAGCCGCCTGCTCCTCTGCTGTGCCCAGGCCGGGGCCCTGGGCGTGTCCGCAGAGTCCTCAAAGTATCTTATACTTCTCTATAACACAATGTGCAAAATAAGCTGAAGAGGATTCTGGGGGCAGAAATTCATCCATACACATCACAAGGCAAATGTCTCATCTCTTAACTCAGCATCTGATGGAGAAAATTACAGAGTGGAAATCACTCAGAGAAGAGACCTGTCATTCTTGAATTCTGCCAAAAGAAGACCAGGACAACAAAGGTTTCAGGAAAACCTCTCTGCACGCTTCCGGGAGCCAACTGAATGAAGCCGTGTTGCCCGAGTGTGCGCACAGAGAGCCTTGGGTTTTTAGGGTTATTTCGAGAGTGTAATCACTAGTAACAGGACAACACTAAGGAATTAAACGTACAAAGCTGGGCAGGAAAAAGTGGGTTCACTGGGCTCTGCTGGGGAGGAATAAAGGCCACTCTCCAGACTGGACGTGGCACCAAGAGAACGTGGTGAACGGGAACCGGCTCTGTTTGGGGAGGGCCCTGGCCTTCAGCTCAGAGGGCAACACACAGCAGAAGCCGCGGGGCCCGGTGCAACCACAGGTGGCTCGAATGTAAAACGGTTAAGGAAAAAGCCTGCGCTCTGTCAGTTTGACACTGAGGCTGCAGGGCACGTGACGACAGGAAATCTAAACAGGAAGGTGAAATGTTGAGAAAGCGTGTGCAGGGAAAAGGCCGGGGAAAAATATTCCAGGTTGTTAAACGGGGTCATGTGTCATAGTGGGGAAAAAAAGAAAAAAAGGTTTCTTGTATAATCACCTCTCCCCGATCATGACACAGTTTTACTTGATTTTATTTCATCATAAAACTCAGAGGGACTCAGAAGGAACCGCCTCACATGCTAGGCCAGCAAGGCCAGCTGGGAGCAGAGGAGCAGTAACCAATGATTTCGTTGAGGAGAGCGACTTTACACAAACACTCCACCATGCTAGGTCTCTGATCGGCACCGCTACAAGGTGCTCCGGGGTCTGGGTGCATCTGGGGCAGCCCTGTGAGACCTCAGGGAACACAGGGCCACGCTCACTTCTGGAGAGCAAATGGCCCACGGCCGCCCCTGAATGCCAGGGGAGCCTCCCTTCTTCTGCCACGGAGTCAGGGCCCCGGCAGCCGAGCCTGTCCGTGATCTAAGCCGGGGACGTCCTCGGCTCATGGCCCACGTGGCCAACGCTGCTCTGGTGACACAGTCCCACCGCCTCCAGTGGCTTCTCCTTGGTGTCCAGGTAACTTTTACACTTGGACCAAGAACAACCCACACACGTGTTTGCACGCGCACACACACACACACCCAGGGGAGGATGCCCCTGACAGCAGCGCCCAAGCCAGGGCCACAGAGCTCTGCAGGCCCCTCCCCGCTCCTGACACACGACGACACCCAGTCAGGGGCTGTAAGCACAGCTCCTGCAGGAAGGGGTTCCACGCACGGGCAAACAAGCCGAGTCAGCCCACGATGAGCGATGTTGGCCAAGCAATATGGAGTGAGTTCTTCCCATTTCGCAAGATGTTTTCTCAAAACAAAAATTAAAGATATAGACATGTTTCATGTAAGTGAAAAATAATTTTCAACACTCTTCTAAATGT
Organism: Homo sapiens; assembly: GCF_000001405.40. Taxonomy (NCBI): domain Eukaryota; kingdom Metazoa; phylum Chordata; class Mammalia; order Primates; family Hominidae; genus Homo; species Homo sapiens. The sequence continues at coordinate 157,669,734 of NC_000007.14, forward strand.
GGAACAGTCTTGGAACAGCCTAAGATCAGTAGGAAAAAAGCGGCCTCTCCGCTCGCTCAGCCCCCATCCCTGCGGCGCCCAGAGCACCAGCCCTTTCTCGAGTCCCCACACAACCTCGAGGCCGGGCTCCGGGCATCCAGGCGTGTGCTGTTTCCTAGTTATTTTCACGTCCATACCCCTGCCTCCCACACTCAAGAGCAGAAGTCCTTCTGTCTGCTTTCTGTACCCACAGCATCTACGTGGTGCAGAGGGGCCCTCGCTGAGCCCCTGCACACTGGTCAGCATCCCTGGCCTCCAGATCACGGCTCGCTCAGGGACCGAGTGTCCCACACCAAGGCAGCCCTGGGGGAGCAGCAAGGGGCACGGCTGGAGCAGCTGCATCGAGCCCCCGCCGGCCGACAGCTGCGGCTTCCTGCTCTGGGGAGGTGAGGGCTGTGTTTGAATCTCCTGAAGCCCCTGGTGGGTGGCTGGGAAACGCAGGTGCTCCACGTGAAGCACAGAAGGCACGTACGGGCTCACGGGACCCGCGGTCAGCTGCATCCGAGAGTGACCGACGTGCTGAAACCCGACCTCCTGCCTCCCTTTTTCTTAGGGACTGCCTCTCCCCTAAGACTAAAGACATTCATTTTCTTCATTTGCTCTGCTCCTGATAACATCAGATTGAAACCAGGAAACAGTTGTGAAAATAAAGACATTGGAAGGAAACACAGAATTTTAATGAGCATCTTCTCTCTGGAACAGCCCATGTCTAAGACCGGCTTCTGTGATGGTCTTTAATGCTTCCATAAAGGTGGCATCTTAGATGTGAGAGGGAGCACCTTTAACCCACGATGCCTGCAACCCTTCCCGTTGTCATGGGAGACCCCAGTCACACCGCAGCAAAGCCCCTCCAGCCAGACTGCCGTTGGTGAGACAAATCCCTCCCTTCCCGGCTCCCACGGAGGATGACTCACCGGGCAATTAAGTTCTAAGGGCTTCCAAAAAAGTCAGTGGTGCCTTCAAAGTTCACAGATCCAACACGACCTCTGTGAGCAAAGCCAGCCTTGAGAGGCCCCACAGGCTGAACCTTGCTTTTCAGTTTCATAGTCAGACAATTTAAAATAGCCAGTCAGTAAGAAACAAGTCATCCGCCTTCAGAGCAGCCCAGGCCTGACGTGGAAGTAGAGAACGGGCAGCTGTTTTTTTTACAAGAAACTTTTGCACCTTCCTAATTTTCTTTTTGCTCAGAATAAGGGCTGATTTTCATGTGCCATCCCTGTCATCACCCGCATCTTCAGCCTGCAGCGCGTAGGGAGGACTCCCCATGGGCGGGCAGGACTCTGGACCTGAGAATTGCACAGGATGGTTTCCAAGAGGGTTTACATGCTCCCCCGCCCCCCGTCCCCTGCCCACAGACCTGCTCTTACCACATCAAGATCTTAGTTCAATGTATCGATTCATTCTTATCGAGCATGTAAAGGTCCCCGGTGGGTGCTGTGGGTCTATTGGACAGACCTGGCCTTTGGGAAGCCAAGGCTGTCCCCACACGGGCTGGTCTGGTGTGGGCAACAAGGCCCGCTCTGCACCCAGGCCTGCCTCCATCCAACACAATGAGGAAGTCACCCTACACTGGAGGGATGGTGACGAGACGTCACCGCAGAGGCGGCAGAAGGGATAAAGGGGAGGTAGGGATGAATAGGGCCCTGGTGTTCGGGATGGGACGGGCCACCCCGGGCTGAGATGGAAGCTCAGGGGACGGGGGTCTGCACAGGGCTGGACAGATGGGAGGGTCTGCAGGGATAAAGTGGGAGGGGGGGCGGTGCAACGGAGGGAGCCGGGCAAACAAAGGCTCAGAAGCAGAGGAGCCCAGCCCAGGGACACAAAAGGTATTCACATCCTTCCATTCGGTGGCCACCACAGCTTAATTAAGCCAAAGGAAGGGCAGGGGCATGCGGGCTGGGGGCGGAGCGGCTACTGGAGCAGCTGCTTCTCCATTTTCGGAACTGCACGTCGTTCTGGGGCCCAATTATTCTACCTAAAACTGATCTGAGTGACACCTGAACTGCACAAGGCCTGAAGGACGCCCTGAAGAGCTTCTTCCTACCAGACCCCCGAAGGCCAGGGTCTGGGGGCCTGCTGGGAATCCCGGTCTCAGAGGTCTCAGCTCTGACCGAAGGGTGCTGAGCCCTAAGGTCTGTACGGGGAGTTTCTAAAAGTCTACGCTGTACCCCAAGAAGGGGACGGGTGGGGCAGCAGCCCTGGAGGAAAACCCGTGAGCGAGTCGTGGAGGGAGTGTGAGGGTTTTTGGGGAGTGAACTTTGCAGAGGGTGCTGGGAGCAGCCGGCCCGAGGACACCGCTGACTGGGGTACAGGGGCCACGGGTCGCACGTGGGGTGTCAGCTCTGCCGCCTCACTTGGGGTTGATTTGAAATCTCAAGATGTGTCTGAAAACCCCCCCTGGAGAAGCGAGGGGCCCACTGGGAACGGGAAGGCCTGAGCAAGACAGACGCATGCCCGGGGCGAGGAAGGGGAGCCTGGAAATCCACCCTCAGAAGAATCAGACACGTTTTCTAGACTTTCCCCTTCACATTTCAGCTTCACGTTTGGGGCTCACTTAACAATTTGTATATTTGTTCTCCTTGAATCTGGTAGAGAATAAGAAATCCCTGGGATGGGGACAGAAATAATTCTGAAACTCACACACCAGCTCCAGTTTCCATCCAATTTAGTATTTTGTTTTGCAAAAAAAATCTGCATTGTATTTCCTCCCACTCAGGAACATCCGATCTCTGGTTTCAGGGTGCGTTTTACAGGCCAGGAAAGGTGATTCCAGGTCGGGAAAGGCCATTCCAGGAAGATTGCGTTATTGTCCACTCTCCTGCATCATCGTCTTCACCAAAAAAGCTGAAAGCGACGAAACGCCTACCCAGAGGGCAAATCCAGCTTCCGCTCTCCTCAGAGGTACTCAGTCCAGTTATACATCAATGTGAGAATAGTCCCAGCACTTATCACTTGTAAACTCTTTTAATTGATTAGCTATTAAATGGCATAAGATCAATCCAAGTTTAAACCTGTATATCAAATCCACATTCCACAAACTCTGTAGTGAATTATGTATTTTAAAACATGTAGCTTTACTGGCTAATGTAATCGTCTGCGAATCTTCCCATCTGTTCTTCAAGTCACTGTACCTGGAGGCGCACACTAGCACAGACCCAGACACTCAATTCTGGGGCTGCATTATTATCCTGTACATTAAAAAATCTTGAAAGGGTGCTTGTTCACACCTGCCACCTTTCTAGTGAGTCTCTTGTACTTGCTAATAGAGAAATAACATACCCAGGTTCCATCCTTTTTTTTTGAGATGAAGTTTTGATTTCGGCTCACCGCAACGTCTGCCTCCCAGGTTCAAGCAATTTTCCTGCCTCAGCCTCCCGAGTAGCTGGGATGACACGTGCACGCCACCACACCTGGCTAATTTTTGTATTTTTAATAGAGACGGGGTTTCGCCATGTTGGCCAGGCTGGTCTCAAATTCCTGACCTCAGGTGATCTGCCTGCCTCGGCCTCCCAAAGTGCTGGGATTACAGGTGAGCCCCTGTGCCAGTCCCAAGATTTCATTCTTAACCATCAGTAATTCTCCCAAAGCAGAAAAGCCACGGAGACGTTACATTTTGAGCAACAAAGTTTCAGAACAGCTGGCTGGATGAAGAAGGGAGCACTATTCTGCAGCCCCCATGGAACAGGAAAAGCCGCTGTTCAGACACCTGCAGAAATGCCTGACTCTGCCCACCTCACGTCCACATAAACCTGAAAAAATGGGAGAGGAGTAGCTAGCTGTCTGCCCCTGGAAGCCCCTCCATTTCCCTTGTGCATCCTGGCCCCTCTCTCTCTGAGCTCAGGCCCTTCCATGCTCCTCTCCCGCCCCACAGAGGCCCCCTCTGTCCTGGCCCCTCTCTCTCTGAGCTCAGGCCCTTCCATGCTCCTCTCCCGCCCCACAGAGGCCCCCTCTGCCGTTGCCTTTTTCTTCCTCTCCCACGTTCTGTTCTCACGTACTCTGAACCCCACGCGGCACCCAGGGCTCCCCGCGTTCTCTGAGCCCCATGCCCGCCCCACCCGGCACCCAGGGCTCCCCTAGGGTCACAGTGTTGTCTGTTTCCGGGTTCACACTGGGGAGTCCTTCACAAAGGCAGACTGGGCCGACTCTGATGTAAGATCAAGTTCTCTGCTGTCCCCGTTGTTCCAGAATATGGGATTCTACCCTTAGAAGCGATAAGCTTTCTGAGAAAACGCCTTCTGGGTCAGCTCCAAGTTCAGCTATCCCGAGGTTCCAAGGCTGTCTGCCCACCCAGACCCAAGGTGTCCAATCCTTAGGGGTGACCCTCGGGCCAACACCAATCACAGCTCTGGGGACCCCCACGTGTCAGCCATGGCAAAATGAACCCCCAACACAGCAGGGGAGGGAAGGAGGAGGCGGGGCTCACAGAGCAGAGAGCCATGGAGAGCTCCGGGCCGAAGGGGACTTGGGCCTGGGAGAGAAGAGACAGCCAGGCGGCGAGGGACTTGTCCTGTGGAGGCCTCCCCAGGAGGCGAGGGTGGGGGGACTCCTGCTGGAGGCGGCCGGCAGATCAGCCTTCCTTATCCACGTCCTCGAAGTGATCCCCGTTTGACATTTGGAAATGACTTTCATCTGCTGGGTCCTCCTCGGTTTGACGTGCAATTGCTTTTCCCGAAGCTTTCTCCTCTTGTAACACCCAGCTCCTGCATGCCGTGGCGGCTCCAGCCATCATTCCTCATCCCACCACCCCGCGCAGCGTCTTGCCTCCTTTTATGCCGGTGTACGTGTTGTGTTAAGAGCTGGGCTTTGCCATTTTTGACAGGCTAATGCATTTCACCACAGATAATGCCATTCACCACAGAGGCGCATTCTCTCTCGTGCCCATCAAGGCAGAGGCTGAGAAGAAGGTCTGCTTTACAGCAACGGCCTGAGGACCCTCGGCCCCAAGGTGAGGCCCCGCGCAGGTACCTCTGTACACGCCTGTGGAGTCCCACCCTGTCGTGTGCACGAGGCTGTCACCTGGAGATTCCGGCCCTGCCGGGCGTCTCCTCCCACGCCGAGCTCCTCCTGCCGGGGGGGTCTGCACAGTTCTGGGTGGGGGAGGCTCCAGGAGCTACCCGAGGCTTCTTCTCCTTGCCAACAACGATGCCCTCCTCCCGAGGGACGGTGGCCCCAAGGGGAGCCGGGAGAGCAGAGGCTACAGGCAGGGAGTGGGGAGACCCAGCCTTCAAGCACAGCGCCCCTTGGGTGGGACTTGCCTCTTGCTCACACCCACTCCTACCTCCTGGTACCCGCCTGCTGGAATCTCCTCCCCACCGCCTACTGTTTCTTTTGAAATCCCAGTTTAATCCACTTTTTTACACTTCCCTTTACTCCCTCAAGTGTCTCCTCCCAACACCCACTTTATTTCACAGCGGCTCGCGTCCTTCGGAGAGCCTGCCTCCCGCCATGGGCAGCAGGGTTCCCGCTGAGCTGGGCCCACCTGACCAGGGCTTCCCTCCTGCCGAGCCCTCACCTCGATGTGAGCCCTGAAGCCCCTTGGGCTGGGAGGTGAGGTGTTCAGAGCACAGATGCCCGAGGCTGCACCTGCACCAAGACCTGACCTTACCCCCCAGGGCCCCGGACCACACAGGGGCTCACCCGGGTGTTGGCTCACCCGGGCGCCTTCTCCGAACACCTTCCATCAAGTGTCTTGAATTCTGCAGAGCAGCCCAGGTTTCAGGGCTTTGCTTCTGTTTTCTTCTCTGGAAGTGCATGCTTTGCAGACACCAATGTCCTCAGTTTTAGTTCAGAAAATGTGTCCCGCCTCTCTAATCAGGTCTAAGGGAGGGGAGCAGCTCATGCCGAGGAGGAAGTGTGCGGAAACGGGTACCCTGGAAACGGGAGGAGCAGGCAGGAATCCAACACCCATCCCAGCCCCGCGGGCACTGACAGTCGCTGCAGACCGGGCAAGTCACCCTCGGGCAGCGCTTCAGAGCTGACGTGGCACCCGCACCCACAGGGCTGCCCTCATCCGCATGGCGGCCCAAGAGGAGGCCCCAGTTCATAGATGAGGAAGGCGGCCTTCGGGAGGGAGGGGCTGGGCCTCGCACCCCAGGGAATGGAAGGGCAATGGCACCTTTCTTCCATGAATTTCACCATTGGAGAAAAAGTTAAAAGATGAAAAGTGTGGCAAGAGGGGAATAAGATAAGAAGGAAGAAACGGAGGGGGGTGAAAGCAGGCAGAATGTGCCTCTTCTGATCCTCTTGGGGTCACTCAGCCACACCGAGCCATGGACCGTCCCTTGGAGCGCCACAGACTGCAGGGTTTGTCCTTGTCACGAACTCAAAGAGCTGACCTCTCTGGGCCGGCACACAACTTGCAGCCGAGTCCTTTCCACGACACCCCAGCTCCCTGTCTAAACTCTTGGCCTGACTGGGAGGACCTCTTCCCTCTAGCCCAGTTCCTCCTGGCAGCCCTGCAAATGCCCACCCTCTTGGGTCTGTCCCTACCCTGCAGATGGCTCCAGCACCTGCCCCAGCCACGCCTCCATCTCCCGCCAGCCGCCAAGAGCTCCACCCACCACCTGGCCCAGCCCCTCCTCTGTCATCTCCAAGGATTTGATTTCAGTTTCACACGAATCACCTCCTAGTGATGCGTGGACTAATGCTGTTTACCGCCGGTTCACTTTCATTGCAAACTCCTCATCTCCAAGAAATCATCAACCGAGAAAAGAAAGGATGTCACCTTTTCCCAAATCTCCCACAGTGCCTCACACTACGAGGGAAGATGGTGGAGGAGCTGTCCAGACCCACGGGACAGAAAAGCCCGGGCCAGCCCCTCAACACCCTGCAGTGGGGACAGCGCAGCTGGGGACCGCCCAGTGCAGCTCTGCCACTGGCCCTGTGGGCTGGGGCGCCTCTCAGTTTATCTGCTGCTGACTTTGCCCCCTTGTAAAACAGGGTTGGGAGATAATGAGATGCCTGGGGAAGGTGTCCTGGGTCCCTTTCCACAGGGTCCCTTTCCACGGGGTGGGTGACTGATGAGGACAGGGGGTGCCTAGGAACAGGGGCTCGGAAGGACCTGCTGTGCATGCAGGGGTCACCCCAGGAGCGACCCTGGCTTTGACGAGAAGGAAGTGTTCTCTGGTTCTGGCAGAGAAATGTGTGAGGCGGACTGGTACACAACACAAGCCTAAGGGAAGCAGCACCCGCTCCACAGACACCACGCACACCGCCCCTCCCCTGGTGCTGTGTGAGCACCCATCCTCCTCCCGGGGCCCAGCCCTCTTCCTTGGCTGCTGGAGTGCAGGGTGAGCACGTCTGGAAGAAGCCTGCAGCCCCCACCTCCTTTCCTGCGCCCCTCCTTGTGTGTAGCAGGAAGTGGCTTCCTTAGGAAGCAGTTATTCGAGTCATACCCAGGTGTGAAAAGCTACCAAGGTCAAGGCAAACATAGGAATGGCCTAGTGCCAAAATGAAGCCACAGAATTCAGCCCTCCACATTTTATGTCTCAGACTTTCCAATTTTTTTTTTATTTCCAAATATCTCACTGCGTGGTCTCTGTGATTTTAATTAAGTCTGATCTAATGACTACTGTCTGATGGGGGGAGTGGCTTGCTGTACCCCAACGAGCAGCATGCTTCTGTTTTATGTTTAGAGGTTTCTCTGGCCACCTTTCGAGACTTCATTGTTCTCTGAAGATCGAGCTCTATCTCTCAGGAGCTGTATCTGAGGAAGCATTTTGGGCAAAACGGCAGGATGTACACTGCTTTTGGAAACTGCATCTGTGAACACTTCAGATTTATGAGAAAAATGCACTTCAAAGGGGCACTTTCCAGAAAAACGTTCAGACTCATGGTGAAAAGGTATCTAGAAGATTCCATGGAGCCTGCAGAAACCAAGCCGGCTGACCCCACATACTGATGATCTATACTGAACACACAGGCAAACAAAAACAGGTTCTTCCCACACTGGGGACGACACGTACCCTTTACCCTCATCATCCTGGCTAAATTCTGCAGGTTTCCTTCCGATTTCCTTCACATCAGAAACCATGGGATTTGGCACCAGCGTGACAACCATTTAGCATTTGCTGATTCCTAGTTAGTCCAGGGAAGTTCTGTGCCGCCATGGAGTATGGGAGGAGGGAGGCACGGCCTTGCCCTCCCGGGGCCTGGAGTCTGTTCCCGGACAATCTGCAAAACCGAATCCACGTCTCGAAAGTTTCAAGAGAATTCTACTGTAGACATCTGTACTATCAGCTACATTTGGAAAGGATTATAAAATTAGAAAAATTTCCATTTTCAGGCTTGACTTTACAATAAAATGTTCTCTAATCATAATTATTTCATAACAAATGATCTTTAATGTTGTATTTTTATACTTGTAAACTATTTGGCACAGTTTTCACAGGGTGCCCTTCATTTTTGAAGCAGCATAGGTTTTGCTTATTTGAGTTTTGCAAAAAATATATTATTTTGACCTGGAAATTTAAATATATAGTGAGGAAAGCCATTCTAAGATACAGAGCTGATTGAAAAGGCTTTGTTAAAAACTTCTGGTGGGGTCAAGTAAACCTCAGTAAAAGTCACTGTTTTCCAATTTAATTGTGAACATCCTACTTCTATTACTCGTGATTACACCAATGCCTGAAGATTAAACTCACCTAGAGAAAGAACGGTCTCTTAAAGCCCCAGAGAATGAACCAAGGCGTGACCTGTGCTCTTTGTCAGAACTCAGCTTTCTGCACCGGGGGTAAGAAGTCAGGGTGCATTTGGGACTTGCAGACACGCCAGCCCCAGTCAACTGAGCACCCTCAGATCGCAGCAATTGCCACCACACTGTCACTGCCTTTGTAATCACTTGCTAATGGGAGCAGCAGCAGCGACCGAGACGTGCACTTAGCCGCTGTGTTTACAGGAGGTCCCCGTGGCCCGGATGCATGCTTTCCTCTGGGTTTGGTTCCAAAGGCCTCCAAGTACACAAGGAAACCTGCTGGGTATTGTGAAATAAACCATCAAAAGAGAACTTGCTGAAAATTCTGCAGGAGTCTCTGCCCTCATGTCGGGGAAGGGAGAGTGGGCTGGCAGAATACTAAACTTGCTGCTCAAAGATGATCAAAGCCTCAAGGAAATGGATGCAACATTCAAAGAGACTCCGAGAGAAAAGGAGGAGAATGTCTTCTAATCATCTAACAACTTATTTTTGGCACAGTTTTTACCCAATCACCTTCCATAGAAATAGGACACCTACATGAAAAAAGAATGCATAAAGTATACTGGTACCAAAAATCACAATTCTTCCATGTCTTCACATTATCCTTAGTGTGTGTGTGTGTACATGTGTGTATAAATATATATATACACACATATATGCATATATGACAGGCTATGCCAATTTGAAAAAAAAGAATAAAAGTCAATAAAATTGGATTTTTACATCATGAAGTACAGAATTAATCCAAATATATCATGTTTTATCTATTTAGAAGAAAAAACAACATTTACTAAAACAATGGGGAGAAGTTTGGTGCGAGTAGTCTGTTAAACAAATGACCTTTAAGAATATATTTCAGTTATTCTGAAAGTTAATACACCCAATTTTTGCTCCAGTCTGAGCAAATTAAACTTGGCTGGATTATCTGATGGGGTTGATATCCTGGTAAGTGTCAAAAATATGAGAGTCTGTCAAAAAAGATTTGCTTTTCCAATAGGTAAGGCAAACAAAAATATCACACTCATGTAAATGAAGAAAGCTCTAACATCCTGACCCTGTCCATGAAATAGTTCTATTTTGAGGAAAAACAGGTAAACATGTTTGAAGGTGTTTGCATTAGAAGCTAGTAATTCAATCTCCTTACTGCTTCAAAACTATTTTAAGAAAAGCTCTCTTACTCCCCAGGAGCACAACGTGGGCCCCCTGTGGTCCCAAGCCCAGGCTCTGACTCACACACACAGGGGTCGGGGCTGGGGGGTTCTGTACAAGCACTAATGATGTGCGTGCATTATCAGGGCTGAGGCGGACAAATGCTTTAGCAGAGGTTGGCAACATGAGGGCCCCCCAGGTCACGCGGGAAGTGCCTTGCCAGGACACTAACCCAGCTGCTGTTTAACAGAGGACATGAGGATTCACCTTTTGGAACCCCAGGGAGGACGCAGCTCTACACCCTGAGGCCACCAGTGCCCCCCAGGATACCACCTCCACGCACCCGTCTCCTCCACTCCATCAGAACACCTCTGCTCCTGACCTTCCTTTCCCCAGGTAAGAACACAAGTTCTTTTGTTTAAAGTGTAACTTCATATTCTGATATTAATAAAACTTATGATATTGCCACCTACCATTCTCTCTCTCCGAGGTTACCTACCTCTCACCTACCTTGCACAATAATCTTTTTATTTTTCAGAAGCTTTAAGACAATGAATTGAGTAGTTCCAGCATGTCCCCATGAAATAAAGCATAAGATCAAATTGTTCCATTTTCCTTGTAACCCAGTGATGAGAGTTATCATCCACAACCTCACTGTGATTATAGAATCAGCAAAGTACACAGGTTCAGTGAGCCAGAAATAAATACATTAATGCGAGAAGACACCTTTCCTGAAATTTGTTTTATGTTTGCAATATTTTAAAAAACTTTTCAAACAGATTTTTACACTTCACAGGGGACTCATGGCTGTGATAGAAAACCCAAGTGAGATATGGATACGTTAATGAATTAATACCTGCTTCATTTACCAAAGTAAATATCCTTTCCTTGTAACCGCAATTGTCTGAGTCCTTGACACGTTACTCAGCTAACTTCAAAGTGAACAATCATACAGTCCCATCCTCACTACTGCGTCCTGCTCCGCCAAAACACAAATCACAACAACACAATGGTTCGGCACCTAGAACTTTCTCACCGGGAAACAATCCACCGTGATGGGGCAAACCCCCACTTTAATCAAAGTACTTCCCTAAAGGGCATTTTGTGGTGATTTCAAAGCTAAACCAACCAGAAAGTCTTTACACTCATTTCATTTCCAAATTTTCCTAGATCACATTTTTAAAGAAAAAAAGTTTTTTTTCCTTTTTATTAATCTGGATTGAAGAAAAGCACACATTTCATTTATTGTCTGGATTACAGATTCTTATTAAACAAACCGGAGCTCATTATAAAATCAATATCAACTTAACCACCATGCCCTCAGGAGGAACAGCAAAAAGGTCACTCCAAGAAATTCAAACAATTTTCCTGCTGGAAGGGCATGATTTTAATTACAGATACTATTAATTAGAGCTGTCACTGGGAAGGCTTTTTTTTTTCTGTTAATTATCACAAACTCAGTCCTAAGTATGCATTTTCAACCTGCAGTTTTTTTTTCAAATTAGTCATTTCTGCATGCAAGTCCAACCTTTCCATTCTATCAATATTTTATATTTGAATTTCAAAGTATATCAAAGGGCGCCACGCTTTCTAAAAATCTCTGCCTGTATGATCTTCCGTCTCTCACGCATGGAACAGAACTGGTGTGATAATTTATTTATGTACTGACACAGACTTGGCCTGAAGACCTGGCATCCTACATTGAAGGTCTTGCTCAATGGAATTTCTGGATAAATTCTTACTAGTTTATGTGACATTTTTTTCAGGCTGCTTCTTCAAACGTGATTTTCCTTTTGCTTTGAAGCAAAGCTATGCACTGCAACTGAAATGCCAGCCTCAACACATTTGAAGTTGCCATTTCTTTGTAAGAAAAAGATCGTCCTGACCGGGCTGGTGACCCTCTCCAGAAAACTGGAGGCTTCCTCCATTCAATGGCAATACCAGGAATTTTGAAATGGGAGGAAAAGCTGTCTTGTGGTCAATCTCTTTTAAGCATAGAGATTGTGTAAATTCCTTATGTGGGGGAGGGTCCTGAGAGCTCACAGAGTATAGAAAAGCTAGCTCCAAGGAGCTCAGGCAGCAGGAGGGTATGGTGCTGGAGGGCGCTTTGTGGAGAGAGCTTGAGAGCCCACCCATGTAACTCTGATGATGGAATAATAATATTTACTTTACATACGACTGTAAAAATGATGAATTATTTACAAGACGTATTGCACACTGTAATCATGTGACTAGAGAAAACAAAGGATCCAGTCCAATGAGGAAATCTTACACATGTACTGACCAAACTTTTAAAACAGTGGTTAAGGAGTCATCCTACCTTCCCAGATGGGAATATCTTCTCGGAATTAAATGATATTTTATATGCAAAGGAATCAAACGCCTTGACTGGTGTAAGTATTCTGGGCTTATGCTGCTGTTAAAACCGAAGGCCTATGTTCATTACAGGACAATACTAAATACGAAATGTGCGCCATAGAACTTCCAGAAACTCTGTGGTTTTTTAAAAATGCCCGACTTGGTCTGAACTTGCCTTCCTCGCATCCTCCCCGGTTTCCAGCTCATTTCCAGGGGTGTCTGTGGTGCCTCTAGAGAAGGTGTCCCTCATGGGGACGCGTGTGGGTCACCTTCCCCTGGTCAGCGTTAGGCTTCACTGGACCGGACAACAGCACAGGGTGGCAACTGGGCAGGTCAAAGGATCTTTTCACAGAAGACCCCGAGGAAGCCGATGATTTTTGAGACATCTTCAAACACCTACACGCCAAATGATCTCGCAACTCTGGCACTTTTCAGTAGTAGTGGCCAAACTAAGATAACAGATAATACATCATTCATGTACTGTACTTTTTCCACACTTCTAATTAACAACATTCTTCCAGAGTTAACACGAGGCTATCCAAGAAGAGCAGACGGATACAGAGCTGCACAACTGTGGCTGCAACGTATTTGCACGAATGCTGATGAGAAGTTCCAAACTGTCCTCATAAAAGACCCCAAACTATGATACAGGAACAACTGCTGGGAATGGAGGAGGGGCCAGAGAGGAACGCCATCATCTGCCTGTTCAACAGATAAATCCGATATACCACTTTTTAAAAAGTCTCCTCTTACCTGGTAGGCGGCAGTGGCATCTGCACCTGGGTCGCCCCCTAGTCCCGAGAGCTTCTCCTTCAGCCTGTGCTGAGAGCTATGGCGGAGGCAGTAGATGAGGCCAGAGGCCAGGAGGACGCCCAGGATGCAGGCGAGGGAGACCAGGGTGAGCGCGATGAACTTGGTGGAGTCTTCTTGCTCCGCCTGAGGAGGCAGGAACTTGAGTTTGCTTTTCTGCAGAACAAGGAGAGAGGGGTGTGTTAGCTCCTGACAAAGCATGACCTCCTAAAAACACACGTCTCCAAATGCAACTTGAAAGTGGAAAGCTCAGCCCCACAGGACGCTGTGCTGGCCCTGGAGCCACAACGGGAGGGCCCTGCGGAACAACCCCCGTCAAAGGAGAAGCAGAAATCATTTGAAAATAGCACATCGCAGATTGCAGCGTGCTCAAGAGGACAGTCAGAGGCATCACTTTTTCCTTCAGTGGTGGCTGTTTTTCAAATTTATGTAACGTATTTGGCAGCTAATTTGCTGCCTTAAGTAAAGTATCCATCCCTTCTTCTAACCGGGCACAGCAGTTTGTCCAGAGCTTGCACAATGATTGTCGGGGGTGCTGGGGGGAGGCCAGGCTTGGCGGTGGAGGAGGGTGGGCAGGCCCGGAGCCTTCTGCAGCTTCAAGTAGCCACCAAGTCCAGCACATCTTCAGCAACAAAGGAACGTGGGACTGGCTCTGTGCATCTTCACAGAACATTCTCCCTCCCAGGTCAGGGGATTTGGATCCACCTGTCTTGAAAGGCGAGCGCTGGTCGAATCCCACCTGACTCCAGTCACTCTCCAGGAGTGGCCTGGTGCAGACCACAACACTTGCCACCTATGCACCTACGTATTTTTCCTTGAAAGGAGCTGCAGAGCCTTTGGAACTTCACTTCTCAGCGAGGAAAACCCTTCAGATTCTCACTGCTTCTTGGAGGGCGGGGGTAGGGCTGGTGAAAATATGAGAAAGCCCTTTCGGTGCATTTCACTTGTCTCCACGTGCAAATAGTTGCACGGCTCTCCCCTCATTAACTTCATTAGAAGGTATATTAGCAACAATTAAGGACGCCACAGGAAAATGGGAAGGCCGCCCCGCAGACCGCGCGCCCTGCACAATGACTCGGGGAGTGAATGGGGGAGCACGCCCGGCCTTGGTCCTGGCTGCTACAAGATGAGAACAATTAGCAAACCCCTTTCCACCACCTAATTTCGCGTGGTAACAAAATGGATTTTTCCCCATGAATGCCTGGCCGGCCTATTCATTATCTCTCTTCTATTAGTAATTTTCTGCTCCGTATTCAGCCTCCCAACTCTTCATTTCCTCCCGTCTCCCAGCGTACACAGTGCCTCTTATGTCAGGCCGGGCCCGTTTTTATCTTGTAATCATAAAGGCCACCAAAGCAATTATCGCCGGTCTTGACTGGAAAAGCTGGTCATTAATTAGCCTCCTTTTGCCTTCGGTGCAGCGGATTAGCTGGTGCCGGGACTGAGTTAATGGAAACGCGGGTTAAATGAGAAAAGACGCCCGGATTTTCCTGCCTGGATGCGCGGCTCGGAGGAGGACCGCGAGGTTCTCCAGCGGCGGGAGGCGGTGGAGCCGCCGCGGAGAGGGAGGGAGGCTTTGGAGAGGGAGGGAAGGAAAGGGGGAGGGAGAGGGAAAGGGGGGAGAGGGAGAGGAGGCGCGGGGTGGGGGAGGGGAGTGAGCAGGGAGCCGGGAGAGGGAGGAGGGGCGGGAACCAGGGGAGCGGCCCGAACCCCGTTTGGTCCGGACCCCGCAGCCACCGCTGGGTCTCGCCGCCGGGTCGCCCTTCGCGTGGAGATCCGGTCCGCGCCCCCTCCCCGGTCTCCTCCCCTCCCCTCCCCTCCGCCCCCCTCCCTCCGGCCCACACAGCCTCTTCCAGAAAGAAGTCACTCTAGAGCCGCGCGACCCAGCCCCAGAGTCCGCCGGGGTCCGCCCACCGGGTCTCCTGCGCGCCCCTCCCCGCCCCTCCCCGGGCACAGCCCGTTCACGAAACCTAAGGCGCCGGCCACGCGCCACCTCCCCCGGGCCGGGGTCTCCTCGGTCCCCGCGCGGGCGCTGGTTCTCCCGGGTGGGCGGCAGCCCCGCCCTGTGCCCTCCTGGGCCGGCGCGAGGGACCCTAGAGCGCGCGGGGGGCCCCAGGCGGGGAGGAGCGGCCGCGACCCCGGATGCGAGAGGCGTGTGGGTCCAAGCGGCGCCGGGACAGGGGCCGGGTCCTCTGCCCACCCCAGGGTCCATGTTCGCCTGCGGGGCCGCGTCCCCCGGAGCCATACCTGGGCGGGAGGGCTTTTCCCGGGGGCCCGGCCTGCGCCCCTCGCCGCCCCTCGCCCCTCGCCTCTCGCCTCCCGCGGGTCCCGCCTGGCCTTGGCCGACGGAACAAGAACAACAAAGGAAGCGGCGCGACCGGCGGAGGGGGCGCCCGCCGCCCTCCCACCCCTCATCCCGGCCGGGCCGATGGCCCCCGCGCGCCTCCATCCGCCCCAGCGCGGAGGCGACCCCGGCCCCGCTGCCCCGGCGTCGGGAGGACACCGCGCGCTCACGTGGATGACTGCGCCCGGGAACAGGGACTTCCCGAACCTTCCTGCCCCGCGCCGTGAGGCCCACACGCGCGCGGTGACCACCCTGGTTCTGAGGGGGCGGCGGGGCCACGGCGTGTGGCGGACCCGGCAGTGGCACCCAGGCTGTGCGCGCGGGTGTGTGGGGTTCCGAGGCGCAGGGCGACCGCCGGCTCCGGCTCCCCGAGGAAGGGGCACAGGCGCTGCCCGCGGTCACTCGGGCCAGGTGAGGGCAGGGGACGCGCGGGGGCCGGAGGAGGAGGCCTGGTCTGCGGGCGGCAGGAGGGACCCGGGGCCAGCCGAGGCTGTTCCCAGGGAGGCAGACACCTGCTGTCGCCGGGACCCTCGACACGCTCCGCACGCGCGGGAGCGGAACCGGGCCTGCTTTGGAGGCCTCCCTTGGCGCGCTTGGATTTACTCAAAGGTCAAAGAAAAATGTCAAGGAGAGCGATTGCCTGGAGAGCTCCTGGCTCTCCTCCCGGGTCCCCGCTGGGTCCCAGGAGTCCCCGGAGGGGAAGCAAGGAGCCCCAGTGCCCTGGAGTCCTGTCTCCACCAACCTCGCCCGGCTCCCTGCTGCCTAGGCCCGCGCTGTCCCAGCAGAGGAGGGGTGGGAGCCGCCCCAGGCCCACCTCCCCGCGCCGGTCCACAAGGAGGCCCCTCCTGCAACCTGGGAGAGGCCGGGGGAGGCCCGGAGGGCGACCGCGCGGGGCCGCGGGACCTGGACAGCCGGGGAGTCGTGACCGCGGGCAGCGCCGGGGCTGAGGGCGAGGAGGGTCTTACTGCAGGGAAGGGCGGGACGCTGGACAGAGGGACCGACTGGGGTCCACCGGCCTGACACAGAAGTCGCTGGATCCCAGGGCCCGGCTGGGAAACCCGCTTCCTACCCGCCCGCGGGCGCCGCAGAAGAAACCGAAGAAAGAGGTCTTCCCTCCACGCCCAGGACGGTTTCAAGTGTCCCACCCAGCGCTGAGCAGGAGGGTGATGCGGAGGGAAAAACTGTTGGCTGCAAGTCAGGTCTTAGGAATCCCGGAAGAAACGAAGATTTAAAGAATTTTTTTCTAAGTGATTGAGTTCCAATAACTTTACAATGACTTGACTCCCTTTTTGTGGAGTTAAAAAAAATCTTCAAACTCCTGCTAGCCATGGCCTTTAAGAGAAAGAAATGAGTTTAAAAGTGAGTTTGAGGCACAGTCTTGACCCAGGTGTGGCTTTGGTGGTCCTCAGCGCCATCTCCCCCATGGGCACCGACCCCCCAAGGCTGCACCACGGCGGGTGGACCCCAAAGAGAGCCCAGACTAATTAGAGGCATCTTATCAGTCTTGACTTGAAATTGAAAGAAAATTATGTTTAAATATTTATGACTTTGACATTTACAGTCAGGCGTTTTTGAAAAGCGGAACACCCCCTTCTGTACAGCGGCAGCTCAATGACTGAAAGTTTGGAACAGAGAAGAAGTGAGGAGGAGGAGGAGGGAGAAGGAGGCCTGGTAACACAGCGGCAGGGGTGCGTCCCGGGTGGGGGAGATGCACAGATAGGCACACTTCAGTGCTGAGTTCTCAGAGGCAGGAATAGTATAATTTAAAAAAATAATCAGGAATGATTAAGTTAATTTTATCCCAGGTTAGATCTATCTTGAGAATAAGATGAAGTACAATATCGCATATTTCTTCCTCTCAACCGTCTGCACCTGCAACTCCTCAAATTTAGAATAGACAGTATTGCAAAAGTTGTGATTCAAAATAAGTGTATGACCACAGAGACAATTTGTGGAGCTGTCTTAGAACTTAGCATCTGCAGACACTGTCCTGACCAATTTAAATTATTTTGACCGTGCCCCTGAGTGGAGGTGCATGAGGCTTCCACCCCATGCCCTTGTGAGCCATTTACGGGAAAATGCCTTCAGAACTTTTTTAGCTGTCCATGTGGTAAGCTTAAAAGAAAAGAAAAAAGGACATGTTATGCCCAAACTCAATTGTGAGAGCTGATACAGCCACACAAATACAAAACTTTATGGTAAATATGTGTTGACGGGTAGCCAGATTTAGTCCTTTTCCAAGGTTGTGTGATATAACCAGTTAACAGGAGCAGTTCATTCTCTGAGTCACGATGTGCAGTATTAAAATATGCTTGCATCATAAAGACGTAGGGATACAGGTGCTCGGTGCCAGTTAATGTTAAACTTCTAACATTGTTGATGCTTTCATTTGTATCATTTCTAAGGAATCAGATTTCAGTCCCAGCCTCATCCTATCTTTGTGTGCATTTAAATTACTAAATTATAAATACCTTTTTCTCTTAAAACTTAGAAGTCAGTTTTAGAGACCATTAATGAGTTGCTGTAACAAGTTTATCTTTGGTTTGCTGGATGAATCCTCTTAGAATTATTAGGAAATTTCATTCTAAATTTACTAAAAGGCATTACTAAAATATAATACTCACTTTAGGGCTGATGAACATTTTAAGTTTTCAGGCCATAGCAAGTGATCCAACTTGAAAACACGGGGGAAGGGGTGTCTTAAAATATTTTAAAAGTATTTTTTAAAGCTGTTAACGGAACTACTTTTAATTTGGAATTTGCCACAGAATTCTAATAAATGAGAGAAGTCAGGCGGAAATAATCATGTATTAATTCTCTGCATTACAAAATCTTTTCAGAAGCTATTATCAGAGCAAGAGGCACTGCGGTCTGAATTCAGGGTGGGAGAAGCCCTTTGTGCAACTGAAAGCTATTGTTCCTCCGTGCAGATGAAATTGTACTTGCAAATCTGCCATTCAAGTGGCCAAAAAACCCAAAAAAGCAAAAGAAAAGAATCTTCAAGGAAAAATTATTCTTAAATGTAAACTTTAATGAAAATAAGTTGGGATATACTGTTTTAAAATGGGCTATTTGTTGAGTTTTTCCAGGCATACACTTAAAAGTGAATATACAAGAAAGGCAATAAATTGTCTATTTGCCATCTTTAAGCACTCCTAAAACATCAGTTTTAAAGAAATACTGTGTTTTAAGACATCAGGGAAGATTTATGATACTGATGTCCAAAGGGGGAAGCACCCTTGTGCAAACTAATTCTAACCAGCAGATTGCCTCCGGTGGGAGAGAGGGACCCAGAGGCTGAGCAGGGGAAGGATGCCCCTGAGAAAGCCGCCCCCAGCCTCTTTCAGACTCTCCGCTGGCGTTTTCATGACACCCAAACTCAGACTCAGCGGATCACACTTAAGGCACCGGCTCCTGACCCCTATTTTTGGCCCGCCCGCCTGGTCCCCAGGCCTGCCTGGACGCACGCGCGCCTTCCACACCAGGTGCTTCTCGGGACGGGGCCTGGCCTCCCCACCCCGCAAGAACCAGACCCTCTTCAGGACTGGGGGGGTTACCGCTTCGCCTCCTCTACCCGGACTCAGAAGCCCCAACCCAAGACCCGCCTAGCGTCGCTTGTCAGAACCCCTCTGTGGCACGACTTTGAGCAGAGGGCGAGGGAAAGGAGGGTCAGCGTTCGGCCCCGTCCCCTGCCTGGGCTTTCTCCCCCGCTTCCCCGTCCCTCCCCCCTCGCCGGTTCACCGCATCCCCACAGGAGTCATAAAGATCAGGCCCCAGCGCCGGACACAAAGGCCAAGGGTTCCCGGGAGCCGCGGGTATTCAGAGCCAGGAGAGGGGTCCCGGCGCGGAGGGTGCTGCGGCCCAGCCTCCTGGCCACAGAGCGCGCCGGCCGCGAGGGAGGACCAAGGTCCCCAACCACGCCCGCGTCCACCCGTGAATCCCGGCGCTCGCAGCCCCCGGGCGGCGCAGCCGCCACCGCCGCCGTCTTCTCTGGAGCGCAGAGGGGTGTGCTTGGGAGGGGGCGGGAGGGCACTTTCCTCTGTGTCGGTGAAAGGAAGAGCTTCCAGCTCCCTCCTCCGCACAAACCTTCACTTCCTCTCTTGTTCGATCGCGTCCTAAAATCTGGGATCGGCGACGCAAGGACAGCCTGGTTTGGCGAAGACCCCTCGGACACCCTGCGCTCCGGACTCCAGGCGGGTGGCTCCACGGTGCCGGCCGGGACGCGCAGCTCGGGGGGCGGGACCACGTCCGGGACCCCGGGGCCGCTGTCCGAGGACGGAGGTCGGTGACTTGAACCGCGTCGTCCTCAGGGCTGTGGCGGGGCCCCTCTCCCAGCCGTCCAGCCCGCAGCGCCCAGCTCAGCGCACTGAGGACCAAAAAGGGCGGGAGACTCTCTCCGGCCCTAAAAGGCAATTGTGCTGAGATTTTAACTCTAACTTGGGGGTTCGCCCGATTCCCTGGAGCAACGCTTCTCTAAAACCACGGAGCAGGCCAGTGTTCGGAACTGCACAGGTAGTTACGAAGGAAGGAAATGAAGTCCCTCGTTCCAACAGCTTCGGGTCCAGTCACAAGTTTCTCTCTGGCGAGCACGCGGCCGCCTCACCTGGGGTGGGGGAGGCGCTGAGAAAGCGCAGTTCTCTTTGGGGGAGGAGAGATGGCCTCTCAGAGGCGTCCCCACCTGCCTCTGGAACGCCTCTCCCTGCAGGCCCCCTCGGTTCCCTGCAATTCGCCGCCCGCTGGGATACTCCCATGGCTCGGAGGCGCGCTCCCGGACCCTGGTGAGGAGGGTGAAGAGCGCCCCAAAATGGGCTGAGAGGAAAATGCGCCCACACTGGCGCCTCTCCATCCTGGCTGCTCGCCCCTTCCCTCCTCCTTTCCCACACGCCTCCCATCTCCGTGCCTGCACCCCCCCACCCCCAGCACCCTGCAATGGTCGGAACTGCAGGGAGTGGGGAGCAACGCGAAAGGCCGAGAGAAGAGCGCTGGGGAGAAGTCCCGGAGGTCCTAGACTCCTTGGGGCGGTCTCTGCGGGGCGCTGGGCCAGGACAGCTGCCAACCCTCCAAATCTGTGCGCTCAGAAGGAGCTGCCCTTTGCCCGCTCCTCCTCACAGGCCCACCCTAGACCCACTTGGGGATGATCCCAGGCGCAGCTCTCCCCTGCCGGCCCAAGCCTTTGACAGGAGTCCTGCGGCGAGGCAGAGACCCCCTGAACTGAGCTCTCCGACGCCCTAGTTGCCCGTTAGAGCCCCCATGCGCGCCCTCCAGCCTTCGAAAGCTCTCTTCCTCGCCCCACCACCTACGCGCCTGGTGATGCTCTCGTGGGCCCTTCCTGCTCCCTCCGCCCCCATCCCAGCCTCTCTCGCCTCTTCCAGGGCCCACCCAACCGCACTACGAGCGCCCGCGCCCCGCCCGGCACCCCTGGTTACCTGCAGCTGGGCCGGCGCCCAGCGCCCGCGCGGGAGGAGGTGGGGGCGTGCGCCGGGCCGAGCGGCCTCGGGGCGCAGCAGCTGCGGGTAGCGGCAGCGCCATCATCACAGCCAGCTGCTTCCCTGCGCTGGAGCCACAGACTAGCGGGGTCATCCGCTTCTGACCACAAACTTCTAGGGCGGCCGGAGGAGACAAAGGTGCCGCGCGTCGCTGCTCCAGCAGCAGCGGCTGCGCGGCGGCACGGGCTCGGAGCCCGCAGGCGCCGGAGCTCTGCGCGGCCGCTCGGCCCAGCTCCGCGTGCTCCGCCCCGGCCCGGCCCCCGGGCTAGGCACGCTGGGCCGGGGCGCGGCGCGGGCGGGCTCAGGGCGGGCTCCGGACGGTCCCGGTAGGGCCGCCGGCCGCGCGCGTAGCACCAACCAGCGCGGCCGCCGCGCCCCGCCTTATATCCGGCCCGGCGCGCACCCGGCCGGCGGCGGCGCGGCTCGCGGCCCAGCCACCGGTTGCTATAGCGATGTCCCCCCCCCCCCCCACATGTTGCTGACAGCAATTGGCTAAGGGGCCGCGGCTCTCCAAACACCCTCTCCCGCCCGAGACTATGAATGGACATCAGCTTTGTCAGTCATTGGTACAACGCCGAAGCCAGGGCCTTCGCCTTTTCTTTCTTTTCAGTGTTTCTCCCTTTCATCGTTCATACTGGGCAAGTTCAGGGTAGCACCGAGGGGAGAGAGACCTCGGCCAGAAAAGTCAAGGCGCGCGGCTCTGCTGTGACCTTTGTCCTGGGAGGGGTGGGTGGGGTGCGTCGCCACTCTTGGCAAGAGAAAATTGCACGGCATATCGTTCTTCCCAGTTACCTTTTCCAGTGTTGCCGTTCGGGCCTTTTTGCTCCCTTTCCAAATGGAAGCAGGCCAATGATTCAGGGCGAGTAGACGAGAGCCCCTCTGCTCACTTTACCAGGGTCCTCCCGAGTGTTTAGGTCCCGATGCGCGTAGAAAGTGTCTTGCGAGACGCGGAACTGGTGAGACTTTGCCACCATTTGGTCCAGGCCAATGTCGGCCGCCAGCCCAAAACGCCGAAGGGAGACGGCGGTGAAAACCCAGGCGTGCGAGCTGCGTCCTTGCCCTTCCCCCTACCCAGGTCAATGGTCTGGCCTAGACCACCGCTCTGCGGGCGAAAGGAGTGGAGCAGAATCACAGGCCACGCTCCCAGTCGTTCGAGCCTGCCCACATAACCCCCGGCCCCTGGCGCAGTCAGGCCCGCAGCGGGCGAGAAGAGCTAGGGTCTCGGGGCGACTAGGACCACTGAGCACCTCCCCCCCGCGCCTCCCGCCCATGCTCTCTCTCCCCAGGCCCTGGACCCCGGGCCACAGCCACAGGTTGGGGCACCCCGGTGCGCGGCGCCCCCGCGGAGCTGGCGAGAGCCGGAGAGCTGAAACCCAACATCTGTGTGTACAATGCGCTCTCCGAGGCCCACAGCTGCAGGAACAAGGAGAAGAAAGGAAGAGGGGGGCGCAGATCTTGTCACACGCAGATGACAGTCTGCGGAGGGCTCTTTAGTTTCTCCTTTTCTGGAAACCCCAGCGGCCCCCTCCTAGGCCCCCCTCTCCCACCGCCTGGCCATTGTTCCCTGCGCCCGGGACAGCTGGAGACGGCGGCCCGCGCCACTCGACGCCCCTCCCGCCGCACACCCGGCTGCCCGCGGCGCCCGCTCCCGGCCCCTCCGGGGCCAACTCCTCCACACCCCCCACCTCCCCAGGCCAGGCCCAGGCGGCGCTTCCACAGTCTCCCCTCCCCTCCCTTGCACTCTGGCGCTGCCCCTAGACCTGCTCGGTGCAGAGGGCCTTGCCTGGCGCTTTTCTCTCACAAACCTAGTTCTGTAAAACCTGGGGGCGAGCCCCAGGGGGCAGGGCTCAGAGGCGGGGGTTGTCCACAGATATGAGTACGGTGCCGTCCGCTGCAGGCCCCTGTCTAAAAGTGGCCGAAGGACCCCGTTTCCTCTGACTGCAGGCCCAGGCTGAGTTCCGCATTTATTTTTGTATTTATAGGGCAAGGCCAGAGCGCTTCATAAAGCTCCAGGGCAAAGAAGTGGCCTCGCATCGGGCCATGGTTCCCGCAGGCCTGAGCGGGCTGCAGGAGGCCCGGTGCGGCTCGGCGGGGGCGCGAGAGGCGAGAAACTGCGGCGTCACTGGCGTCCTCTGCCCATGAGTGAACCCCTCCAGTAGGCGGGGACGGGGTACATCACCTTGGCCCTCTCGTCCCCCCTGCCCAGGGCAAGGCCCGCAAAAACCCCCGCACCCTGGCTCGGGGGCGGCGCGGCGGCGGGCAGGTCAGAGAGAAGCGGTACTCGGGTTCCCCCAGCGCCCGGGATGCCCTCCCAGGGACCTTCTCGGGCAAAGAGTCGAGTGGTAGCGGTTCCTGTCCCTCCCCGCCACCCTCCTCCGGTGCCTCGGCGTCCCCAGCCAGGCTCCAGGGCGACCCCAGGCCCGGCCCTGGGCAGAGACAGAGGAGGGGAGGGGAGGTGGCGCTGGGGGGCGGGGGGCCGGAGACGGCGGGAGGAGGACTCGGGAGCCGGGGCGGGAAGAGGGGAAGACAGCGGAGAGAAGGGACGGGGAGGGGAGGGGGCTCGGAGGAGGGGACCTGCTGCCCTCAGCCTGGCTGGTAACCGGCCTCTCCATAGCAACGGCCAGCGCGCGCGTCTGTGTGTGCGCGCGTGTCTGATGTGTGTGTGCCCGTGGTGTTCCCGGGACTCCCCGCGGGGGCTGGGAGGGGATCGCAGAACCCTAGGGTGGCGACAGAGCAAACCCCTCCAGGACTGGAGGCCCGACCTCCGCGGTGCTGGGAGCGCCCTAGGGTCTGGCTGCGCCGCGCTGGCGACGGGGTAGGCTCGGGGAACGCGCGCAGGCCCCGGGATCGGCCGCTGGGGCATTGGGGCATCCTGCCCTCGCTGCCCCGACCCTCCCGCTGCGGTCGCAGGGCCTTGGGGCACCGGGGAGTGGGCGGGTCTTCCCAGCGACCCGGAGCACAGGGGCGGGCGACGGCGCCCCCACCATGGCCCTGCCCGGCCCGAGCGCCCGGCGCACCTGAGGTCTGGGCCGGGGAGCAGCTGGGGAACCGCGCGTCGCCTCGGGGAGCTCCCGGCCAGGCCGGCTCCGGGCAGAGGCCAGAGGGGCCCTGGCGCACCCTCCCCGCCCGCGGCGACCTCGCACCACCTTCCCCGCCAGCCCGCGGCTCTCCTCGCCCTGGATCGCCGGAGCCTCATCCAGGCTGGGGTCTCCAGCAGGCGGCCGGGAGCTCTCCGAGGTGGCCAGGAGTGGCCGGTAGCCGTCTCCCTCGGCCAGGCCGTGTCCAGCCCCTCAGTCTCCACGGCGGCGCAGACCGCACGCGGCCACCCTGGGCCTCGGACAGGGCTAGGGGGACGCAGACCCTGCCGTCTGGGGGTCCTGGGGCGGCCACGGGGCCGGCGACCCCAGAGCAAGGCGGAGCCTAGTACAGGCCAGAGAGCTGGTTTTGCTTTCTTCACAGACATGACCTGACAGTGAATACACAAATAAATACAATTCTTTTCGTTAGTCCCTTCTTCCGTTGTCTCAGTGTTTCACTTCCAACATCAAAGCACCGCATTCCTGATTTGATCTTAATTTAATGACCTGTCTTTCTAGTGCTTTGAGGAAAGATGGGTGGGAGGTGGCACCAATTCAGTTCAATTTGGGTCACTTTAAAAATCGTGAGAGGGCCTGAAAGGTTCCATGCGGGTTCACCAGCAGAACAGCACACTTCCTCGTCCACGCCTTGGTGCACCTGCGGCAATATATTCTGGGTGGCAGACGGTTATTTATGTCTGAGAGCCTCCAACTCACTCCCCTTCCTCCCACCACCCCTCCTCTAAGGTGCGGCCTGACCTCAGTGGGGCTGCAGAACTGGCCTCGCCAAAGCTGAAGGCGGACCCACACTCTAAGCCCTAGAGTCTAGGGGGGTCATGAGAAGAACGCGTTTGTATTTGAGGTGCTGGTTCTTTTAGTCTATTGCTTCAGAAACTGGTAAGTTACTCGCCAGATTTCCATTCTATTTTTCTTTATTTTAAATTCCCTTTTTATTTCCAGGGCAGGAAAATGTATCTTCTAATTCTTGAAAATACTTTAGAAAAGTGTCTCGGCAATAATGTGAGACTAGATTCAGCTAATTTGAAGAATGAATAATGATGTGAGGATTTTTTCTTTTTTCTTTTTTTTTTGGTCATGAGATCTTAGACTTCATTTAATAATAAATTTCAATTTACATGATTTCAATAACATTTTCAGAGAAAACTTTTAAACATGACACAAAATATTTTTGAGAGACATGTTGATTGAAATCATTTATATATGACAAATGAGTACATTATTCATATAGAAGTTAGGGTTGTTTGGCTGATGAATAAAAAATATAATATATGTAAAATTCTCCAAGACCTACAAAATAGCTACACAATATAAATAGTTTAAAAATGATTTGTTGATCCTGCCAATACTTCTTTTAAAGTGCATTTCACATTTGTTATGTGTAAAACCTAATGTTCTGTGATAAGAATCTCATTTTCAATTTAAGGAACACCAAATTGTTATAGATTACACATTTAAGTGATTAGAATAAATATCCCATGCACTAAATTATCAAAGAAAATGTATTTTTAAACAAAATAGAGAAAGACTGTTATGGGAAACATGATTATTATAAAGCAAAACACATATTTCAGGAATTTAAAATAATATGGTAAGGTAGAAAATGATTTAAAAAACACCTGAGACTCTTGATTTCAGAAGTCTAAATCAATTTTGTTTTTTAAACTAAGACAGTAATTTATAATTTTACAGTACACAAATAGTATTTAAAATACTTTTGATTTCTAAATCCATTTTTAAAAAGTATTTACTATTATAATATAAAAATAAAAATAGATCCTTAAAAATATTGTAGGTATGTGTATAAGGCATTTCTTCATGCATATATTTAAAGAAAACAACATTTTAAAGTAACAATGAGTGCATTTTGAAAACAAGATGTTTTGAGAGGTCAGCCTCCTAGTAAAGCATAGTAGTTGGCATTGAGATAATTTAAGAACAAAGACACTTCCACAGACAAATATGGATGACTCTGAGTTGAAATGTATTAACCACCAGTAGTTATTTTTTCAAGGACAATATTTGGAAGAGCATCAGACACTAGTGAGAAGTCCTTATTCATCATAAAAGAAGGTAAGTCCATTGCAACAATAGGGCAGTGAAACAACTGCATCTTAGTAGAGCCCTCACCGTCTACCCGTGCATACTGGATCTTAGTAGAGCCCTCACCATCTACCCATGCATACTGGGTCTTGGCAGAGCCCTCACCATCTACCCATGCATACTGGATCTTAGTAGAGCCCTCACCATCTACCCATGCATACTGGGTCTTGGCAGAGCCCTCACCATCTACCCATGCATACTGGGTCTTGGCAGAGCCCTCACCATCTACCCATGCATACTGGGTCTTGGAAGAGCCCTCACCATCTACCCATGCATACTGGGTCTTGGCAGAGCCCTCACCATCTACCCATGCATACTGGGTCTTGGCAGAGCCCTCACCATCTACCCATGCATACTGGGTCTTGGGAGAGCCCTCACCATCTACCCATGCACACTGGGTCTTGGCAGAGCCCTCACCATCTACCCATGCATACTGGATCTTAGTAGAGCCCTCACCATCTACCCATGCATACTGGATCTTAGTAGAGCCCTCACCATCTACCCATGCATACTGGGTCTTAGTAGAGCCCTCACCATCTACTCATGCATACTGGATCTTAGTAGAGCCCTCACCATCTACCCATGCATACTGGGTCTTAGTAGAGCCCTCACCATCTACCCATGCATACTGGATCTTAGTAGAGCCCTCACCATCTACCCATGCATACTGGATCTTGGCAGAGCCCTCACCATCTACCCATGCATACTGGGTCTTGGCAGAGCCCTCACCATCTACCCATGCATACTGGATCTTAGTAGAGCCCTCACCATCTACCCATGCATACTGGATCTTAGTAGAGCCCTCACCATCTACCCATGCATACTGGGTCTTAGTAGAGCCCTCACCATCTACCTATGCATACTGGATCTTGGCAGAGCCCTCACCGTCTACCCATGCATACTGGGTCTTAGCAGAGCCCTCACCGTCTACCCATGCATACTGGATCTTGGCAGAGCCCTCACCATCTACCCATGCATACTGGATCTTGGCAGAGCCCTCACCATCTACACATGCATACTGGGTCTTGGCAGAGCCCTCACCGTCTACACATGCATACTGGGTCTTGGCAGAGCCCTCACCGTCTACCCATGCATACTGGGTCTTGGCAGAGCCCTCACCGTCTACTCATGCATACTGGGTCTTGGCAGAGCCCTCACCGTCTACCCATGCATACTGGGTCTTGGCAGAGCCCTCACCATCTACCCATGCATACTGGTTCTTGGCAGAGCCCTCACCATCTACCCATGCATACTGGGTCTTGGCAGAGCCCTCACCATCTACCCATGCATACTGGGTCTTGGCAGAGCCCTCACCATCTACCCATGCATACTGGGTCTTGGCAGAGCCCTCACCATCTACCCATGCATACTGGGTCTTGGCAGAGCCCTCACCATCTACCCATGCATACTGGGTCTTGGCAGAGCCCTCACCATCTACCCATGCATACTGTGTCTTGGCAGATTCCTCACCATCTACCCATGCATACTGGGTCTTGGCAGAGCCCTCACCATCTACCCATGCATACTGGATCTTAGTAGAGCCCTCACCATCTACCCATGCATACTGGGTCTTAGTAGAGCCCTCACCATCTACCCATGCATACTGGATCTTAGTAGAGCCCTCACCATCTACCCATGCATACTGGGTCTTAGTAGAGCCCTCACCATCTACTCATGCATACTGGATCTTAGTAGAGCCCTCACCATCTACCCATGCATACTGGATCTTGGCAGAGCCCTCACCATCTACCCATGCATACTGGGTCTTGGCAGAGCCCTCACCATCTACCCATGCATACTGGGTCTTAGTAGAGCCCTCACCGTCTACCCATGCATACTGGATCTCGGCAGAGCCCTCACCGTCTACCCATGCATACTGGGTCTTAGCAGAGCCCTCACCGTCTACCCATGCATACTGGATCTTGGCAGAGCCCTCACCGTCTACCCATGCATACTGGATCTTGGCAGAGCCCTCACCATCTACCCATGCATACTGGGTCTTCGCAGAGCCCTCACTGTCTACCCATGCATACTGGATCTTGGCAGAGCCCTCACCATCTACTCATGCATACTGGGTCTTGGCAGAGCCCTCACCATCTACTCATGCATACTGGGTCTTGGCAGAGCCCTCACCATCTACCCATGCATACTGGATCTTAGCAGAGCCCTCACCATCTACCCATGCATACTGGGTCTTGGCAGAGCCCTCACCATCTACCCATGCATACTGGAAGCAGAGTTTATCCCACAGGACAAATTCATGAACTGGGAAGATTTTTAAGATAAGATTTTGCCACATTGCTTATGTTAGATATAACATAAGCAATGCAAATGTAAGCAGTGCAAATGTAAGATATAGCTATAAAATCAATGCCCTTATTTTAAAATTGAGAAATGCTAAAATTATTTTTTCAAATTATTTCACTTTATTTCAAGAAAAATATGAATTCTTTACTTAAAGCAGAACAATGCAAGTCATTTTTTGTTTTGAAAAATAAATCACCAACACAACTCAGCTTTTATTATTAATTCTCATGCTGGCTCATATGCCGATGAATCTGAAGCTTTTGAAATCCAAAAATAGGAACTCAATGATGAGATAGACTTGATATCCCACCAATGGCTTGACATGCTTACATGAAACCACGTGCTTATAAACCAAGTATGTGTTTCAGCAAACATTTCTGCTTGAAGGATTGGCTGACAAATATGTCGGGATGTTTAGACTTTTCTTCCCCAAACTTCAAAGTTATAATTCAAAGAATAGAAAAAGCCTCAAGGCTTCATTATTACTATTATTAGTTTTGTCCATTAAAAGTAGCATTTTGAAAAAATACTGTTCATAAGCACAGGTACTTATAAACAGTGCAGTCTCCCTAGAGGTGAATCCGGTTTTCACTGTCTAGATTCTAGTATAGAGGATCTATTACTTTTAATCAACGTATTTGTAAAGATCTAATATTTTATTATTTACAGAATAATGCCATAAGGCACGTATTTAATAGTTGATGTTCAGTATAGTATATATATTGTATTTTCATAACTAGATTATATTCTTTTCAAAACTGAGCTAAAATTCCTTAGATTGAATGTTTGTAAGAAAGACTCATTACCACATGAACAAGAATCTAACTTTTTTGAAAATGGCTAAATAGTGCCATTATGTTCAGATGAAAGGAAACAAGATAATTCTGTGAAGAATAACCAGGTCATCTCTATTTTTGTTTAAAATCTCTTTCACATATTTTGTCAGTTACATACTACACATCCATTACAATATTTGGAAACTTTTCCTCGGGTTGCTTTGGAATTAAAAGTAGAACAATAATTCAGGTAATTCAGGTAAATGTTTGTTTCACAATTATATAACTTAGCCATGTCCTGTTCACATATTCTTTAAGAAAAGTGCCTATGTATATTTTAATGTATGAAAATAGGCTCCAATTAAATGAAAGAACAGCAACAGCCTGACAAAGCTCACCTTTGTACCTGGATTCTACTGAGAAGGAAAATCAAATGATCACCATCAAGTGACATTTTTTGATTTTATATTGCAAATATGTCTATACATATTTAGATCTAATGTGAACAAAAATTCAGGAAGCAGCCAGTTGCTTTTCTTTTCTTTTTTTTCTTTTTACTGAGACGGAGTCTTGCTCTGTCACCCAGGCTGGAGTGCAGTGGCGTGATCCTGGCTCACTGCCAACCGCCGACACCCAGGTTCAAATGATTCTGCTGCCAGTAGCTGGGATTACAGGTGTCTGCCACCAGGCCCAGTGAATTTTTTTTTGTATTTTTAGTAAAGACAGGGTTTTGCCATCTTGGCCAGGCTGTTCTTGAGCTCCCAACCTCGGGTGGTCTGCCCACCTTGAGCCTCCCAAAGTGCTGGAATTACAGGCGGGAGCCACCGCACCCTGCCCAGTTGCTTTTCATTCTGACACAGTGCGGAGCAGGTTCAGGGTAAGCTGTCACTGAGACGGAGCATTGGTGGTGCAGGATTCCATGTGACTCACCCTCAGCTGCCAAGTGGCCAACTGCATGGAGCCGCCGCATGTCCTCGGTCAGTGCGGTGGGATGCACGCTGGCATTCTAGCAAGTCTGGCACATTAGCATATAATCTGCAACAGGGTGCTGTCAGGTACTGAGACCACTTTTAAAACCCTCATGAATCTGCCACATGTAACTATATGTCTCCCTAATATGTTTCCATTCACACACTTTAGGAAGTGATATACCTACTTCGACCTTGCTCAGTCATTTCTGAAATTCCCATTTGGAATTGTCTTCAGAAATATGCCCAAAGAAAACCAGAAATCTAGTCTTACGTTTTCTAAGCTTTTTCACTTGTGATTCTCCACACCTTAACCTCATCACTCCTCCAGTTGACTGTCCTTGTCTCCAAATGGCTTTAGAGTATTAAAAAAGAAACAAATCTGAAATATCACTTCCACCATTAAGAGTGCATTTGAAAAGGCCATTTCAAAAGAGTAGTGCCCCAGACATGGTGAGCACTAAGACAGACAGCACCTCTGAGTGACACTGCGGAAAAACCAGGCTCACTTGTCCAAGCACGTTCGCAACAGAGTCAGTTACTTTTCCTCCACTGGGTTTCCCAGTTTCCATGACGACAGCCTGTCCTGAATGTCCATCTTTGGGGTGAGGCTTGAGGCTTCCTTGTCTTTTGTCCTCCCCACAATCAGATCCCATTACTTTTTTCGGGTCATCCCTTATCTGACCTTATTCCCCATCCCCCTATGCTGATGGCGGCTGGCCTCCTGCAGTCCTGGGGTCTGGTCCCCTCCATCCACCACCCTCAGCCTCGGCCATCTCTACCTTGTCCACTGGAACAGCTTCCTGTCCCTCCCTGAAAATTCCACCAACCCTTCCTCACACCCATCAGAGGCTGGCTCCCTTTCATCTGATCAACCAAGGACACACAGGGGCGCCTCCAGACCTCCCCTGCATGCCTTCCCCACACCAGGAGCCCCTGGTCAGCGGCCGCGAGGGCACCCTCACCCTCTCCTGCACACTCTCTCCCCATCGAGGAACCCTGGCTGGCTCAGCGGTGGGCTCGGGGCCTTTCATTTGTTTGAGGTCGAATGCTGAGTCCCTCACCTTCAGAACATGTGAGTGCTACGGACTGCTCATCATTTCACGCATGTGCACATGCACTGTCTCTCACACACGCACGCTTTCGCACACGTGGAGACAGGCGAGTACTTTCTAGTCAGCATGACAGCAGCGGCTCCATCCTGTCAAGCTACTTTCCCATATTTTATTTCCTTTCACTCCCAGAGAAACCGTGGAATTCATGCATTTTTTTTTCCAGTTTTACAGATGAGAAAACCAAAGTACTGAGAGGTAAATGAAGTATCCGAAGCTGGTCAGTGGCAGAATCTCAATCAACACACAGGCTCCTATGCGAACCCACACACTGAGGGCATGTTTCACAGGGGAGAGCTCCGTTCTTAGCTACAGACTCAGGCAGGCTTGGAGTCACTCCTCTCTGCAGTCTGAGCTCCGCGGGTCTCCGCCAGAGCCTCCAAGCCTCCCCCCAGTAATAATATTAATAATAGTTACTATTCTTTGAATAGTAATTCAATAATAGTATCAGTCTTTCAAAAAGATGGTGGTCTTTATTCTCTATTTTCCATAGAATGTGGTCACAGGCATCGTGTGAGCACTGCCATTTCTGTGCTTCTACCACACACACTCTAAGAGGCCAGGGGGTGTCTGCTCCGGCAGCTCCAGATGCACCTTCCAGGGGCGTCTCCTCCTGTCACTCAGCGCTGCCCCCAGACCCTTCCTACCCGAAGTTCTGTGGCCACAGCCATGCAGACTTTATCCTACACTCTGACCCACTCACAAAGCACTGCGGTTCTAGGTATGAAAGCTTCTCACTCTTAACTGACGTGGGCTGTGCGTTTATAAGAGAGCCGGGTCAATGCTGGTGTAACTGACACGGGCTGTGGGTTTGTAAGAGAGCCGGGTAGGTGCTGGTGTAACTGACGCGGGCTGTGCATTTATAAGAAAGCCCGGTCGGTGCTGGTGTAACTGACACGGGCTGTGGGTTTGTAAGAGAGCCGGGTAGGTGCTGGTGTAACTGACGCGGGCTGTGCATTTATAAGAAAGCCCGGTCGGTGCTGGTGTAACTGACGCGGGCTGTGGGTTTGTAAGAGAGCCGGGTAGGTGCTGGTGTAACTGACGCGGGCTGTGCATTTATAAGAAAGCCCGGTCGGTGCTGGTGTAACTGACGTGGGCTGTGCATTTATAAGAAAGCCTGGTCGGTCCTGGTGTAACTGTTGCGGGCTCTGCCTTTGTGTGAAAGCCCGGTCGGTCCTGGTGTAACTGACACGGGCTGTGGGTTTGTAAGAGAGCCGGGTAGGTGCTGGTGTAACTGACGTGGGCTGTGCATTTATGAGAAAGCCTGGTCGGTCCTGGTGTAACTGACGTGGGCTGTGCATTTATAAGAAAGCCTGGTCGGTCCTGGTGTAACTGTTGCGGGCTCTGCCTTTGTGAGAAAGCCCGGTCGGTGCTGGTGTAACTATGAGAAAGCCTGGTAGGTGCTGGTGTAACTGACACGGGCTCTGAGTTTATGAGAAAGCCTGGTCGGTGCTGGTGAACATGGGTGTCTCCCCTCAGAGAAGTAAGCTGAGGTGTGTGCACCTCTCACAGCCCAGTGGGGAGCACAGGGCTGCCTGCCCACGCTCACTGGCTGGCTCAGTGCCCTCCATAGGCTCCTGTCCACCGGCAGGCGTGCTGCGGCGTTGGTGAGAGCCCCGGGGCGGAGGCTCACCATCAGGCTTCCAGCATATGGTGGATAATAATCTCTGGCAACACAAAAAGGCAGGCAGCAGCTCAGCTCACTGTTTCATCTGTTGATCAGTCTACAGGTCCAGGGTTTTAAAAATGGATTTTTGCTAAATGAATACCACAACATATGCCACCAGAAAAGTGCGTGTGTGCCATTTCAAACACCCGCCGTCCTGCTGCTCCGCGCTGCCGAATCTGCTCCTCTCTCCTCTGGCCCCGCGTCCCTCAGAAGGAGCTGAGGTCAGAAGGAGGTGTCTCCAGGAAACACTAGGGGACCTTCATACCTGAGGGGCCAAAATAGCTGTTTTCAAGCTGCTGCTGTTGGAGACCGGTCTTAGGAAGGGGCTGTGATAGAGCTCTTTGTGGAAAGCCTTAAATTAAGATGAAGGGGAGAAAAGGAAGTATCGAAAGTTTGGAAAAATAGAGAAATAAGAAGAGCTCCTAAACTGAGCCTGTGGCAAAGGGAGTATCCTGAAATTGAACGGGCTCATTCTTGAAATGTCAGTGTGGCCGGCAGCCTCTGAGACGGCCCAGGGCCTCCGTCCTCCTGGAATTCTCTTTCCTGAGCGCCACTGGACCTGGTGACTCCACTCCGATGCCTGGAGGACAGCAAAGGCAGCAGAGATGGCTGCTAAGGACGCACACTGGGGTCCCCGACCGACTTTCGAGCTCCGAGGGATGTCTGCTGCCAGGTGGTGGCGGCTGATGGGGAAACCTGGTGGACAGGGCCCATGGACAGGGGCTAACAGCACAGAGGGCCTGGGGCTGCCGCTGCTGAGCTGAGAGGACACCCTCAGCACAGCCTATAGGGACGCAGCTGGAACCCCCAGCTGGTCCACACCAGGACCCCAGGCCCACAGAAACTGTAAGATAAAACATGGTTGTGTTAAGCTAAGTTTCGGGATAACTCGCTGTGCAGTGGAGGGTAACTACTGGAGCTAGCAACGTCAAGCCGTCCAGGAGAGAACCAGATGGGAACACCCAGCGTGGGTCTTCCACAAAAGAACTTCTTCTCAGCCAGGCAGAGGCACCTGCAGGAGGTGAAAGGCAAGTTCCCGGCCAGCCTGGTGGGGTTCCTGCGGTCCAACCCCCACCTCAGCACGCTCCCCTCACTCCCCGCGGCCGCTTGTCCTCTGCCGCTGCTCTGGATTTGGGATTCCGAGACTGGCAGGTCAGGAGGCCCGGAAAACTACATTTGCCTCACTCTGGTTCTCCGGGGCTGTGGTGAGGCTGCCTCTCCCCTGCCCTCCACTTTCTCTTTCCCTGTAATATTTATGTAGCTGAGTGCAGCAAACATTTTGAATGCGTGATCACCGTGGGGCTCAGGGCCCTCTGAAGCTCTCACTCGCCCAAAGCTGACGGCCTCTGTTTTTTCCAGCTGCAGCTCCGGGTGCCATCCTCCGCGGGGTGAGGTGCCACCAGGAATCCCTTTCCTTAGATTGTCTGATGCTGTGAGTTAGAAGATTCCTGTTTCTACTCACACGATTGGGTGCCCAGTATACACTGCCATGGTTTAGAGGAAGCTCTGCCACTAACTGTGTGACTGAGGCAAGTGGCTTCACTGCCCTGTGCCTCAGTTTCTCTCCCTGAAAATGGGAATAAAATGTACTTGACTCATGGGCTTAATGAACTGATCCCGGGAGCTCTTGGCTGTAAGGTGCTCAGGACAGGGTGGCATCCACACCCTCAGGGGCCCTGCTACTTTTTATTACCATCTTGACTCTAGGAGCTCCGACCTTGGTTTTCATGGATGCCAATGGAAATTCTGTTTTCAGACAAATGTGGAAGGCATCCTTAAAGATAATAGGATTAAGTAACACAAATATAAAGAGGAAAAATGATCACCGATGAAGAGTGCAAGAGACCACGTGTGTGTGCTTGGGAATGGAGGGCCTGAAGGTCCCACCCTCGGCTGGGCCCGCCCTGCCCCATGCTGCTCCCGCTCTCCTGGGCACCCTACCACCTCCTGGCTCCCCACATTCGCTTCTGGGCACACGTGGAGGGAGGGCAGGTGCCCCTCAGGTGTTCCCTTTCTTTCCTTCTCAGCACCTCCTGAGGAAGCCCCAGGACAGAACAGGAACCACTGGAGTCAGAAGCAGAATGAGGGGCATCTGTATTCACTGCAGTTTACGGCGGCCATTCTATTGCTCTCGTAACTTGCAAAGCAGACTTTTAACTTAGAATTGACATATACTAAATATTTAAAGTAATCTTCATAAGCCCCAGAGTGTGTGTCTGTAACTAAGGACAATTTTTTCACAATTAAAAAACCCTCATGAAATGACAGTGACTGTTATCAAATGTCTAACTCTGTGCTCGAGCACTAACCTCCATGCTTGCAGGAAGGCTCTTTGTGAAACTGACAATAATCCTGTGAGGTGAGCACCATTAAAACCTGTACTTGGCCGGGCGTGGTGGCTCACGCCTGTAATCCAGCACTTTGGGAGGCCCAGGGGGCGGATCACGAGGTCAGGAGTTCGAGACCAGCCTGGCCAATATGGTGAAACCCCGTCTCTACTAAAAATACAAAAAAATTAGCTGGGCATGGTGGCATGCGCCTGTAGTCCCAGCTACTCAGGAGGCTGAGGCAGAAGAATTGCTTGAACCCAGGAGGTGGAGGTTGCAGTGAGCCGAGATTGTACCACTGCACTCCAGCCTGGGTGACAGAGTGAGACTCCAAAACAAAACAAAACACAACAAAACAAAACCCTCCATTTTCCAGACAGGCAAATGAAGCCCAGAGTGACAAGGTAACCTGCTTAAGGTCACACAGCAGGAGGCGAGGCAGGGTATGAATTGAGTGAATCTGACGCCAGAGCCTTCTGGATCAACATGGGCCACATTCCCCCAGAATGCCAGGAACTGAGTGAATGTGACCCCAGTGCCTTCCAGATCAACGCGGATCACATCCCCCAGAATGCTGGGAATTGAGTGAATCTGACCCAGGTGCCTTCCGGATCAATGCGGATCACATCCCCCAGAATGCTGGGAATTGAGTGAATCTGACCTCAGTGCCTTCCAGATAAATGCGGATCACATCCCCCAGAATGCTGGGAATTGAGTGAATCTGACCCAGGTGCCTTCTGGATAAACGCGGATCACATCCCCCAGAATGCTGGGAATTCAGTGAATCTGACCCAGGTGCCTTCCGGATAAACGCGGACCATATCCCCCAGAATGCTGGGAATTGAATGAATCTGACCCAGGTGCCTTCCAGATCAATGCGGATCACATCCCCCAGAATGCTGGGAATTGAGTGAATCTGACCCAGGTGCCTTCTGGATAAAGGCGGACCACATCCTTCCAGAATGCTGGGAACTGGGTGAATCTGACGCCAGTGCCTTCCAGATCAATGTGACCACATCCCTCCAGAATGCCAGGAACTGAGTGAATCTCACCCCAGTGCCTTCCAAATCAACGTGGACCACATCCCCCTAGAATGCCGGGAACTGAGCCAATCTGTCCCAGGTGCCTTCCGGATTAACGTGGACCACATTCCTCCAGAATGCTGGGAATTGAGCAAATCTGACCCCAGCACCTTCCAGATCAATGTGCACTACACCCCTCCCAATGCCAGGAACTGACCAAATCTGACTCCAGTGCCTTCTGGATTAGCGGGAACCCCATTCCTCCAGATGGTGGGAACTGCGTGAATCTGACGCAGTGCTGTCTGGATTAGCGTGAACCCCATTCCTCCAGATGGCGGGAACTGAGTGAATCTGACCCAGTGCCTTCCGGATCAACATGCACTACATCCCTCCACGATGTGGGAACTGGGCGAATGTGACCCCAGTGCCTTCCAGATCAATGTGGACCACATCCCTCCAGAATGTTAGGAACTGAGCAAATCTCATGCCAGTGCTTTCCGGATCAACAGGGACCACATCCCTCTAGAATGCCGGGAACTGAGCGAATCTGACCCAGGTGCCTTCTGGATAAACGTGGACCACATCCTTCCAGAATGCTGGGAACTGGGTGAATCTGACCCCAGTGCCTTCCAGATCAACGTGACCACATCCTTCCAGAATGCTGGGAATTGAGTGAATCTGACCCAGGTGCCTTCTGGATAAAGGCGGATCACATCCCCCAGAATGCTGGGAATTGAGTGAATCTGACCCAGGTGCCTTCTGGATAAACGTGGACCACATCCTTCCAGAATGCTGGGAACTGGGTGAATCTGACCCCAGTGCCTTCCAGATCAACGTGACCACATCCCTCCTGATTGCCAGCAAATGAGCGAATCTGACCCCAGTATCTTCCAGATCAATGTGGACCACATCCCTCCAGAATGCCGGGAACTGAGCAAATCTGACCCAGGTGCCTTCTGGATCAAGGTGGAACACATCCTTCCAGAATGCCGGGAACTGAGTGAATCTGACCCCGGTGCCTTCCGGATCAAGGTGGACCACATCCCTCCAGAATGCCAGACAGATGAAGGACACAGAAAACTTAATAGTAAAACATATTTTCTGATACGCAGGTACCTGGGAATCTATAGATTCAGGTTTAGTGCTGTGGGTTGTCCTTTTATACACAGCACACATACCACAAACACACACAGATACAGCATACACGCACACACACAACCACATTCACATAGACAAGTACCTCGCACACACATACACAGAAACACACACACCACACATACACACAGACACATACCCAGCATACTTACACACACAGCACACACACAACCACATTCACACACACATAGGCATATAGTAAACACCAACTCAAGCACACATCACACGTGCATGGACACCCCCCCCACACACGTGGAGATAGAGTCGACACTATATTAGCTTCCCATGAATTGATGTCATAAGCTCAGTTAACATACGTGCCCGCTAAGTACCCTTCAGGGATGGCAATGCTAACCCGCTGTAGTTTAAAAGCTTCAGGGAAGACTTGATCAGTCTCGGCAGGTATTACAGGCAGAGGCAGATTTCTTTTTCCTTTTTTTTTCTTTTTTTTTGAGACAGAGTCTCACTCTGTCACTAGGCTGGACTGGAGTGCAGTGACACGATCTCTGCTCACTGCAACCTCCGCCTCCTGGGTTCAAGTGATTCTCCTGCCTCAGCCTCCCATAATCCCAATTGGGATTACAGTTGGGATTACAGGCACGCACCACTACGCCCAGCTAATTTTTGTATTTTTAGTAGAGACGGGGTTTCACCATGTTAGCCAGGATGGTCTTGACCTTGTGATCCACTCGCCTTGGCCCCCAAAGTGCTGGGATTACAGGCGTGAGCCACTGCGCCCAGCCAGAGGAAGATTTCTTATGCTGCTTTTAAAACAAAAGTAGCCACAAGAGTTAACATTTCTAGTTTTAACTCTCAAAAATAAAGTCCTTGTGGATTTTATGATCTCATTTCAGCAAATGTCACTGCAAAGTGGAGATGCTATCATCCCTTAGCAGTGTGCATCTGCCTTGGGCCGCTGGGGCCAGCCGCTGGCTGCTCTGCAAGGAAGGGTCCCTGTAAGCAGGACAGTGGCCTTCCAGGGCTGAGGCTGGAGAAAGGTGCTTTGCCTCGGATGGGCACCCTTTCTTTTAGCTCTGATTCTGCCCCGTGCCGTGTGCCTCTGAGTGTTGCCTTCCCTTCTGAAGCTCAGGCACATCCTCTCCTCTGCTGCCAGCTCCCTGGTGCCAGTTCCCTCCTGCTTCCATTCCCTGCCTTCCAGGCGGGGTGCCACCCTGTGTCCCCTTACGATTATCTCTCTGCTTGTGCAAGCATCACCATCTGCCCACGACCCTTCAGCCAGGACCTGCAGCACTCAGAGCTGGCCACAGAGACTCGTTCCTTCCACAGGGACTGTCCAGATCATCCTAAAGGTTGGGCAGTGGTGTGAGTGGCTCTCGGCCATTCAGGAGTACCTGCAGGTGGCAGAAGGTACTCCAGAGTTGGACGGAGGGGCCGTCCCAGGGCTCTCGGTGAGACTGAGAAGGTTCATGAGCTCCGTGTTCCTGTCTGAGATGACCAGAACCAGGGCAGGCCTCATGTGTGCCCCAACTTCCGTAAAACCACACATGCATAGTCACAAGCGGCTCCCTGCTTTATGCATTCTAAAGCAATTCAGCATTCCACATGAAAACGCAGCCGTGACGGCACTGTGTGATTGATAATGCTCTCCGTGAGACTTACGGGTCCATAAACCAAAGAATGGCTATAATCACCCACAGGTCCATCATTTCTTTATCCTTTACATCAAACATGAGATGGTCATAGTCACAATTCAATAACAAGCCACGTATGGCTCCATGAAAGCCACCAGTGAGAGCTGAACGTGCTCTCCCAGCTACTCTTCTCTACTAGAGCCTGCACCCCACCGACTTTGAAAAGAGATAACTGTCACCTGGGAACCGACACTCCTGCTGGGGAGGGGAAGCCACCTGGGGCTGGAGACTACAGTCTGGACCCTCAGGCGGCAGAGGAGCGAGCCGAGAGAGACAACTGTGGCTTCTGCCTCTCCCAGTGGGAGTGAGGCCCCTGGTCAGAGGGCCTGGGTCGGGGGCTGTGCTGCCCATGGCTGGGTGGGATTTTAATCTAGGCTCTCACAGGTGGTCACACAGAGCGGCCCTGCTGACTCCCATCAGGGGAGATGGAGGCCATACGTGCCACAGATCAATACGATGCCCTTCCATGCACAGCTCTGGACAAAAGCTCCTCCTGGGCATAGTGTCTGAAATGAGCTGCTTACTTTTATTTCCAAGAAAATGACAAAGACGATTTTGACCCCTGACAATTCTTTCAGTCCTGGTCCTCCTGCGGGTAGCTGAGAGCCTAAGTGAGGTGTGTGGGACAGAATGAGGTGCTGGGAAATTACTGGCAGTGGACATTTACCACTGGGTTACTCGGACATCTAGAGCACGAAGTGAGTGACACAGAGGCCGGGGACCCTCCTTCCCTCCCAAGTGGGCACCCCTCTGAGAAATTCCCTGCGAGCCCCCCAGCTCTGTCTTCTATGGGGACTTCGACCTCGCTCCACGTTGTGCAGCCACATGGCCCACAGGAATGGGCGGTCCTGCTACATGGGAAGGAGCTTAGGGTTTAACACGCCTGCTCCAGGAGCTGCGCCACACACCCGCCTTCAGATTCAGCCCGGCGTGCCTGGGCTTCTGAAGTCCCAGAGCACTCAGCCCGGCCCATCCACGGATGGCTGGGACAGAGATTTACACATACAAGTCGGATATTCTGGGGAGCTGGAATTCAAGGATGGACAATGAAAGCCCAGAGACAGAATCCTCATCAGTGAGCAGACAAGGCTCTGGCAGGGATGTTTTGGGGGAGCAGTGGTTCCTTACAACGTGAGCCTGAAGGAGTTTCCCTCACTTAGCCCTCAGCTGGGGGCAAACCGTGGATGCTGGAGAGAGGAGCGTGAGGCATACAGAGGCCCAGGTGGCTCTGTGGGGGTCGGACGCATGGGTGTGTCCCCACCACCCACAGAAGGGTGCTCGCCTGAGACACAGGGTCGGCCGTGAGGACACAGTTTCAGGAAGCATCCACACAAGGGGAACCCACAGGGCACTTGGGTTATACGAACCTAACAAAGAGCTAAAATCTGAGCTCTCTCCCTCCTGCGTCCATTCGATCCCCTTGGACGAGGCTTTCTGGAACGTCCAGAATAAAGAGAATCCTCATTTCTCAGCACACGGACTTCTGATGTGAGAAGACAGTGACTGTGTGCTCATTAAAACTCACTCTTGGCCAGGTGTGGTGGCTCATGTCTGTAATCTCAGCACTTTGGGAGGCCGAGGCGGGAGGATTACTTGGGCCTAGAGTTTCAGACCAGGTGGCCAACACAGTGAGACCCCATCTCTACAAACAATAAAAAAATCACCCAAGCTGCCTAACCGCCCCCACCCCCCCGCCCCGTGGCACAGGATGTTTCCCAGGGCAGAGAGTGACATGGCTGCGGGGTCCCGCTGCAGAAGAACCCTGTGCAGTGAGGGCCACAGGCCTGGGACCCCAAGCCGCTCAGGACCGTGCACAGCTCCCAGATGTCCCCTGGGGGGACATCTCTTCCGGAGGATCTTTAGGGTCCCTTTCAGCCCTGCCATCTGTACGCCCACCATGGACTGGTGCCTACTGCCTGCCGCCTGGGCACAGGTGCCCTTGCGCCTGGCCCTCAGCCCGCCCATGTGCAGGAGGGGTTCCGGGGCAGCCGGGTTACACGCGAGAGCCCCACGCGCCGGAGGTTCCGGGGCAGCCGGGTTACACGCGAGAGCCCCACGCGCCGGAGGTTCCGGGGCAGCCGGGTTACACGCGAGAGCCCCACGCGCCGGAGGTTCCGGGGCAGCCGGGTTACACGCGAGAGCCCCACGCGCCGGAGGTTCCGGGGCAGCCGGGTTACACGCGAGAGCCCCACGCGCCGGAGGTTCCGGGGCAGCCGGGTTACACGCGAGAGCCCCACGCGCCGGAGGTTCCGGGGCAGCCGGGTTACACGCGAGAGCCCCACGCGCCGGAGGTTCCGGGGCAGCCCGGTTACACGCGAGAGCCCCACGCGCCGGAGGTTCCGGGGCAGCCGGGTTACACGCGAGAGCCCCACGCGCCGGAGGTTCCGGGGCAGCCGGGTTACACGCGAGAGCCCCACGCGCCGGAGGTTCCGGGGCAGCCGGGTTACACGCAGAGCCCCACGCGCCGGAGGTTCCGGGGCAGCCGGGTTACACGCGAGAGCCCCACGCGCCGGAGGTTCCGGGGCAGCCGGGTTACACGCGAGAGCCCCACGCGCCAGAGGTTCCGGGGCAGCCGGGTTACACGCGAGAGCCCCACGCGCCGGAGGTTCCGGGGCAGCCGGGTTACACGCGAGAGCCCCACGCGCCGGAGGTCCGGTTTGTGCACCTGCACACGGGTCCTGTCTGTGCTCCCCTGCAGCCCGGGGGAGTCCTGGCCCTTCACCACGTGGGAGGCTGTCCTGGGACCTGAGGACTCCGCCCACACTCCATGCCCTCCTTCCCTTCCTCAGGCCCACCTGACCCCGGCAGACCTCCTGCTCTCCTCTTTGTCTTCTGGCCTTGCAGGCAGCTGTCTAATGCAGGGCCTAGGCCTGAGGACAAGCCCCCGGGGTGGCCAAGCTGGCTGCATCCCTGGGACCCTGGTCTCCGTCACTGGGACGCAGCAGTTCTGCCGGGTTAACCTCAGGGGGCATATGTGTCTCTCCCATGGCCGTCATTTTCTACCGACTTTGTTATTTCAGCATTCATTTAGTGCATATATTCCTTTTAAGAGGTGTCTAAATCCTTCGTGGGCCACAACAGGGTAGACATCAGGGGCTGTAGCCTCCAGTGTCTGGGGGGCCATGCAGGCCACATGAGTGGGGGGAGGGGCTGCGTGGTGGAAGGGGGGCCGGGCAGCTGGGGGCACCATGAGTGGGGGGAGGGGCTGCGTGGTGGAAGGGGGGCCGGGCAGGCCACATGAGTGGGGGGAGGGGCTGCGTGGTGGAAGGGGGGCCGGGCAGCTGGGGGCACCATGAGTGGGGGGAGGGGCTGCGTCGTGGAAGGGGGGCTGGGTGGCTGGGGGCGGCCAGTCCTACCCCAAGGGGAGAGCACACAGGTACTGCTGGCTGGGAATGCGGGTCTGGGGTTGCTCAGATCTTTGATTAAGAAAATAGAAATCAGGCATTTGTATTATTTATGTAAAATTTCTCAATTTTGAAAACCCTCATTGAGCTCTTAGAGTACAAACTGTGTCCCCTCAAGAGGATATGTTGAGTCTTAACCCCAGGACCTCAGCATGTTATGTAACTTGGAAAAAGGACCTTCACAGATGTAATCAAGTGACCACGAAGTCTCTGGGGTAGGCCATGAATCCAGTAGGACTGGTGTCCTGATCAAAAACGGAAATTTGAGGCTGGGCAGGGTGGCTCACGCCTGTAATCCCAGCACTTTGGGAGGCTGAGGCGGGCGGATCACCTGAGGTCAGGAGTTTAAGACCAGCCTGACCAACATAGTGAAACCCCGTCTCTACTTAAAATGTAAAAATTAGCCAGGCGTGGTGGTGGGCACCTGTAATCTCAGCTACTTGGGAGGCTGAGGCAGGAGAATTGCTTGAACGGAGGAGGTGGAGGTTGCGGCTACCCAAGATTGCGCCATTGCACTCCAGCCTGGGCTGTGAGAGTGAAACTCCATCTCAAAAAAAAAAAAAAAAAAAAAAAGGGAAATTCAGACACAGACAGACGTGCACAGGGAGCGGGTCACACACAGAGGCAGGGACTGGAGTGGGGCAGCCACAAGCCGAGGGACACTGGGAGCTGTCAGGTGCTGGCAGAGGCTGGAGGAGGAGGGAGCACAGCTTCAGACATGCTCTCAGACTTCTGGCTCCCAGCACTGTGGGAGAATAAACGCCTGTTGTTTGAAGGCCCCTAGGTTCATGGTACTTGGTGAGGGCGGCCTCGGGCAGCTCACACATGGGCCACACAGAACGTGGCTGTGGGCGGGATTGTTCTGGGTGAGCCATGCGCATCCCCTGCTATCAGCAACACAGTGGACTCACACTGGCTCTAAAACCCCTGAGGTCGTTTCCATCTGATGGTCGCACTTGGGCAGGGCTCTTCTGGTGCCAGCGGGAGACCTTACTCAGACCCTCATCTCCATCCACCCCTCCTCCTCCTAGCACTGCATGGTCCAAAAGTTTACTCAACCCAATGACGCATCTTTAATTCTATTATTGACAACATCGTGGAATATAACAGAATTGAGGAATAGCCCCACGGCACGTTTCTAGAGAACCCCTTTGCACTTAATCTATTTTCTCCTCATTAAGTAATTATTTAATTAATAGCCTGTAAGAATAGTGTACGTAGGTAGAAATTTATCTAACGGCATGATCGTTCCAAGTCTCTATCTTTTCTTTTGGATACTTTGTAAAAAAAAAAATCATTAAAATCTATACTTGTGATGTCAACAGCCGTTCCTCC
Organism: Homo sapiens; assembly: GCF_000001405.40. Taxonomy (NCBI): domain Eukaryota; kingdom Metazoa; phylum Chordata; class Mammalia; order Primates; family Hominidae; genus Homo; species Homo sapiens. Next base: position 157,713,537 of record NC_000007.14, read on the forward strand.
ATCTCTCAGCAAGAAATGCCATCAGCAAAGAGACGGTGTGACGCCCGGCTCCCTCCCCGTCACTGATACGGCCTAGGATCTCACCAGGGACCAAGGCAAGCACACTGGTCTGCGGTTCCCACAATCTACCTGTAACCCTTTCTGAATGTTTGTCCAACTCTCTTATTCCGGCGTCTTTCCCAACTCTGCCAATCCCTCAGACATTCCCGACAGCTGTGGCCAGATCCAGCTTTGCTACGGACACGGAGCCACAGAACTGGTCTGGACATGGAGCCACAGAACTGGTGAGAGCCCCACGAAGCAGCTCTCGTGGGCTGTGCCCTCCAGCCCTCACATGGCACACACCTGCTGCTCTGCAGAGCACGCCTCGCTCCCCTTCACGAAGGAGCGGAAATACAATGGCAGCCGCGAAGCTCTGGCTACTAAGATGCATTATCTGCTCCAAGCTTTCAATTGAGTGATTATGTCTTAAAAGAATCACATAAATGATACAGCTCCACATTTTGAGGTGTGTAAAGCCACGAAGGCATCGTCTTCTATATCTTATTCTTGCTGACTATATGACGATGACATTCTTAGGTGAGCTCACTACCTCATGGCATCAACTCTGCAGAGACGTCTCACAGGTCACGTTAGAAGGCTATGAAAAATTAAAACACATAAAAAACAATGTTTAAACCTGTGTGCATCACTGAGTTTGACAGACACAGTGTATGGATGCCAGATTAGTTCGTTTTACTGTCAGTATAGTACAGTCCGTTAAACTGCGCATCTTTGATGAGTTACTACCTGTGGGGTGGCACCTGACCCAGGCCAGGACAGTCTGAGTGGTCCTTCCTTTCGCCCTGTGCAGGGCTGGGCTTGCGACCTCAGTCTTTCCCGGCAGCTCTGCTTGGCAGAATTGAGGGATGTCTCCATTTTATCCAGGGCGAGCTACTATAGGAATAACAATGGAGGCTTAAGATCTGTAGAAAAATCTATGAGTTTAGGAATTGTGATTCCTGATTTTTATTGAGTAAAATGCTCACCCTAATTTCTTCAACAGAAAATCAATATTCCAAACCCTCCAGAAATCTGGTATTTGCAGGAATCCCGACACTCACTAACAGAGGTGGCACAAAAGGCCCTGAAGTCAGGGATCCCTGGGGAACGATGCCCAGTCCGACGTGCTTCTCCTGAGCCGATTTTGGGTTTCCCGTTTTCTAAAGCCAGCTCCCCAGGGAACGGCGCCCAGTCCGACATGCTTCTGAAAGGATTCTAGGTCTCCCGCTTTCTGAAGCCAACTCCCTGGGGAACGGCACTGAGCTTGAGGCGCTTCTCCTGAGCAGATTCTAGGTCTCCCGCTTTCTGAGGCCATTTCCCCAGGGAATGGCTCCAAGCCCGATCACTTCTCCTGAATGTATTCTGGGTCTCCCGCTTTCCGAGGCCAGCTCCCCAGGGAACGGCGCCCAGCCCCATGTGCTTTTCCTGAATGGATTCTCCGTCTCCTGCTTTTGGAGGCCAGCTTCCTGGGGAAGAGCTCTGAGCCCGACGCGCTTGTCCTGCTTTCTGAGCACTTGAATCTGGTGGCTTCTGTGTCATCTTCACTCTGAATGAGTGAAATGTGTGCTTAAAATGGCCTTGAGAAAAGCACCCCCTGCAGGGTGGGAGAGAAATACCGACAGGTGGGGAGGGCTGGAGGCGGGAGTCCAGGCCGTGCGCCCAAGAGGAGGGTCGTGGTGGGAATGAATGAGGCCCAGGGAGTGTTGGGAGACAGGCCGGCGGCCGCGGGAAACCCCTCAGCAACCTACCAGCACAGATGCAAGGACACTGGGGTGCCAGTCCCCCCGCTACCATAAAGGAAGAAGAGGAAAACAGAATGAGGCAAAGTGATAGGGGATGAAGGGCATGAGGAGGCTGCTGTGTGCTCGCAGAGGAGGGGAGGCCCCCGGTTCTGCTTGGCGCTGGCTACTCTTCTTGGTTGTTGTTTTCTAAGTGCTGTTGACTGCTGGCTGGACCTCAGTGAATGACCCTTCTGCTAAAGCTGCCAGGCACTGCGCTGGTGTAAGCTGATCATAGCTCCATCATCCCAAATCTAAACCACTCCAGAAACAGGCCGGCCCCTGCTGCAACAGCAAGTTGATCTGTGACTTTGGGCAAATCCACTCAGCGCCAGACTGCCAAGAGAAAACGGCGGTCTCCGCCGTCCAAGCAGCACATCGTGGAGGGCCTACACACCCCGATGTTCTGGGGGAGCACTTACATCTTCAGCAATGCCTGTCAAGATGGAGACAGACTCCTGTGCTGAGGTTGCAGGGTTGCACTCTGAAAAGACACCCAGGGCAGCACTCCAGGCAGGCTGCATGCTCCGGGGAGACACAGATGGCAAGGAGCAGGGCAGCGGGCGGCCTGGAGGTACAGCTACACCAGCTCTGGGGTTCCACGCTCTGATCTGACTTAGCTGTTTTCCACCCTAACCCCATGTGAGACAGCCACTGCCCCAAAACTAGGGATGGGAACCAAAACCTTTGAGAAGCCCACGTGGGACATGGGATGGCCTGTGACCCATCAGCTCCCGGGCCATCCCTTTGGGTTCAGCCACAGGCTGGGGGTGGGAGGTGGTGCCAGGACACTGTGGGCATCGCCTTGGGCTGAAAAAGGGGGCTGTGAGGAACTCATACACCTGAGTCCTCGTCCTAAGAAGTCGCAGTTGTTGGGTGGGCCATGGCCACGAAGACTCTGCGGGAACACTGCCTGGTCACACAGACTCTGCAGGAACACTGCCTGGCCACGTAGACTCTGCAGGAACACTGCCTGGCCACATAGACTCTGCAGGAACACTGCCTGGTCACACAGACTCTGCAGGAACACTGCCTGGCCACACAGACTCTGCAGGAACACTGCCTGGCCACGTAGACTCTGCAGGAACACTGCCTGGCCACGTAGACTCTGCAGGAACACTGCCTGGCCACGTAGACTCTGCGGGAACACTGCCTGGTCACACAGACTCTGCAGGAACACTGCCTGGCCACGTAGACTCTGCAGGAACACTGCCTGGCCACGTAGACTCTGCGGGAACACTGCCTGGTCACACAGACTCTGCAGGAACACTGCCTGGCCACGTAGACTCTGAGGGAACACTGCCTGGCCACGTAGACTCTGCGGGAACACTGCCTGGTCACACAGACTCTGCGGGAACACTGCCTGGCCACGTAGACTCTGCGGGAACACTGCCTGGTCACACAGACTCTGCGGGAACACTGCCTGGCCACGTAGACTCTGCAGGAACACTGCCTGGCCACGTAGACTCTGCGGGAACACTGCCTGGCCACGTAGACTCTGCGGGAACACTGCCTGGCCACGTAGACTCTGCGGGAACACTGCCTGGCCACGTAGACTCTGCGGGAACACTGCCTGGCCACGTAGACTCTGCGGGAACACTGCCTGGCCACGTAGACTCTGAGGGAACACTGCCTGGCCACGTAGACTCTGCGGGAACACTGCCTGGCCACGTAGACTCTGCGGGAACACTGCCTGGCCACGTAGACTCTGCAGGAACACTGCCTGGCCACTTAGACTCTGCAGGAACACTGCTGTTACCTCTCACTGCACGGGGACTCACAGACACAAAGATGGTCATTCACAGCATCACCAAAATCGATCCACGAGGCTTTGAGAAAATGCATCTCTAAAAAAAGCACATTTGGTGGGTCCAACAAGCCTCACTTATTCACGGTCCTGAACTCAGTGCATGGAGGCAAGAGGCATGTCGGTGACCCAGTGAGGGAACAACTGCACATCTGGGGCAACAGCCTGATGGTGCCGTGGGAGCCACGGGTGGGTATCCTGCAAACATCAGCTTGGACACTCAGCACCTGCATGGGACATGCATCGCCACAAGGTCACAGGTGGGCACCTGGGTGCTGCAGGGTCAGCTGACTTAGTCAAAGGCTAAGCCTGCAGTGAGTGTCCGAGCCTGCAATTGACCGCGGAAGCCAGTGCCCTCCCTAGTTGGCAACGTTGTTCAGCTGAGCTACAGAGAAAGAGCTCGGAGGTCTATGGACTCCTTCATGGAAATCGCTCCCTTGCGTCTCCTCATGTGGACACAGCTCCACGCCTCACCTCTCAGGCCAGGCAGCGGCCAACCCAGCCTCTTCACCAGGTATGGGCACCGGCTGCTCCTTGCTGCAGGACCGCTGGCTGGGGTGGCCGGGGCACGCAGCAGGCACATCCCGACCTGCGGGCCAGCACCTGCGCCCCATCCCTGTTACACCTGTTCTGAAGCCTTCAAGAGCAAAGACTGATGTTCATCATGGCCAAAGCAGCTGGGCTCTTTACTACGGAAGGAGATTAATTGCTACCCCGCGTACCTTTCAGAGGTTTATATGAAGCCATTTTTCGGTATTTCTCTAAGTGACTGAAACATGCGCAGCCATTTCATGTATTTCTACGCGTGTGGGCAGGCGGCCAGGGCCCTGGGCCACATTCCCCAGAAAGCCACGTCTCCACTCTGGGGAGGGGAATGCTTCGTTTTTCTGTGAGTGGTGAGGTCTCTCTTTTAACCTGTTATAAATTACCTTTTGTAATCTCTCCTAAACCATTATATAGAGGAGGGAGGGGAGACAAAGAATAAATACATCTGTAATAAATGTGGGATTTGGGAAAGATGATAAGATCAGAACAATTTGAATGAACGTGGCAAATGAATTTAGAGTTTTTGAACTATCAGCTATTTCTGCAAATAATGACTTGTAGAAGGAGAGGCTATTTTTAAAACAATTCATGTTCTCTGCTTTCATGTGAAGGAAATAAAACAAGGCACTCATGAATGAGCTCTTCAAGCACGGACTTTCCTGGAGCTCACAGGAAGGGGCCAGCACAGGTCAGGCTGGAGGCACAGTCTGATTCTACGGTGGCTTCACAGGGCGTGTTTGGAGAGCGCCTTCCTCCTCCCAACCCTGCAGTCCCCGGCCTGGCTCCAGGTCTGCCCCGCAGCCCTGAGGTGAGTCTCAGCATGTCCAGGCGTCTGAGGTGACACTGCAGCCTCTCTCCGTGGCCCTGTGGTGAGTCTCAGCATGTCCAGGCATCTGAGGTGACACTGCAGCCTCTCTCGGTGGCCCCGTGGTGAGTCTCAGCATGTCCAGGCATCCGCGGTGACACTGCAGCCACTCTCCATGGCCCCAGGGTGAGTCTCAGCACGTCCAGGCGTCCGCGGTGACACTGCAGCCACTCTCCATGGCCCCGGGGTGAGTCTCAGCACGTCCAGGCGTCCGCGGTGACACTGCAGCCACTCTTGGTTTCTCAGCTGCCGCAATCGGTCCTTCCAGTGTCCGACCTCTGGGGCCCTCAGACCCCCAAACCCACCTTGTCGCTGTGGCCTCTCCGCCTCCTGCAGGTGGCAGCGCTACTGTAGCCTGCCATGCCCCACCCCTTGCCTCCATCCCCACACATTGCCCTGTTTCTTGGGCAGCCATCTTCTGGACCTCTCCCTCCTGCAGGCGTCTCTGGCCCTGGGGGCTCCAGGAGGGGGTCTCCCCAGGAGCGTGTTCCCCAGTGCATGGCCCCTGTCCTCCAACACCTGCTCAGGCCTGCAGCCAAACCCACATCTCCCATTCCTGCCTCTCCTGAGCAGGAAGCCCCATGAGAGGGTCCCTTTACAATTCGTCCAGGCTGGCCCTGGGCCCTGTGTGGCCGCAGGTGGTCACGGAAGCCCCACCTGAGCTTCCAGGCCCCTCGTGCCAGGACTTCTGAAGGTTGTGCCTGACTCACGTCTCCATTCTCGACCCATTAAAGGGGGAGCGGAGATCGTGCTTCCCAAGGGACCCTGAGGCCTTCTCTCTAGGTCTGAGAAGTGGGAAGTCCCCCATTGGGAGTGGAAGGCCAAGGCCACAGCACTGCCGTCATGCGCTCCAGAGAAAGGTCACCTGCCACCCTTCTGTGTGCTTACATGTCTGTCAGGACAGCCCGGCTCCGGCCATGCCCTTTGCACATCCCGGCCTCCTGGGAACGCGGAGAACTTCGTGCCTGCTGTCCAGTTCTTGGCATCCGGGAGCTCCAGCTGGCATGAAGGCAGAAAGAATAACAGCCAGTGGCAGTGGAAGGCATGAGCGCCCCCGGAGAGCAGGGCCAGACCATCAGCAGGGCCCCTCCAAGAGGAGCTCTGTATGCCGGGGGAGTGGGCTCGGCCCGCGGGACAAGGCTGAAAGAGCTCCCCAGACCCCTCTCTGAAGACAGCCTCTGCAATCTCCGGCCTTCCCGCAGTTGCCCGCGTACTTTCTTCATTCCTCAAAGGTCTCATTAATTTACAGTCTAAGTGGACCAAGAGAGATGTTACATATGTTACCAGGAAGCTAGCATGTTCATTAATTAATTTCTGTCTAGTCATCCAATATTTATTGAGTCCTTAAGTCTGAGGCATTATAATAGTTACTGCTGTGGGGTCATACAGATAAATAAGACATGGTTCCTATTTCTCAGACTCATCACCCACTGGTAAGACAGCCACCGATGGAAACGACTCCAATCGACTGGAAAATAGAGAGGAAATTCCTTTGGAATTTAGGGGAAAGAATAAGACTTTTGGCTGGGGTGTCAGATATTCGCTTATAGGAGCAATTTCTTCTCAGCTGCATGGCACCACCAGGGACCAGGCCCCGGGGCCAGTCCAGATATCTGCAGTGTTAGCGAGAGACGCTGTTGACCCTTCTTGGCTTATCATGGAACTGAATTTCCTTAGGTTCAGTTGGTAGCTACCCTCGCCCCATCATGCCGCGGTGACACTGCAGCCACTCTTGGTTTCTCGGCTGCCGCAATCGGTCATTCCAATGTCCGACCTCTGGGGCCCTCAGACCCCCAAACCCACCTTGTCACTCTGGCTTCTCCGCCTCCTGCAGCTCCTGCTCTGTGTTTGGGAACGCGTGCGGCCCACAGGACAAAGCCTTGTTGCACACCCGGGTCAAGGGCAAATCCCAGCTGCACAGCCGGGTGATCCAGCGGCCGACCCTGCTTCCCTGCGTAGGAGGCCTGAGCCAAGGACACTGCGGCCCCGGCTGCACCGATGCATGGGTGTGCACGCGGGGACCGAGGGAGTCACGTGAATCATGTGGCTTCCACGAGCTACCTCTTCCCACACCAGGAGCAGGTGCCCTCGTCTCCATCAAGCGCTTTCTGGGGAGAAACTCCTTCAAGGATAACGGCAAATGGTGAGCGTGCCTCACTCTTTATAATAGAAATTACAAAAAGATGGAGAAACAGGCAGAATCCCACCCATTCCTGTGGCAAAGCCGAGACCCTCATTTCCAGTCTTTCTGGGACAGCGGAGCCCTGGGCAGGGGACACCGTGTGACTGGCTCTAGCTCTCCTAAAACACGGGACGCAGGAGTGTTTCTTAAGTGTGACAAGGTGAAAGCCCCTCGCGAGTTGAGGAAGGTCTCATTACTTCTGACAGAGGCCCCATGTTGGGGAGGTAGGTGTGGGGGCTCGGGGAGGTGTCAGGACAGCGGGATGGACGTGGGTCCACAGAGCTGACTATCACAGCCGCTCAGGATGCAGCCGTGGTGTGTGTGCTCTGGCCTATTTTAGGTACAGATATAAAACAGAAGACTTCGGGGCAAAAGGAAGTCTTAGAAAAATATAAAGGAATAGAAAGAAACAGCTGTTCCCCGGCACAGAAAATTCCTGCTAAGAACACACAACGGGCACGGTGTAGGCCCATTAGTGTTGCTCTGGGTGCTGCATCCACAAGGGAGATTTGCTTCTTCAGAAATGTCAGGGGTGCCTGGTCTGCAAGGGGCTTCCCTCGTCGGAAAGTCTCCCATCCACATCCCTTCATGTGCCATGTTCGCATCATGAGCAATGTTGTAATGAACAGCCACGCACTTCATTCTTTGCACATCTCAAAGAATTGTGTCCTTAGGATGAAGTGTCAGGGGACGAGTGTCCATGCCAAAGCATCTCCACACGTCGAGAGCTTCGGATGTGCACAGCTGCGTTGCCTCCTGACTGTCAGCCGAGCCCAGCGTCCCACCAGCAGGAGCCACAGCACCGCTGTCTGTTCCCACCGATGCCCAGTGTCAGCGTCCACTGAGTCGCAGCTCCCCTCTACACTGGGTGTGCCCGAGCTTGCTGCATGGGAGGAAGGTGGCTGATGGCAAGGGTGTGTGTCTCGACACTGTGGCTGCAGCACGGTTTCCTCACAGATGTTTGGGGAGAGGCTGAGAGGACCTGCCTGCCCTGGAGAGCCGGGTTTCTGCCTAGGGCTCCTCCTGTGCTCCTGCTCCCACCCCAGGGGCCTGGGGCTCCCGCTGGAGGATGGTGGCTTTGCAGACCCTTCCATTTTATTCATCGTGTTACAGAGCATTCTAAACCTCCTTCCTTCTAGAGTAGAGGCTCAGGGGTTAAGGGATATGTGTCTTCAAACGAGAACACTTCATTCAACAGACTTTTCCCGAAGACCACGTGCTGTGCGCAGCCTGACATGTGGTGCTCGGCCGCAAAAGCGCTTCAGTCTCGCCCCCCACCCCCGGAGCAGCCACCAACCAAGAAACATTGTCTGTATCTGGCAGCATTTGGTCCCTGTCATGAGGTTACAGTGAGCCCCTGGCCCCCACCCTCACGTGTCTGTGAGGTCAGCTCCCCACGCCCTGGTCCTCCCCACCTGCGAGGAGGCTCGTGGCACCCACTTCACGGCTGGTGGGAAGACGGGTGAGACCACGTGTGCCATGTGCCTCATATGCTGCCTGGCATATTTTGGGTGCTCACGAATGCTGACTGCAGCCTGGCATTGGGAAGGGAGTGATCCCGCCAGGGAGGGGAGGCCTGACAGAAGACATGGTCTCTCAGGGGGGGTCCTGATGTCATGTCAGATGGAGCCAGGGCCAGGGGCAGGGCGGGGGTGCAGGGGCTCTCGAGGCAGAACCTGGGACCCAGCGCCCATGTCGGTGCAGTTGGGAAAGGTGCGTGGCTCCCGTGGGTGGTGCAGACGAGCAGTGAATGAAGATGAAGCTGGAGTGGCAGCTTGGCCCAGATCCTGGAGGCTTTGCGTTTGCACTGAAATGTGTGGACTTGACGCCAGAAGCAACTCCTGCGTGGCCCGAGTGTGGGCCTGGGCGGCCCTCCATTCCTCGGCAGGGCACTGCCTATCGCAGCATCCAGGTGCAGCCGGGGGGGACAGGGGTGAGGAGGGAAGGAGGCATGAGTGCCAGCCTCCCCACACCTGGGAGAGCAGCCTAGAGAGGAGTAGAGGGCAGCAGGGGCCCAGTCTGTCATCCAGAGAGGCAAGGGAGAAGGCAGGGGTGAGCGAGGCGGTGCAGGGTGGGGCTCTGCTCCCACGGGTTCGATGTGGGGCCATGCTTGGTGGTGGGGCCAGGCTGTGTCACCTGTGAGGTCACCCCTGTTCCTGGCACCTGGTAGGTCACTGAATCAACAGCCCACCGCCAGCAGGGCAGGGCGATGCATTTTGCGTCCCTGGCTCAACTGCAGAGTTTCGTTACCATTTCCCGGAAACCCAGACTCTCACCAATGCAGATGGTCTCCTAGCTATTTTTAATGAGGGAAGATTTGTTGGAAGCACAAAATTGAATTAAGTCACATTCAGAAATTCTCCTTCAAAGAGGAACTCACACAGTCAAGCTGAGAAAGCCAGCATCTGAGGATAGCGGAGCTGCTCTGTGGTGAACATAGAATGTGGGGCCCTGACGGACTGTCCCCTTGCCCTGACGCCTCTCCTGGCCTCTGCCCCCACACTCTGGCACCAGAATGTCCACGGGGACAGCTCTGGTCTGGCCTGGCCTGAGCTGCAGGCTCTCCTGTCACAGCACTGGCTGAATGCCTCCCCTGGTGTCCCCTGGCCTTTCCCCGGCTGGCCACCTGTCCCCCACTGAGCTCACGGCTTCTCCCTGAACCAGCTTCTACTCCAGTCCCAAACCAGCTCCACACTGTGGCTCTCGGCCCCGTGCCCCTCTCCCCACACCAGCATGTCACTGCGCTCGCCGGCTGTGTTCCCAAGCACTTTCTCCCTCCTCTCCTTTCTCTACCACAGCCCAGGCCTTCCTCACCTCATGCTCTTCACCCATCCACCTGTCCATCCTTGTCCCCGGAGACGCTGTCATCCCACCCAAGTGACCTGCCAGCCACTGTGGAAGTTCTATGCACTGCAGATGTTAAACGTGAGGCTTTTTCCTACTCAGGGATGTGCAGTCAAATTGGTGCTCAGATGGAGTCTGATGAAAGGCAAGCTCTGGAAGGAACACGGACCCTGAGCAAGTGTGAGAGACGTAAGCCAGCAATGAAGCCATGCCCCAAAGCGAATCCACCACCATCCAATTCCCGCTCATACACAGCAGGCCAGAAAGACTTCCACGCTGCACACAACGCTCAGAGCAGAACGTCTGGGAATCAATCTATCCAAATTTGATTTAATTTATGTGGAATTTAGAGACCTGAGACCTGTTGATTTATGTAGAATTTAGGCTTCCCCCGTCTGAATCGCGCTGGTGTATCTGGAATTTAGGCTTCCCCCGTCTGAATTGTGCTGGTGTATCTGGAATTTAGGCTTCCCCCGTCTGAAGTGTGCTGGTGTGGGTGGAATTTAGGCTTCCCCCATCTGAATCGCGCTGGTGTATCTGGAATTTAGGCTTCCCTCGTCTGAATTGTGCTGGTGTGGGTGGAATTTAGGCTTCCCCCGTCTGAATTGCGCTGGTTTACGTGACATTTAGGCTACCCCCACCTGAAACACATTTATTTGCAGACGCTTGCTTACAAATAGCAGCCTGAAACTGTTCATTTTCTCTTGTAATTCACAAATAAAACAGGAATTACGAACATAAAACTTCTATAATCAAACGGGTAAGGATATTAGCCATCAGGTCACTGAAAGCTTTGTTTGTCTATTATTGGAGCCAATTTCCTGGTTAAATTTACTTTACATTTTGATATGTATTCAGTTCTCAGATAAACACACTATGGAGGTTCCTCAGTGTATGATGGGGTTACATCATGGGGTTACATCCCAATGAACCCGGTGCAAGTCGAAATGTGCTAGGTTAGAGACGTACTGGATCCATATAACCTGCTGAGCATCACAGCTCAGCCCAGCCTGCCTTACGTGTGCTCAGAACACTCATGCAAGCCTGCAGCTGGGCGAAACCATCTCTCACAAAGCCTGTTTATGATAAAGTGCTGAAGATATCAGGCCATTTCTTGACTACTGCCCTGAAAGTGAATAACAGCGTAGTTGGGTGAGCACTCAGAGTACAGTTTCACACCACTGTAAAGTGAGAAATACTAAGTCCAACCATCCTGAGGCGGGGACCATCTGTGTATTGTTGAGTCTGCTTTCCATGAATCATGCTTCTTCTTACATGATAAATTTAAAGTAAATTAAAAGGCATGCATTACATGTTAAATGGGACAGAGTCAATATCTGGCTTGAAATATTATCAATATTTTAAAGATAATATTAACTAAATTTTATAACCTTAAAAATGTACTGATCTGAAATAAAATTCTCGTGTCCTTAAAAATAACCTGCTTTTTCCCATACTAAACAAAAATAAACTGACTTTTAAAAAACCTGTGGGGGAAAGGACGGTTTCCTCAACAGGTGGTTCTGGGAGAACTGGATATCTACACGCAGAGGAGTGAGCCAGACCCTCGCCTCCCAGGAGAACTGGATATCCACACGCAGAGGACTGCGGCCAGACCCTCGCCTCCCAGGAGAACTGGATATCCACATGCAGAGGAGTGAGCCAGACCCTGGCCTCCCAGGAGAACTGGATACCTACACCCAGAGGAGTGTGGCCAGACCCTCGCCTCCCAGGAGAACTGGATATCTACACACAGAGGAGTGTGGCCAGACCCTCGCCTCCCAGGAGAACTGGATATCTACACACAGAGGAGTGAGCCAGACCCTCGCCTCCCAGGAGAACTGGATATCCACATGCAGAGGAGTGAGCCAGACCCTCACCTCCCAGGAGAACTGGATATCCACACGCAGAGGACGGCGGCCAGACCCTCACCTCCCAGGAGAACTGGATATCCACACGCAGAGGAGTGAGCCAGACCCTCGCCTCCCAGGAGAACTGGATACCTACACCCAGAGGAGTGTGGCCATACCCTCGCCTCCCAGGAGAACTGGATATCTACACACAGAGGAGTGAGCCAGACCCTCGCCTCCCAGGAGAACTGGATATCCACATGCAGAGGAGTGAGCCAGACCCTCACCTCCCAGGAGAACTGGATATCCACACGCAGAGGACTGCGGCCAGACCCTCACCTCCCAGGAGAACTGGATATCCACACGCAGAGGAGTGAGCCAGACCCTCGCCTCCCAGGAGAACTGGATATCCACACGCAGAGGAGTGAACCAGACCCTCGCCTCCCAGGAGAACTGGATATCCACACGCAGAGGAGTGAGCCAGACCCTCGCCTCCCAGGAGAACTGGATATCCACATGCAGAGGAGTGAGCCAGACCCTCGCCTCCCAGGAGAACTGGATATCCACACGCAGAGGAGTGTGGCCAGACCCTCGCCTCCCAGGAGAACTGGATATCCACACGCAGAGGAGTGTGGCCAGACCCTCACCTCCCAGGAAAACTGGATATCCACATGCAGAGGAATGAGCCAGACTCTCGCCTCCCAGGAAAACTGGATATCCACATGCAGAGGAATGAGCCAGACTCTCGCCTCCCAGGAGAACTGGATATCCACACGCAGAGGAGTGTGGCCAGACCCTCACCTCCCAGGAAAACTGGATATCCACATGCAGAGGAATGAGCCAGACCCTCGCCTCCCAGGAGAACTGGATATCCACACGCAGAGGAGTGTGGCCATACCCTCGCCTCCCAGGAGAACTGGATATCCACACGCAGAGGAGTGTGGCCAGACCCTCGCCTCCCAGGAAAACTGGATATCCACACGCAGAGGAGTGAGCCAGACCGTCACCTCCCACCCGAGCGTGCGCTGACTCACAGCGAATAGCAGAGTGGCTGGACGCACACTTGGCCAGAACATACATGAACTCAGAGCTAAATGTGAGACCTAAAACATACAGGGCAAGACCTTTATGACATTGGATTTGGCCACGATTTCCTGGATATAACACCAAAAACACAGGCACAAAAGAAAAAAATAGATAAATTGGGTTTGATGACACTCAAAACGTTTGTGCGTCAAAGCGCACCATCCAGAGAGCGAAAAGACAACCCATATAAAGGGGGAAAAGATTTGCGAATCAAATTGCAGTGGGGGATTAATATCCAGAACATGTAGGAAACTTCCACAACTCAACTACAATAACGATGGAAAACCATCTCGTTCAGAAAACACAAAGTACTTGAACACATGTTTCTCCAAAGAAGACACACAAATGACCTCAGGCACAGGCAGAGGCGCTTGGCGTCACCAAAATCATTGGGGAAGCATGATTCCTCAGTGCAATTCCACCTCATGCCATGTGCGTGACTCTTACCGAAAAAAACAGAAAGTAACAGGTGCTGGTGAGAAGGCAGAGAGATGGGAACACTGCGCTATTGCAGCAGCTAGGGAGAACAGGGTGGCGGTTCCTCAGAGTTAGAAATGGAATTCCCATAGGAGCCGGCAGCCCTATGTCTGGGTGTCCATGGAGAACAACTGAAAGCAGGGTCTTGAAGAGGTATTTGCACGCCAGGTTCACAGCAACTTTATGACAGCAGCCAAAGGGTGGATGCAAGGCCAGCATCTGTGGACGGATGGACAGAGGAGCAAAATGTGGTCCATCCACACTGACAGATGTCACCAGCCCTAAGAGGAGGGGGTGCAGACATATGGCATAACATGGGGAGTCCTGAGGACATGTGCCCAGTGAAATAAGCCAGTCACCAAAGGACACATACAGCACAACACAGGGAACCCTGGGGACACTGCCCAGTGAAAGAAGCCATCACTAGAGGACACAGACTGTGTGATTCCACTTGTGTGAGGTCCCTGGAGTCATCAAACTCAGAGACAGAGGGTAGAGTGGGCTGCCGGGGTGGGGGGAGGAACAGGGGTCAGTGTTTACTGGGGACAGAGTTCCAGTTTGGGATGATGGAAGGTTCTGGAAATGGGTGGTGGAGATGCTCGCACAACGTTGTGAACACATACAATGCTAAGAGGCGTGCACCTAAAAACGGTTAGGACGATCCATTTTCTGTTTTGTGTCGTTTACGTAACTATGAGATTCTGTATTACTGAGAAAAAGGCTTGAGAGAACCAGAAGTGTCACGTAAAGTGTGAGGCGTGAGCCGTGAGCAGTGATTGAGCCCAGACCCCCGCGACCAGCTCTGCTGCTGGCCCTGCCTGAAGCTGCAGCAGCCCCTGCCCTTGGACCCCTGAGTCTGTGGGGCCTGCACTGCTGCATCTCTGGCTGCCCTGTGCCCAGAAACCCACCCTCCATCCTTCCACACTCAGAGCCTCCTCCCAGCTGAGCACCCTCCCCTCTGCTATGGGGCATCTGTGGGCCCCCCAGCTCCCACCCTGCAGACGTCTGTGGGCTCTGCCTCTCCCGTCTACACCTGGAGGCCCAGAGGGGCTCCTGAGGGCCACCTGGTACCCGGTGGGTACCCAGCGAGGGTCTGGCAAGGAGGTCAGCTCAGCTGGGCAGACACATGCAGCCCGGAGGCCTGGGGTGTCCGGGTCCCACGAAGCCAGGAGAACACAGATGGGGCCGACTCTGCCGCGCGGTCTCCTCACTGTGCTTCCTGCAATCATGCCTTGTACAGCCTCCTGACAGGCCACCCTCAGCCCCATGTGGCCAGCAGCAAGGGCTGCTGTTGCACCCCAAGCCTCTCCGTCTAGGGGAAGAAGGCGCGTGAAGATCTTTCTCAGAAAGGACAAGCCCACAGCATCTGCGTCGGTGCCTCCTGCCTCTGACAGGGCTCCTGGCGCCCATGGCGGCTGGGGTTTCACGGGGGCGAGGGGCTGGGCCACACTTGTCTGCATCCCGGGGCCCTTGGCTCAGTGGACAAAACAGCTTTAAAGTTCAAGGATAACTCAAATTGGATTTTAGAAATACAAAGTCTTAAAACATTTGTACCAGACTAAGGGATTACACTCTTAACTTATCCACAGAAAGGCTTTTGAAGAGGTGGGGAAAGGTAGCTCAGATTTTAAATTGGGGCCTCAAAACCTGCCTGTCTGCGGCTCCTTCCTTTGCCTGGCTGCTATTATCAAAAGGTAAAATGTCTTAGACTATTGAAAAAAGGATTTGCATAAATTGCTTTTACCTGCTTCTTATATGAGGTTAATGAAATTGGAACAAAAAGGAATGAATTCCCAATCCCAGACCAGAACCTCAAATCCCCCAGAAGAGACTTCCATGAGCCCCACTGAGCCCAGGCATGAAGAACTCTTTCTCTGGGTCCAGGAGTGGCACCACCTTAATCAGCTCTCCTCATAAATGTCCCAAGGAGACCAGGAAACAGCCTCGAGGGAGACGGCGCTGACCCGGGGCCAGGGGAGTTTGGCTCACGTGATCCAGTCACACAGAGGTCGGTCGTTGTCTGGACACAGACAATGGGAATCTGGGCTGATACCGGGCCTTTGAAAATAGTCGGGGAGGAAAACAGAAAAGATGCAGAAGTTGATAATTGCTTTGATATACCCATCTCTGTTTTTTTTTTTGGACAGAATTCCTATTAAATACAATATAGAGTATTTCATTTTCTGCATCTGCCCATCTTTGAATCTTCATGTATTTTTAAAAAAGAATGAATTTAAAACTCTAATCCACTTGGCCCAGATTTGTTTTGGGAGGCAGGTGGGAACCCATGAGCTGTCTTGAGCACAGTGGCTGGAGTCTGTGCGGTGGCTGGAACCCTGGGCTCTGGAGGGCTGGATGCCTTCAGGTCCCGGACCCCCCACTCTGCTCCCGTGGACAGCTCCATCTTCAGCAGCTCCGTGCATAGGGACTCCTGGGAAGACTTCTCTTTGAGGAAATGTTTCCGCTGCTAAAATGCAAAGTTCCCCGAAGGCAGGTGGGCACTGTGCTGGTGCTGTCCGAGTGGAGCCTCTGGTGAGCCGGACACCATCAAACAACATCAGAGCTTGCAAAAGGAGCTCTGCAGTGCCTGAGACCTGCAAAGGGCCATCCTGGGGTCCGAGGGCTTCCTGGTCCTGACCCAGTCCTGCAGGGAGGTCCTGGGAGGGTCGCTAGGGTGAGGACGCTGAGAGCCCATGTGCTGGAAAGGACCCAGGAAGAGGGCTGAGGTCTCACGCCTGGCAGAGATGGTGCCCAGGTAGTGACTGCACCACACCCATAAGGGCCACCTGCTGGCCACGTGGAGGACGGGGAGCGGCAGGCGGATGAGGGAAGGACCGTCCATTTGACTGGGCCACAGGTGTTTAGATTAAACCTGATCCACGTGTGTCTGTGAGTGTGACTCGGAGGAGTCCAGCATTGGATTCAGTGGGCCAGGAACAGGGCATTCTTCTCTCCAGGGAGCAGAAACCACAAGATAGACATGGCCCATTGTGCTCGAGGGTCACTTTCATTGGAAGATTTAGAGAAAATGATTTTTATACAATAACGATATGGGCTTATAGGGTAAAGTCCACATTCGCATAAAATTTTAACCAAGTAGGGACAGAGCCTGGCAATTCTGGGTTCTGAGACCCCTGGGGATGGCACCTGAGTCCCACTCAGGCCACCACCCCTGCCCCCCCCCGGGCACTCGGGGTGAAGCTGTGTCACTGTGGCTGGACACATGTCCTGGAATCAGAGTTGCTCTTTAACTGTGTCTGGCTTTAAGGCTCGTCTTCTACGCCAGACAAAGTAAACTTCCTGGAACTGTTTTTTGAAATGTGGCTACTGTCCTTTCCTCTTCTAGAAAAACGAGGATGAGGAGCCAAAACAGAGGAGGGTGTCGCAAGCGGCAGACATTTGAAAGCAGCTTAAGCCCCTGAGCCCCCTTTCTGGGGTTCCTGGGCAAGAGGTCGCACGCCTGGCCGAGGTGGTGCCCCAGGGGTGACAGCGGTTGCCCTCCTGTATGGCACAACTGAAAATAAAGGCTGGGCCATTTCCCCCTCCATCTGCCAAAATCCCATTACTGAGGTTGTCAAAATGCTTCAACCTCTCTTAAAATGCAGTGAGATTGCTTCACGATGAAGGGTATGACCAAGTGGAATTGTACACGGTATAGTTAGGAGGTGATGATGACCACAGTGGGGTCTTTAAAACAGTGCACGGCCCGCCTAGGGGACAGAGCCGGCCCTCCCAACACTTCCCCGCTACAGAGGCGTTCTGTGGCCCCGGGGCTGCTCCCCGCCTGGGCACATGGCGGAGACATGCAAGCCACAGGGGAGGGCTCTGACCTCGGCGTGGCTCCCGCCAGGGACCTGGCAGCTCTTCCGCTTGTTCTCTCTCTCATTCCTCATGGGGACTGCACTAGGACTTTCCCCTTCTCCCCAACTCCCCACCCAATGCCCCCTCTTTTGTGGCAGGTGAGCTCACGTCCTGCTCTGAAGAGAAAATGGAGGTGCCACACGTGGTCTCCTGAACTCCCAGCCCTGGACGAGGGGGTCCTGTCTCATTCAAGTAAACCCCCTGCAGTTCCCAGCAGCCTTAGGACAGCAGGCTCCTTTACGACTTCACCTCTGCGCTGCCCCCACTGAGAAGCTCCTGCTAACCTCGTCCAGTTGTCAAATCACTTCTTAGCATGCAAAACCTTGCCCGCATATCAGCTGCTCTGCCAAGCCCACCCTGAGTTCCGAGGAAGGTAATCGAGGTGCCTTCCTGAAGGTCTGCACCAGGCAGAAAGCCCTGTTACAGCCTAGTTGCATCGTGTGACAACTGCCTGCTCATAATGTGAACTCTGCGGTGACTAGAACCGTATCTGGCATATGGCAGACATTCAGTACAAAACCCATGGACAGAACAAATAAGTAAGTCCAGAGGTCTCCCTGGGGACAGGGCCTGTGTTACTCTTCCTTCCCACGCGCCCAGCACAGTTACCCTTTCCCGTCCCATGCGCCCAGCACAGTTACCCTTTCCCGTCCCATGCGCCCAGCACAGTTACCCTTTCCCGTCCCATGCGCCCAGCACAGTTACTCTTTTCCACCCCATGCGCCCAGCACAGTTACCCTTTCCCGTCCCACGCGCCCAGCACAGTTACCCTTTCCCGTCCCACGCGCCCAGCACAGTTACCCTTTCCCGTCCCACGCGCCCAGCACAGTTACCCTTTCCCGTCCCACGCGCCCAGCACAGTTACCCTTTCCCGTCCCACGCGCCCAGCACAGTTACTCTTTTCCACCCCATGCGCCCAGCACAGTTACCCTTTTCCGCCCCATGCGCCCAGCACAGTTACCCTTTTCCGCCCCATGCGCCCAGCACAGTTACTCTTTTCCGCCCCATGCGCCCAGCACAGTTACTCTTTCCCGTCCCATGCGCCCAGCACAGTTACCCTTTCCCGTCCCATGCGCCCAGCACAGTTACCCTTTCCCGTCCCATGCGCCCAGCACAGTTACCCTTTCCCGTCCCATGGCCCAGCACAGTTACCCTTTTCCGCCCCATGGCCCAGCACAGTTACTCTTTTCCACCCCATGCGCCCAGCACAGTTACCCTTTCCCGTCCCACGCGCCCAGCACAGTTACTCTTTTCCGCCCCATGCGCCCAGCACAGTTACCCTTTCCCGTCCCATGCGCCCAGCACAGTTACCCTTTTCCGCCCCACGCGCCCAGCACAGTTACTCTTTCCCGTCCCACGCGCCCAGCACAGTTACCCTTTCCCGTCCCACGCGCCCAGCACAGTTACCCTTTCCCGTCCCACGCGCCCAGCACAGTTACCCTTTCCCGTCCCACGCGCCCAGCACAGTTACCCTTTCCCGTCCCACACGCCCAGCACAGTTACCCTTTTCCACCCCACGCGCCCAGCACAGTTACCCTTTTCCGCCCCATGCGCCCAGCACAGTTACCCTTTTCCGCCCCATGCGCCCAGCACAGTTACCCTTTTCCGTCCCATGCGCCCAGCACAGTTACCCTTTCCCGTCCCATGCGCCCAGCACAGTTACCCTTTCCCGTCCCACGCGCCCAGCACAGTTACCCTTTCCCGTCCCACGCGCCCAGCACAGTTACCCTTTCCCGTCCCACGCGCCCAGCACAGTTACCCTTTCCCGTCCCACGCGCCCAGCACAGTTACCCTTTCCCGTCCCACGCGCCCAGCACAGTTACCCTTTCCCGTCCCACGCGCCCAGCACAGTTACCCTTTCCCGTCCCACGCGCCCAGCACAGTTACTCTTTTCCGTCCCACGCGCCCAGCACAGTTACTCTTCCGTCCCACGCGCCCAGCACAGTTACCCTTTCCCGTCCCACGCGCCCAGCACAGTTACTCTTTTCCGTCCCATGCGCCCAGCACAGTTACTCTTTCCCGTCCCATGCGCCCAGCACAGTTACCCTTTCCCGTCCCATGCGCCCAGCACAGTTACCCTTTCCCGTCCCATGCGCCCAGCACAGTTACCCTTTCCCGTCCCAGGCGCCCAGCACAGTTACCCTTTCCCGTCCCACGCGCCCAGCACAGTTACCCTTTTCCGTCCCACGCGCCCAGCACAGTTACTCTTCCGTCCCATGCGCCCAGCACAGTTACTCTTTCCCGTCCCAGGCGCCCAGCACAGTTACTCTTTCCCGTCCCAGGCGCCCAGCACAGTTACCCTTTCCCGTCCCATGCGCCCAGCACAGTTACCCTTTCCCGTCCCACGCGCCCAGCACAGTTACTCTTTTCCGTCCCACGCGCCCAGCACAGTTACTCTTCCGTCCCATGCGCCCAGCACAGTTACCCTTTCCCGTCCCACGCGCCCAGCACAGTTACTCTTTTCCGTCCCATGCGCCCAGCACAGTTACTCTTTTCCGTCCCATGCGCCCAGCACAGTTACCCTTCCACCCCATGCGCCCAGCACAGTTACTCTTTTCCGTCCCATGCGCCCAGCACAGTTACTCTTTTCCGCCCCATGCGCCCAGCACAGTTACTCTTTTCCGTCCCATGCGCCCAGCACAGTTACTCTTTGCCGTCCCATGCGCCCAGCACAGTTACTCTTTGCCGTCCCATGCGCCCAGCACAGTTACCCTTTCCCGTCCCATGCGCCCAGCACAGTTACCCTTTCCCGTCCCATGCGCCCAGCACAGTTACCCTTTCCCGTCCCATGCGCCCAGCACAGTTACCCTTTCCCGTCCCATGCGCCCAGCACAGTTACCCTTTCCCGTCCCATGCGCCCAGCACAGTTACCCTTTCCCGTCCCAGGCGCCCAGCACAGTTACCCTTTCCCGTCCCACGCGCCCAGCACAGTTACTCTTTTCCGTCCCACGCGCCCAGCACAGTTACTCTTCCGTCCCATGCGCCCAGCACAGTTACTCTTTTCCGTCCCATGCGCCCAGCACAGTTACCCTTTTCCGTCCCAGGCGCCCAGCACAGTTACCCTTTCCCGTCCCATGCGCCCAGCACAGTTACCCTTTCCCGTCCCATGCGCCCAGCACAGTTACCCTTTTCCGTCCCATGCGCCCAGCACAGTTACCCTTTCCCGTCCCATGCGCCCAGCACAGTTACCCTTTTCCGTCCCATGCACCCAGCACAGTTACCCTTTCCCGTCCCATGCGCCCAGCACAGTTACCCTTTCCCGTCCCAGGCGCCCAGCACAGTTACTCTTTTCCACCCCATGCACCCAGCACAGTTACTCTTTTCCGTCCCATGCGCCCAGCACAGTTACTCTTCCACCCCATGCTCCCAGCACACTCTTCCGTCCCATGTGCCCAGTGCAGTCTTCCGTCCCATGCGCCCAGTGCAGTTACTCTTCCGTCCCATGCACCCAGCGCAGTTACTCTTTTCCATTCCATGCACCCAGCACAGTCATAGGCTTCCAGGGTAGGTACTGTCAATGTTTGTTCCAGGAAAACCCAATTCAGCTTTTCAAACAAGATTTATACACACCTTCAGGAGCAAGCATGCTTGAATATAATGAGTCTACCTTTAAGGTAAATTTCAGCTCTTTGGGTTTGTAATGGATGGAAAAAGGCAGGCAAAGAAACAATTTCAACATCTTCCAGCCCCAGAGATGTACAAATATTTTAGCAACATCCCAGTGACTAAATGGTGATTCAGCCGAGACGCCCCAAATAAACAGTCTCTATTCTTAACTCTGCTCCCATCTTACTGAAGCGTTACAAGGCTGTACTTACATCTGGGGTCAAGCCATTCTCATTTGGCTTCGAAATGATAACACAAAACTGTTACAATAACCTGGAACTGTAAGGGTCCTGGGGATCCCACATTCAGTCCCACCCGTGTCATGGATGAACCCGGGACCAGCAGGGCAGCCAGCCAGAGGCAAACCCACACCAGGACCTGGCGCTCGGCCATGTGCCTGCGTTTTCCAATATTGATGTCGACGTGGGAGGCAAGTTGCTATGGAGGAAACGCGCACACACATCTGAGATTATTAAATAGCAGCCGCTAACTGCCTCGATGCAGGAGTCCCATCTCCCCAAACAAATTCTGGCTGTGATGCCAACTGCAGCAGGACGGTTAGTGGTGCCGCTGGCACCGAGAGCACCTGGCCTGGTGGACCTGTCTCCCAGACCTGCTGGGGAGCGCCGTGTGCTCAGCTGAACACGGCTCCTGTGGCCACAGTCCTGTGTTGCTCCCGTGGTTCGGCCGGCGAAGCTCCGTGTTCATGTGCACAGCCACATTGGCCATTTTGACCCAACAGACACTCAAGCAACTCTTGCGTGAATTTGGTGGGAAGATCCATCGAATGTATTGTTTTTGGACTAACCTGATGAGTCCCTTTGGTAAAGCAGTCCCACTGACTATGCCTGTGGACCCAGCTGGGTGCAGCCATCTCTGACTGTATGGTGTCCATCCTGAGCTCCAAGTCATCAGAGAGCGGCCAGGAGTGCATCTGACTTTGCTGGTGACCTGCATCTTATCTGCGTCCACACTCAACTGTGTGCAGCGGCCCAGGAAGGTGGAGGGCTGCTGAGCTGCTTTAGAAAATGAGGGTTTGAAGCTGCCCTTTGGAAATGATTAGGTTGTTCAAAAGTAATTGAGCTTTCTCAAAAGGCAGCTGGGGCTAAAATAAATGGAAGTCTACTTAACATATTGTTAAAAATATGAAGGGGTTGAATGGCATCAAAACACATTAAATGACAGAACATGACTCGCCTCCTTGGCTGGATTCTAAACTCCTCGGGGCAGGCGCTTTCTTTAGTGACACTCTCAGTGTTGTTTGTGGGAGACGCTCCGCAAATGTGGGGAGCAGGTGGGCGCCTTTGGTCCCCGTCCTCCTGGCAGGCAGTGGCTGAGTACCTTCTCGGGAAAGGAGGCCCCCGTGAGGCTGGGTGGGCTCTGAATTCCCGGTGTGTTGATAGCGATCGGCACATGCCTCAAGCCACCTGGAAGAGAAGCTGCCCCAAGATTCTCCAGGCCCTTTCTGAGCTGAAGGTGACGTGACAGACAGGCTTCAAAGAAGGGTCAGAGACGGCCGGTGGGTGGGCCCCGTTCCCAAACACCCACCTTGGATCTCATGCCCTGGAGCAGAGCATGTGTCCTGGTCCTGCCTGGGCGAGGCCGGCACCCGCTGCCCTAGCTTCACCACTGGTAGCCCCAAGCATCTCTGGCTGGGGATACATCACCCGATCACACCAGCCCGAGAACCTTCCCTTTCCCACCACCATTCAAAGGAGGCTGCTCTTAGCCAGAAGGCCTCTGTGTTCCAGGCTTAAATCTGGGCGAGATTCAGGGTTTAACTCTGGCCTTGCAGTTTTAGAGGTTGTTATAGGCTGAATTGTGACCCCCCAAATCCATCCATTGAAGCTCTGATCCCCATGTGCCTATATTTGGAGACAGGACCTCCAAGGAGCTAATTAAGGTTCAATGAGGCCAAAAGGGCGGCCCCGATCCTACAGGACTGGTGTCCTTACAAGAAGAGTGAGAGACACCCCGTGCCTGCACCAGGGAAAGGCCGTGTGAGGACATGGGGAGAAGATGCTGTCCACAAGCCCGGGAGAGAGGTCACAGGAAGAACCGCCCCCACCCCCGCCGCCCCCCACAGCTTGGTCTGGGACTGTCAGAGCTGTGAGAACAGACGTGTCCTGCAGTTTAATGCACCCAGTCTGTGGTCCTGGGCACGGCCACCCGTGATGACTTACACACAGATGCACGCAGACGGCTTGGGGAGCATGGCCAGTGCTTGTCTTAGTGTGGGAGGCTTGGTGTCCGCCCCTGGCCACGGAGTCTCGTGTCTCCTGCTCTTTCGTGGACGGCGCTCACCTACATCTTACATGCAGGTCCCTCCATGTTGAGTGAAAAAATCAGAGGAGGTACAATCCCACCAGTGCCCGGCTGGACACATATTGGTTTTGGAGCCAAGGGGTAACAGTTTCCCTCTACAAATGAAAAGCTCCTCTCCGTCCTGGTGGGATGGGGATGACATTTTTAAAGGGTAGAGTAAATGTGCTCCTGCTTCAGGTGCCCTTTGCAGAGGCTTCCCGAGTCTCCCGGGGGCAATGCATCTTCTCAGTAAGAAGAAACCCCAGCAAGAAATCACACCAGGCGTCTTGGATAAACAGAAGTGAACTACGTCCTGGTTGCAGCTGTATTTATTTCACACATTCATTTAAAAAGTTAATTTGACATGTATTTCATGAAGCTTCGGTACACACGCCACGTTGCTCCCCGATTTTATCTTCATGCGTCTTCCTTCACCAGACGGCCTGGCGAGCTCACTCTCCTGTCTGAGGGCTGAGAAGCCCAAGCTCGCCCCAGACTGGGGCCTGTGTGGACGCGGCCCCCAGCAGTGTTCCTGTGTCCGTGGTTTGGAGGCTCTGTTCGCTGAGCCTCAGCACGACCTCAACCTGATCTGGGAGTCTGAGTGCGCTGGGCTTGGAGGGCACGTGTGCTGTGAGTGAGCCCTACATGCAGGAGCATGGTGCTCTCTGGCCGGGCAGCCTCACCTCCAGTGGAAGCTAAGCGTTGTGCCCGGGCAGGGGGCGCAGGCAGGAGGGCTGAGCTTCCCTGGTTATCCCCTGAGGCGAGGACGCAGCAGCAAGTTCCCATCCCCTGGCCTGGCTTCTCTGGGCCCAGGCGCTCCCATTCGTACTCACGGTCCTGAGTTGAGCTCCAGAGTGTTCCCCTACAGGGAGGGGTTTGCTTTCCCCAGAATGGGGCCTGGGCGTGGCAGCCCCTCCACAGAGGAAGGGCCCTGGTCCTCGGGAGCATTTACAGCATCGTGGGTGCCGGCTGGGGCGCCAGCCACCAAGGCCACAAGGCCGGCTTAGAAGGTCTGGAAGAGCCTGACTAGGAATTAGGATGCTGTGCGTTAATCTGCAAATACCACCCCCGATGCGGGGAGGACCTGGTGTCTGGGCGGGGGAGGAGGCTCCGAGGGGCTCTTGCTGCCTTGGCCAGACCTGCAGCAGCAGGGACAGAGGCTCCCGGGAATGCCTGGGTCAGAAGAGAGGGCTCTGCCACTCACCCCTCCTCTCTTCTCATCCATCTCCTGGTGCCCCAAAGGGCCTCACTGTTCCTGTGGAGAGCTGTTATTTTGAAATTATATCTTGTCATGAAAGTTTCACTTTTAAACACTATTAAGGCCTCTCGGTATTATACTTCTTTTGAAACATCTATTAGAATAAGGATCTCACAGGCAGCTGAGAATCAACAGGAATGTGGCCGTACACAATAAGCTCCACGTGACCCAGGGGGACGTATCTGTGTGCTCTGGGAAGGCTGACATTTCAACATTCCTGGCGTCTGAATTCGACATCTCTCCCACCACCGGGAAGGAGGCGCCCCAGAGGGGAGGGAGGTGCTGGGGAGCGGGATTGAGAGCCTGATACTGGCGTGAAGTTCATCAGCAGAGGAGCGAAGGGAGGAGGGCAGGGTCAAGACCAGGGACTCATGGAAGCATTTGGCATCCTGTGAAGTTTCTCAGCCTCTGGAGGCTCCTCTCTGATGGGAGCCTTATCCGAGAGGTGGGTGGGAGGGACGCAGGCTGCCGGTGCTGGTCCCGGGTTGTTTGTGGTGCAGCCAGCGGCTGGTCACTCACATGCAGACTGAGCTGACGCTTAGGACAAAATCCATGTTTTTTCATTTTGAATAAAATCACTCGATATTTGACATTTTAGGCATTGAAGTCGTCATCACGGCTCATCACAGGAGAAATCAGAGCTCTGTGCTGTTGTTTCTGGATACGTGCTTGTTTTAGGGTTTTGTATGTATTATTTCAGAGCTCCGTGCTGTTTCTGGACACGTGTTTTAGGGTTTTGTATGTATTATTTCTAGTTCCATGAAGGGGTAGGGGCATCATGTCCTTAGGATGCTCACAGGTCAAATTAGGGCTGTCCCACCAGCCACCCACACATCCCCAGCGACTTTGGTTTGGAGGAAGATGGAAAAGAGTCAGGAGAGAGGGGTGCAGCCCAGGAGACAGAGCACCTGGAAGGATTTGATTTTAAGATTTAACTTCGCATTAGGGGTTTTCTTCATAGGCTCCTGCAATTCAGATAGTATCTTTATTCCAAGGAGCTTTGAGTGGTTTCTGCATCAGTTTTCATTTCTTGTTCCCAAATCTCTGTGACATAGGGAGACAGGCCTTTCTCTAAAACCCACTGCAGACATGAAGAGCCACAGCCGGGGGGGACTCACCCAAGGTCACACGGTTAATCCTCCATGTTCCGGAGATTAAAGCAAACTCCATGGCTCTCAGTCTCGTCTGAAACTTCATGCCTCTGAATTGCCCCTGAATTACCCACATAACAGCAGCTGGACACAAATATAAGCAGCAGCAGATGTGATGTTGGCTGGGACAGCCGAGGGAAACTGGTAAAATGCCTCTTCTTCCTGACTACTCTCTCACCCCGGCATCTGCCTCCAGAGTCTCGCAGCCTTTGGAGATGGGTTTGCGGCCCAGGGGCACCTTCGTTGTAGCTTATTCGTCTATGAGGGGAGGAAAAGATGGTCTCCTGTAAAAAATGTTAAAGTGCCAGCAAGAAATTGAGGGTAGTATCTTGGAGTGTTGTGAGAAGAGCCGTCCTGAGTTCTGACGGTCACCATACAGGCAGAGTGACACCTGTGCCTTCAGCTGCCCCGAGGTCAACTCAATGCCAACTGCCATCTGGGACTCTTGGAGAGCTCTTTCTCCCCAGGTGTGACCAGACAAGGTTGTTATGGAATCAAATACCAAATTATGGCAGATGCTAATTTCAGTCATCTTGCACACAGATCAGCCCTGGGGTCACCATACTGTGTTTTTGGGACACTCCAAGATGGATGTGCTTTGGTTCTGACGGCAGAGAACAGGACACCTCCCAAGGTGACCGCAAGGAGGCCTGAGCTCCTGGGCCGCTCATTCCACCCCCTCTGCGTGCTCACGCATGGCTCCCCAGCAAGACAGAGCAGCTTTCCTCTGACCTCTTCCTCTTCCAGAAGCCAGAGCCAGCCAGGGTTCAGGGAGAGCGGAATCACTGGGACTGTATGGAGTTTCCACTTTTAGCACAGCTGGATCTTTTCATTAATTTTTTTATATCTACATGGGTTTAACTGTACATTATATTGTGCTTTTTTATTGCTGATTCGGCCAGCAGGACCCCTTCCTCCATATGCCTTTTATCACTTTATTTAACCGTGTTGTACACATACACCCACTTTGCTTTGTATATGGTGAGCTACCTTAATGCCATTGCCCAGATGCAGATTTGTTATTATGTATACATTGTTAAATTTAACACTTTCCTTGGTGGATCAGGTTCCTGTAGGGCACAGAACACTAACCTATCAATGACCCAGACTCAGAAAAGCCACCAGAGAACCAGCAAGGTCAAATTGCTTCGGCTTCAGCTCCGGAACATCGTCTCCCTCCGTCCACGGCAACGCGGGAGCCTGACCAGCTCCGGAACATCGTCTCCCTCCATCCACGGCAAGGCAGGGGGAGCCTCACCAGCTCCGGAACCCCGTCTCCCTCCGTCCACGGCAACGCGGGAGCCTGACCAGCTCCGGAACCCTGTCTCCCTCTGTCCACGGGGTGACTTCATGCTGCCATGGCCATCACCTGGGTTGGGGGTGGGTAGTGCCCAGGGCAGGGGAAACACACAGAGCAACTGAAATATTGTCGTCTTTCCCCAGAGAGGGCTCCAAGGAGTGGCGGGAGCTTCTCAGAGGCTCCTAATCAATGCTTTTTCTTTTAAACAATCCACGAGCTAATGAGAGGGTGGAGAATCCCATCCCGATGGGCACTGGCTTCTTTCCAGCAAGCCTCGGAATCACCTCAGTGCCCCTGGCCCACGGGATCCCAGGAATCAAGTTCTGATGGATTTGTAAGCAGATTCGTTCTTCAGATTATAATTAGAGCCGCTCTCTCTCCCCGCCTTTTTGAAAGTTCCCATTAGCCTGAGCAAGGGCCAAAATATTATTGGAAAACCCATGGGCCACTTTGTTCCCTCTGTACCACAGGTTAAAACCCTATTTACTTTGTCAGAGAGGAAAAAATAATCAAATAAACTCTCCATTTCAGATGCTACTGAAACGAGCAACAAGGGAAGGGGGGAGATGATGCTCATGTGATTTGGAGGCCAAAGGTGCTTCTAACTCACAGTCGGAGCCACCCCACGCCTCCTTCCACAGGCTCCATGACGGCAAAGGCCCTGTCCACCAGCCCTATGGAAAAGAGCCTGGCTCCAGCACCTTTCCTGGGACTTGATTTCCTCACTTTTTAAAATGACTTGCCAATCAATTATCAATTGATAATGACTACTGATTGCAACATATCTTTAGTAAGTAAAATGAAAGGTGTGTCTTACTACTGCTGGCTGTTTCCGGCCAACAAGCCCAAGACTGAGAATTGGTGAAGGAAGGCATTGCCTGTGGACCTCCCTCCCATGGGTGCCCGGCCTGCTCTTAGTCCCCCACTGAAGGCTCTTCGGCACCTAGAGCCCCATCATCCCTTCCCCGTGTGTTTGCTAACGCTGTTCATCTTGTCTAGGATGCTTCTCCTCCATCAAAACCACTTCAAGAATCAGTCCCTCCTGGAACCCTCCCCGGAGACGCTCTCTTCCTCACCTCTCTCTGGACATTTGCAGGAAGAAGCAAGACCCGTCCACATGACCCATGCACGATTCAGTGGCTCTCCTCCCTCTGGGAGGTCAGTTTTACTGGTTGTACGTGGAGTCCTCTAAGCTATGAGGGAAGAAGGGGACAACTGTTTGGCCAAACCATAGTCTCTGTGGCCCTTGGGAAGAAGGATGTTGTGGACACTGCACCTGGCATCTCCTGGGCTTCTGTCCTCTCTCAGCTTTGCTCTTCATGTCCCCGGCATTTTTAACTCCTAGCTCAGTTACTTCTCTGCTCATCTTTCCTCTTAGACTTGGGGTCCTTGAGGGCCAGCTCTATGTCTGGTTCATCTTTGCATTCTCCATCAGATTGCAGAAGTTGTGTCAACGACGAACCAATAAATGAATGTGTGCAGTCGGGTGTGGCAGGGACCAACAATCTGACCAGCGCTCTTTCTGTGTGGATGGTCTGGCCCTGTGTTGACAAACACCTAAATAATCCAGCACGATTCCCTTCTAGATGTATCTCTCTACGGTGACTGAGTGTGCTCAATGCTTACAACTAGGCTTTTTCCAATCACCTGTAACTCATGTGAATGTGGTCACTGATTTGAGCATCAAAAGGGCCAAAGTTATCGAGGGCTTTTGCATATGTAGATGGAGAACAGGTGACTGGGGTAACGCGTTATTTACCTGTATTTAGATGGGCAGTCTCCAGATGTTTTTAAACAGGTGACTGGGGTAACCAGCTACTTAACTGTATTTAGACGGGGCAGTCTCCAGAGATTTTTGAAAAGGAAGAAGGAAGTAAATTCAGTTACTTGGATACAAGTAGGACAGAAAATATTCCTTTGAGATTGTGAGGGTATTTATTCATTGAACAGTTTTAGAGGTACAGAGAGACTACTTGATGAGCTGACTTCTGTTTTTTTTTTTTTTTCCAGAAGTGGGTATCTAGGTTTGCTGATTGCTGGAGTAAACGATGAATGTGGATGGCAGGGCAGCATTTTGGAGGTGAAGCCATCTGCAGATGCGTGTACCCCACGAGGGTGAGAAGCTCCAAGCACACCCAGAATCTAGGGTGGGGGACTGTTCGCCTGAGCAGCACCAACTCCATCTCAAGATGTGTGTCTGCTGTCTGTTGCTGTTCTTTGTTTGAGCTTTGAACTCCTCACATAACCCCTTAACTGTCCTCTTGATCTTTTATTCATGAGCTTGACACATTGGGCAGAAAGACACAGTCTCAGTGAGATGATACCAACTTGGAGCTTAGTTTCTTCTTCCTAATACCTTTTGCTTGTAATTCCAAAGTATTGATATTAAATACTCATAAGTAGCCAAGGAAGAGGACCATCCCACTACTCAGTTTAATCTGTCTTGAAAATGCTTCGGTATTGCATGAACGTGATGCATGATCCAACCCAATGCTCTGTGCTAAGGCTGTGCTTGTGTTATCTGTGGTGAAGAGAACCTTGTAATGAATGGACCACTCACTGAGCCAGGCTGTGCTTGTGTTATCTGTGGTGGAGAGAACCTTGTAATGAACGGACCACTCACTGAGCCTGGGCAGCTCCCTGCATCTGACTTCTGGAGAGTTCTAGAGATACTCACAGGTCAGGAGGTCTCTTGGGGTGAGGGCAGGGGAGGCAGCTCTGGGAACCGACCATCAGCAAAGGTCAGAGACTTAGATGCCCATCCAGTGGGTTCGAATGTCAGCCGCCTTCCACAGCGAGGTCTGGTAATGGGCTTGGACCTGCCTGAATCCTCCTGGCTAAGCTGTGGAGTGGAGCCAGGAGTGCTGTCTGCTCACGGTGGGACCAGCCTGCAATCGGTGCGGCGGGCTATGCTTAGGGCCTAAGAATTAGGCTTCCCACCTGCCAGCGATACAGGCACGGGATAGGCCACATTACCCTGCTTTTGTGACTCATCCTTCCTCCATTTAAGTGGGACCCACACTTGTGGCTGGGATAACAATTTCCAGGTTGGCTGAGTTGGGCTCCTGGCAAGCCATGGCTGGGATAGCTATCTCCAGGTTGGCTGAGTTGGGCTCCTGGCAAGCCATGGCTGGGATAGCTATCTCCGGGTTGGCTGAGTTAGGTTCCTGGCAAGGCCATGGCTGGGGTAACGATCTCCAGGTTGGCTGAGCTGGGCTTCTGGCAAGTCCGTGGCTGGGATAGCTATCTCTGGGTTGGCTGAGTTGGGCTCTCGGCAAGGCTGTGGCTGGGATAACAATCTCCAGGTTGGCTGAGCTGGGCTTCTGGCAAGGCCGTGGCTGGGATAGTTATTTCCAGGTTGGCTGAATTAGGTTCCTGGCATGGCTGTGAAAGTGCTGCCCCATTTCTTTGCCACCAGCCACGGAAGTCGCAGCTCCCTGTGTCCTCTTTGCACGTTGCATGTGTCGTGGTGGGAGCTGTGAGGCGGTGCCGTGACGGGGCGATGCTGCTGCAGGAGACGTGCTCCGGGGCACGACTCTGACGCAGCTTAGAAGAGCTAATGCTTGACACCATCTGGATCCCCTTCATGCTTTCTGTTTTTATGGGAAGTCCTAATTCAACACATGTTTCCTGAGGTGCTACTACGTGCTAGGTTACTGGGTACAGCAAGACCATGGAGGAATCAGAGCGTAAACAAGCGGGCGCGAGGTGGTCCAGGCATGGAGGGCACAGAAGCCGTGATGCTGGGGTGGGCTGGGGGTCAGCTGGCCTCAACGGGGTGAACACAGCAGCTCTCCCAGACATCGAAGGAGATTCAAGGAGCCTGAAACTCAAACAAGTGGAAGAGGCTGGAACGTCACCTAAGGTGATAGGAACTGGGGACCCGACCTGGCGCCCGTTCAACAGACCCAAGCCTCCCATCCCAGCATCGGGCCGTGATGTGCCGTCCATTACACAACGATGGAATCTGCTCTGGGAAGAATAAATGGCTCTGGTGAGCATGCTCAGAATTCCATTTTAATATTAAAAAATTTAAAATAATTCTTGGTTTAAAACACAAATAGAGGTATAATATAGTAGCCATCTAGAACCTCAATTTAAGATATGAGATTGGGTCTGCTTTTGAATTTTAGAAAGTAGTAAGAGTCTGCTGTTTTCATGTTTAAATGTGTGAGGCACTTCAGTACCATCAGAACGTGTGCAGAAGACGGAGGATGTGGAAGGGCCCCCAAGGACAGGTCTGTCTGCCTGGTGGACACTGAGTGAGGTGGAGGGGAAGCCACAGATCCCCACTGTCCTCATCACTCAGGCACATCCAGGCTGATGAAAAAGCAACAGAATGGGTTCAAAGGCCTCTTACCAAACGACTCGGGGCTTCCCTCAGCCCCTGGGTGTTCACTTCAGCCGCACCCCAGTCCCCCGGCATCTCTGAGGGGCCCTGAGGCGTGTCACCTCACTCCCCACCACCCCTCACTTCTGCCTCCATGAAATGTGGGTCCCCTTCCAGGCGGCACCTTCCTTACGAGGACTACGGGTGTCTGAGAGGCGCCTCTGAGTCCCTATGCCACCGCATCTGGGTTGGGTCACGATGCTCCCCTTGCACGGAGCTAAGATTTATAGACCGAGACAGCTCCAGGAGTGGCCACCCCAGCATTTCTCAGGGGAAGAAATGAGGATGAAAGAGGTGGAGCTCGTACAGTCAGCAACGGTGGCCCCTGGGCAGACCCTAGAGCTCCTGGGGCCCTGCCCAGGTCCTTCTGTGTATGTCTCAGCCCAGGTCATCACAGATCCAGCCAGTGATCTGCTGGATGAGAAGCTTCTGCACGGACTCGTCCACCCTCTCACTGTAAACATTGCTCCAGACGAACGCAAGGCTGAGAGCCGGGGGTGGTCTGCGGGAGGCAGGCATGGGGGAGAGGACAGGCTGCGGGAGGCAGGTTGGGGGAGAGGACAGGCTGTGGGAGGCAGGCTCAGGGACAGGGCAGGCTCAGGGAGGCAGGCTGGGGGAGAGGGCAGGCTGCACAATGCTGGGCTCCTCCGACAATGCTCACCTCTCTTCTCCCCTCCATTTGCACCTCAGTCCTGATATTTATCTCCCCAAAACGTCTGGGACACTGGGCAGAGGCTGAGTGAGGGTGCCAGCATCTGCAGGGCAGGCTGGAGGCCGCTGCTTTGCTCTCAAATGTCAGCATCTTTTGTAGGCTCCAGAACCGTGTGGATAAAGCAAAACGCTCACCCAAGAGGAAGCTGATACAGCAGCAAAGACCACCCAACGATCTGGTTCCTACCCATTTCCAGGCAGTCGGTAAATGAAACCTAACATGTTTGACGCACGCCCTGATTTGACCATCACAAAGCTCCTTCTCTGGCTGCAGGATGCACTCAGCACGCACGCCACAAACATGGAGATCACAGGACTCCCTACACACCATAGTCCATACAGGGCCTTGAGTGTGGAGATCACAGGCCTCCCCTGCACCCCACAGTCCTCACAGGGCCCTGAGTGTGGAGATCACAGGACTCCCTGCACCCCACAGTCCTCACAGGGCCCTGAGTGTGGAGATCACAGGACTCCCTACACCCCACAGTCCTCCCTACACCCCACAGTCCTCACAGGGCCAAGAGCATGGAGATCATGGGCCTCCCTACACCCCACAGTCCTCATGGGACCCTGAGCATGAAGATCACGGGCCTCCCCTAGACCCCACAGTCCTCATGGGACCCTGAGCATGGAGATCATGGGCCTCCCTACACTCCACAGTCCACATGGGGCCAAGAGCATGGAGATCATGGGCCTCCCCTAGACCCTACAGTCCTCACGGGGCCCTGAGCAAGGAGATCATGGGATTCCCTACAACCCACAGTCCTCACGGGGCCCTGAGCAAGGAGATCACGGGACTCCCCGCACCCCACAGTCCACACGGAGCCCTGAGTGTGGAGATCACGGGACTCCCTACACCCTACAGTACTCACGGGGCCCTGAGCAAGGAGATCACGGGACTCCCTGCACCCCACAGTCCACACGGGGCCCTGAGTGTGATCACGGGACTCCCTACACCCCACAGTCCTCACGGGGCCAAGGGCGTGGAGATCACGGGCCTCCATACACCCCACAGTCCTCACGGTGCCAACAGCATAGAGATCACGGGCCTCTATACACCCCACAGTCTTCACGGGGCCCTGAGTATGGAGATCACGGGACTGCCCTGCACCCACAGTCCTCAGCAGTTTCTAGAGCAGAAGATGCCCATTAAAGGCAGATCTCTTCCGTTCAGCTGCCTGGTCTGCTGAGCAGTTGAGGGGGATGGTGAGGCAGTGTGGGAATCCGCATGTGTTGAGGCCTGCATCCCTGAGCTGCGGGCAGTTGAGGTGATTCTGAGGCCTGTGTCCCTGAGCTGTGGGCTGTTGAGGTGATTCTGAGGCCTGCGTCCCTGAGCTCTGGGCTGTCCGGGTGATTCTGAGGCCTGCGTCTCTCAGCTGTGGGCTGTTGAGGCGATTCTGAGGCCTGTGTCCCTGAGCTGTGGGCTGTTGAGGTGATTCTGAGGCCTGCGTCCCTGAGCTGTGGGGTGTCCGGGTGATTCTGAGGCCTGCATCTCTGAGCTGTGGGCTGTTGAGGCGATTCTGAGGCCTGTGTCCCTGAGCTGTGGGCTGTTGAGGTGATTCTGAGGCCTGCGTCCCTGAGCTGTGGGGTGTGCGGGTGATTCTGAGGCCTGCGTCCCTGAGCTGTGGGCTGTTGAGGTGATTCTGAGGCCTGCGTCTCTGAGCTGTGGGGTGTCCGGGTGATTCTGAGGCCTGCGTCTCTGAGCTGTGGGGTGTCCGGGTGATTCTGAGGCCTGCGTCCCTGAGCTGTGGGGTGTCCGGGTGATTCTGAGGCCTGCGTCCCTGAGCTGTGGGCTGTTGAGGTGATTCTGAGGCCTGCGTCCCTGAGCTTTGGGCTGTCCGGGTGATTCTGAGGCCTGCGTCCCTGAGCTGTGGGGTGTCCGCGTGATTCTGAGGCCTGCGTCCCTGAGCTGTGGGGTGTGCGGGTGATTCTGAGGCCTGCGTCCCTGAGCTGTGGGCTGTTGAGGTGATTCTGAGGCCTGCGTCTCTGAGCTGTGGGGTGTCCGGGTGATTCTGAGGCCTGCGTCTCTGAGCTGTGGGGTGTGCGGGTGATTCTGAGGCCTGCGTCCCTGAGCTGTGGGCTGTTGAGGTGATTCTGAGGCCTGCGTCTCTCAGCTGTGGGCTGTTGAGGTGATTCTGAGGCCTGCATCTCTGAGCTCTGGGCTGTCCGGGTGATTCTGAGGCCTGCGTCCCTGAGCTGTGGGCTGTTGAGGTGATTCTGAGGCCTGCGTCCCTGAGCTTTGGGCTGTCCGGGTGATTCTGAGGCCTGCGTCCCTGAGCTGTGGGGTGTCCGGGTGATTCTGAGGCCTGCGTCCCTGAGGTGTGGGGTGTCCGGGCGATTGTGAGGCCTGTGTCCCTGAGCTGCAGGCTGTTGAGGTGATTCTGAGGCCTGCGTCTCTGAGCTGTGGGGTGTCCGGGTGATTCTGAGGCCTGCGTCCCTGAGCTCTGGGCTGTCCGGGTGATTCTGAGGCCTGCGTCTCTCAGCTGTGGGCTGTTGAGGTGATTCTGAGGCCTGCGTCCCTGAGCTGTCTGGTGTCTGGGTGATTCTGACCCCTGCGTCTCTGAGCTGTAGGGTGTCTGGGAGATTCTGAGGCCTGCGTCCCTGAGCTGTGAGCTGTTGAGGTAATTCTGAGGCCTGCGTCCCTGAGGTAGGAGCTGCCCGGGTGATTCTGAGGCCTGCGTCCCTGAGCTGTGGGGTGTCTGGGGGATTCTGAGGCCTGCATCTCTGAGCAGAGGGGTGTCCGGGCAATTCTGAGGCCTGCGTCCCTGAGCTGTGAGCTGCCTGGGTGATTTTGAGGCCTGCGTCCCTGAGCTGCGGGGTTTCTCGGTAATTCTGAGGCCTGTGTCCCTGAGCTGTGGGGTGTCTGGGTGATTCTGAGGCCTGCGTCCCTGAGCTGCGGAGTGTCTGGGTGATTCTTAGGTCTGCGTCTCTGAGCTGTGGGGTGTCCGGGTGATTCTGAGGCCTGCGTCCCTGAGCTCTGGGGTGTCTGGGTGATTCTGAGGTCTGCGTCCCTGAGCTGTGGGCTGTTGACGTGATTCTGATGCCTGCGTCCCTGAGCTGTGGGCTGTTCAGGTGATTGTGAGGCCTGCGTCTATGAGCTGTGGGCTGTTGAGGTGATTCTGAGGCCTGCGTCCCTGAGCTGTGGGCTGTCCGGGTGATTCTGAGGCCTGCGTCCCTGAGCTGTGGGCTGTTGAGGTGATTCTGAGGCCTGCGTCCCTGAGCTGTGGGCTGTTGAGGTGATTCTGAGGCCTGTGTCCCTGAGCTGTGGGCTGTCCGGGTGATTCTGAGGCCTGCGTCCCTGAGCTGTGGGCTGTTGAGGTGATTCTGAGGCCTGCGTCCCTGAGCTGTGGGCTGTTGAGGTGATTCTGAGGCCTGTGTCCCTGAGCTCTGGGCTGTCCGGGTGATTCTGAGGCCTGCGTCCCTGAGCTGTGGGCTGTTGAGGTGATTCTGAGGCCTGCGTCCCTGAGCTGTGGGCTGTCCGGGTGATTCTGAGGCCTGCGTCCCTGAGCTGTGGGCTGTTGAGGTGATTCTGAGGCCTGCGTCCCTGAGCTGTGGGCTGTTGAGGTGATTCTGAGGCCTGTGTCCCTGAGCTCTGGGCTGTCCGGGTGATTCTGAGGCCTGCGTCCCTGAGCTGTGGGCTGTTGAGGTGATTCTGAGGCGTGCGTCCCTGAGCTGTGAACTGCCCGGGTGATTCTGAGGCCTGCGTCCCTGAGGTGCGGGGTGTCTGGGTGATTCTGAGGCCTGCGTCCCTGAGCTACAGGCTGTTGAGGTGATTCTGTGGCCTGTGTCCCTGAGCTGTGGGGTGTCCGGGTGATTCTGAGGCCTGCGTCCCTGAGCTACAGGCTGTTGAGGTGATTCTGTGGCCTGTGTCCCTGAGCTGTGGGTTGTCTGGGTGATTCTGAGGCCTGCGTCCCTGAGCTGCGGGCTGTTGAGGTGATTCTGAGGCCTGTGTCCCTGAGCTGCGGGGTGTCTGGGTGATTCTGAAGCCTGCGGCTGTGAGCTGTGGGGTGTCTGAGTGATTCTGCGGCCTGTGTCTCTGAGCTGTGGGGTGTCCGGGTGATTCTGAGGCCTGCGTCCCTGAGCTGCGGGGTGTCAGGGTGATTCTGAGGCCTGTGTCCCTGAGCTGTGAGCTGCCCGGGTGATTCTGAGGCCTGCGTCCCTGAGCTGCGGGGTGTGTGGGTGATTCTGAGGCCTGCGTCCCTCAGCTGTGGGGTGCCTGGGTGATTTTGAGGCCTGCGTCCCTGAGCTGTGGGCTGTTGAGGTGATTCTGAGGCCTGTGTCCCTGCGCTGTGGGGTGTCTGGGTGATTCTGAGGCCTGCATCTCTGAGCTGTGGGGTGTCCGGGTGATTCTGAGGCCTGTGTCCCCGAGCTGTGGGCTGTTCACGTGATTCTGAGGCCTGTGTCCCTGAGCTGTAGACTGTTCGGGTGACTCTGAGGCCTGCTTCTCTGTGCTGTGGGCTCCCCAGGGGATTCTGAGGGCTCTTTTGCTTGTGGCCCTTCTGCTTGGCATGCATACTCAGGCCTGCAACATAGCACGTGGTCCTGATCCTTCTTCGTAATGTGTATTTTACTGGTTGGTTGCTTGTTGTTCATAATTTTTATTATATCATCTTTTAGAGAATGCTCGATTTAGAGAAAAAAGGATGAGTTTTGGAAGCAGCCCTACCAATGTTCTTTCTCTTGTTTCTTGTTGTGTGGTTTTGGCCAAACGATCAAAACAATCAAATCTCTGGGTCTTGGCTTCCCCCACGGCAATGAGGCTGGCCGGATGTAGGGAGTGAGGCGTAGAGGATGAGCTGCTACTACTGCACAGGAATGTCCCAGCCTGCTGCCAGCTCCTTGGGGAAGCAGCAAGATGCCACCCAGGTGAGCTGCTTCCTCCGCACCTATGAGAGGCAGGAAGTGGCAGGTAACATGGAGCTGCTGGAGACCCAGCCCCAGGGACCCCCTGCCAATATCTGAGTGAACAGTTCTTGCAAGCTAGGAAGGCTGGCCCGAGGATGGCAGTTGTATCTGGCATTTCTTGGAGTGTCTCCAGTTTATTTTGGAAATAGGTTTTGGCAAAAGTTCAAAATGTCAAACTCCTGAGGCTTTCAGTTGTCCTCTCCCTCCGGCTCCAGTGTCGAGTACCCAGTGAGCTGTTGAGAGAGAAATTCTTAAATGTACCGCAGCGTTCAGCTCCTCAGTGGGTTCGGAAACAGCTGGAAGGAAGGGTGTAAAGCCCGCCTGAGATGGCTTCCTCAGGGTTTGCCTCCCAGAGACACCGTGGCATTGGAGCAGGGTGCAGCTGCATTCTGGGGTGGGCCAGCTCGGCACCATCGGCCGATCTTCCTGGACGAGCCAGGGCTCGCTGGTAGGCCGTGGAACCTTCTGGCCGCATCTTTAGCTTCTCTAGAAAGGGCTACTCGAC
The DNA here is from genome assembly GCF_000001405.40 of Homo sapiens. Taxonomy (NCBI): domain Eukaryota; kingdom Metazoa; phylum Chordata; class Mammalia; order Primates; family Hominidae; genus Homo; species Homo sapiens. Next base: position 157,751,005 of record NC_000007.14, read on the forward strand.
CGTGGGCTCTAAAGAGCCTCCTCACCAGTGAGCGTCCTGCCCAACTCTGGGAAAACCTCCCAGATCCTGGCGGGGAGCTGCTGTGAGCTGTGGGGCCGAGGAGGCTCCCGACGCCCAGTAGTAGGCTGGGGGGACCTGCAGCCGCAGGACCAAGGGATTGATTTCTTTCTCGGTTATAAATTGCAACTGGAGACATGCTGACATGTGAAGGGAAGCTCGTGGATGGGGGGCACAAGGCAATATCCCGAGGAGAGAGACAGGCTCAATTCCAGTTTGCGCGCACTGGACAAAGTGAGGATGGGGTCAGCGAGGGAGAGCAGGTGGAAAGAAAAAAATCCATGCGGCGAACGCCCTGGCTGTGGCAGCGGGTTTATTTTTGAATGAAGGCACCATGCATTTAAATTAAATGTCAGATGTAATTTAGCACCCAGGCATCAAGAGGCTGAGCGTGTGCAGGGAAAGCCGGCAGCTCGCAGGAGTGGCTGAGTGCCTGCTCTCCAGCGCCCACGGAGTGCGCTCGCTCGGGAGGTGTCTCTGTCCTCGGCGTGGGAGGGTCTTTGAGAAGGTGAAGCTTGGCTGTTGCTAAGACACACGAGATCATTGTTTGGAAGGCGTTTTCCCTTCTCTCTCCCTCAAATGACTGTTTAATTGAGGTTACTCTGCACCGCTGACACGCGGTGGAAAGCCCGACATCACTTGGAGAACTTAATCAAGGCTGATGGAGCCGCGCGCACAGAATCCCAACTGCCCGCACCCTTTGTTTCATGTTCACCAAGACCGAGGGGACCATTCCTACGGGATGAGGAAACACATCTAACACAGGCCTTCTAAAGAGAGAGGAGGGAGGGAGGGAGGGATGGAAAGGGGGAAGGACAGAGACCACCGTGAACACATCTCCGCTTTTCGCTATGGGCAGATGCTTCCATAGACATGGGACTTTGCAGCCAAGTGGGACTTGCAGTTGCCCTGGACAGCCCGGCCTTGCGAGACTCCCATTCCGATTTCTTGACCCCTGAGGGTAGATATGCTCAGAAAAGCTCTGGTCTTCAGGCTGCAAGCTCCCAAGCAGGATCCACGAGCTCCTGCACCCCAAACCCCAGGCTCCTCCACACGCACTCACGAGGGGCTCTTCAGAGCCCACCTGCCTGCTGTGTCTGCAGCTCTGGCCTGGCTCGGCTGGGTTTTCTCCAGGGTGGGGGCACCGAGTGGCCAGGGCGGCTAAGACAGGTCGGCCATCACGGATGTAGCGGGGAACGTCGTAAGTGCTGCCTCAACAACATGGTGACTTGTCCGAACATGACCTGACTTTGCATCCCAGGGAAGGCACAGCCACAGCTTCCCATCCTCTGAGAGCCCCAGAGGGGGCAGGCTTCAGGATGGGTCTGCAGCTGTGCTCTGGGCGAGCACGTGCCCTCGTCCAGTCTCCCTTCCTGGGCAGCCCAGGCCAGAGCTCCCCTGGGGTCGAGCTGGGCGACTGGTGCGCGGTGTGGCTGTCGCCCTTTTGTGCTGGCCTCAGGGTCAACGCGCACTCTCTCTTCTGCTTCCCTGTTTCCAGCTGGCTTCTTCACCCGAAAGCCCATCCTCGTCTTATCAAATCTGATCCTCTCCCCAGCCACAAGCTCCCACCTAACCTACAGCCCACCTCCAGGTACAGAGGCCACCCTCTCTGTTTCCGTCTTCCTGCCCTGATTGCAGCTTCCTCTCCTACCTGGAGTCCAGCATCCATATTTTCATCTTTTAGAACAGAGGACACCCATCAAAGGCAGCAAACCACTGACTCTGGAAATCTGTGATTAGAGATGGCCAGCTCCATCTCAGGGATGGCGAGGGCCGCCAAGACAAGGAACAGCCGTGGGACAGACCCTCGCAGCAGCCACGCCGCCTTTCAGAAGGGTTCAGGGCTTATGACAAACATCTGGCAGCACCCACTCCTGCTGGAAGCCCAGACAGTCAGTGACCAGATGGTTTTGCCATGGCCGGCAGTGCTGATAACAGACGGTCAGGAGATGGATTTCTGTGGTGTGGCTGTTCTCCAAGGGGCAGGAACTAACTGGGAGGAAAGGCGGGGTGTCGGCACAGGCACCCTCTCCAGGCCTGCGTGCAGGGGGCAAGGACAGTGAAGCTACTGACACTTATGTCTCTGCTCAAATCCTAAACGCCTCCCTCTGCTGACGTCGGAACCCACACCCCGCGCAGTGGGCTTCTGTCCCCCGGGCAGTGCCATGTGCCAGGCATGTCTGCTGTGCTGTGGGAGGAGACGGTGCTGTTCCCTGGCCGATGCCCACTGGACCCCACAGAGGAACTGTGCTGTGGGGTGTGGTTCCCACAGACCCTTCATCGGGAAAGTTGAGAACTTACAATAGGAAGTGCAGTTTGGTGCAAGCTTTTCCCTTCCTGCCAGCCTCCTGTGCTATCAGAACACAGCCCCAGACACAAAGCCCATTACAAAGTGACCAGCACAGGCACCAGCCACCACTGCTTCTCCTCCCGTCTGGGCCTCACTCCAGCCCTAGTGGCCTCCGTCTGGGCCGCAGCTCACAGCATGGCAGTGACCCTTCCTCCAACACCCCCACCTCTGAAAATGTCCATGTTTCTAGTCGAAGCTCCGTTCTCTACCACGTGCCAGGCCCCACACCTGCCTTAACGCCTCCCCTCCGTTCTCTACCATGTGCCAGGCCCCACACCTGCCTTAACGCCTCCCCTCCGTTCTCTACCATGTGCCAGGCCCCACACCTGCCCTAACGCTTCCCAGATCGTGGCATGCGTGCATGGCTGCAGGTCCCTGCTCTCCTGGCATCTGCAACCGTGCCCTGCCCACCTCCCCATCCCCCACCGGTTCCTTGCCAGGCAAGAACCAAAGCCACCTAGCACAGCACCCCCATCCGCGGCCATGGCTGCTGTCCAGGCATCACGCCCACACCTGCCACCAGGCCCAGCATCTTGCTCCCTCCTCATCCTGGCACCAGCTGACCCCATCCTTGGGAGGCCTTGGTCTCTGGTTCCCCGCTCCCCTATCTGAAGTGGGTGCTGGTGAGAGGCTGGGAGGACCAGGCGTTGTGGCTGGGATCTGTGGCAACCCAGGAAGGAGCTGCAACTCCGAGGAGTTGGGGTGTGAAAACAATCGTCCACTGTGGGCTCAGGAAGAGCAGGGCCTGGTGCGGGCCCTTCCCGAGGAAGCCTGTGGGGCCTGAGTCCTGGGAGAAGCAAACTCAGGCCTGGAGGCTGAGTCCGTGTGGGGAATGTGGCCTGTGCTGCTGCTCCTGTGGACTCACGAGCCGTCAGGACACTGAGCCACGTTACCTGGTGCTTCTCCAGCATGGGCCTGTCTAGCAAAGCAGTGGCAGTGCTCTGAGCTGGGGGCAGGCGGACATGCCCCGACACTCGGCTTCCACCAAACAGGGTGGTCCAAGCACTGAGTTCTAGAAAGAAAACCGGGAGGAGGCGGTGTGGGACCGTGGGCAGACATCAACCTAGACCAGCCCCTGTCCCCCCTTGGCTGTGTCAGAGGTGACAGTGACAGTGGCCTTCCATTCTCTGCACCCACTGCACTCACGGGACTCCCTCTGCAACTCTGCCAGGGTGGCTTCATCACCACCTTTGGAGGAGGCCGAGGCTCCGGCTGGAAAGGTGCCCAGTCTGGGGGGGCCCTTCTCAAGGGATCTTTGTGTTTTACTGAAGTTCACGGGGTGCCCCCAGCCCTACTTGGCATGCGTGTTTTCTTTGTAGTTAGTTTTCTTTGTAGTTATTGGGATGCCACGTCAAGTTGGTCATTTCAGGTAAAAGGTGGCGTAAACACTGGAGCTGCAGAGAAAGGAAGGTGCTTCATGAACACTCTGCAGCGGGGTGTGCTTCAAGGGGAGGAAGAACTTAGATTATAATGCTTTTGTTGTTGTTGTTTGAGACAGAGTCTCACTCTGTCGCCCAGGCTGGAGTGCAGTGGTGCAGTCTGGGATCACTGAAGCCTCACCTTCCCTGGGCTCAAGCCATCCTCCCACCTCAGCCTCCTGAGGAGCTGGGACTATGGGTGTGCGCTGCCACGCCCGGCTAATTTTTATAATTTTTGTAGAGACAGGGTTTCTCCATGTTGCCCAGGCTGGTCTCAAACTCCTGGGCTCAGCAATCTGCCTGCCTTGGCCTCCCAAAGCGCTGGGATTACAGGCGTGAGCCACCACACCCAGACAATATTATAATTTTACTCTTAAAAATCTTTATGAAAGATGTAAATATGTAAATATTGAGATGTTTAGACTATTCAAGCTGTCAAAGACAAAAACTACCCAGAAACCCAGTACTGTGCCAAATGTTGAGAAAATCTGTAATTCCAAACAGTAGCTTCTGATGATGTTTGTTATTTTAAAAATTACAATTTAGTCCTGGGTACGAATGGGAGTATTTCAGCCTTTCTTGAGAAGTTCATCGAACTTCTAGGGCAGGTTCATGTTTACAGCTGTGTCTTCACGGGGGGGTTTGAGAAGTTGAGTCATCCTCATTTGATTATAAGAAAATGTGGTCCATATACACCGTGGAATACTATGCAACCATAAAAAGAATGAAATCATGTCTTTTGCAGCAACATGGGTGCAGCTGGAGGCCATGATCCTAAGCAAGCTAATGCAGAAACAGAAAACCAAATGCCACATGTTCTCACTTATGAGTGGGAGGTAAGCACTGGGTACCCATGGACACAAAGATGGGAATGACAGACACTGGGGACCCCCAGAGGGAGGGGGTAGGAAGGGGAGAGGGAAGGAGTGAAAAAAAACCACCCCTTGGCTACTATGCTCACTGCCTGGAGACGGATCCATTCTTACTCCAAACCTCAGCATCATGCAATACACCCAGGAAGCAAACCTGCACACGTACCCCCGATTCTAAAATAAATTTGAAAAAAAGAAGAATGCGAGCATTTCCCATTGGTCACAGGCCCTTCCCACGGCAGCGTCCAGCACCCAGGTTCCCAGCCAGGGCTGGGCGGGGCTGGCATTGTGTAGGTAAATGCTGCAGTGGTTTACTTGGCATCTGACTACCCTGACATTTTATGGGTAGGATTTGTACCACTGCACAAAAATAGTTTTAACCAAAAATATACTTGTGAAAAACAGTAGGAAATGCCAGAAAGACCAGACTTCTTTACAATCAAAGAATTACGTGTATGTGTTTTTAAGTGGAATTATCTGGAAGAGTGGCACTTCCAAAAGAGTTTCCATGAATGAGTGAATAATGAAGTTCTAGGTTAGGATCTCGGCTCTGTAATTTATTATCTGGGTAAACCAGGGCAAATTTTTTAATCTTTTAATTAATTTTTTTTTTTTTTGAGACAGGATCTGTCGCCCAGGCTGGAGTGCAGTGGCGCGATCTCGGCTCACTGCAGCCTCTGCCTCTCAGGTTGAAGTGATTCTCCTGCCTCAGCCTCCCGAAGTACCTGGGATTACAGGTGTCCGTCACCACGCCCAGCTAATTTTTGTATTTTTAATAGAGACGGGTTGCACCATGTTGGCCAGGTTGGTCTCAGCTGCCCACCTCAGCCTCCCAAAGTGCTGGGATTACAGGTGTGAGCCACTGCGCCCAGCCTTTAACCTTCTAAAGCTCAGCCTCCTGTTTTGTGGAGTAGCAGTATCTGCGCCTGCGCTGCTCTCACTGCGCAATGGAAGCAATACAGCACGGAGCTTAGCAGGGAAAGGCATGAGAAGCTGCTAGCGTGGGGACTCAAGGAACATCAGCAGTGTCCTTACCTTCATAGGAATTAAGGCCAAACCATTTATGGGTGACTATGTCAGGAGAAGGGAGGAAAAAAAAAAAAAAACCCTGTTCCTGATAGACGAGAAACTGCTCAGGGGAAAGAGGACGTCGCTTTCCATGTCATTATTCCTCAGCCAGGGTTGTGCGGATGGGAGCGCTGGTCACTTAAGCACATGAAGAAGAAAAAGTCTTTCTGCGAAACATGGACGGAGCCTGGAACATGCAGGGCCACGCGTGAGGGACGGGCCGAAGTCAGGGATGTGGGGCCAGGAGCCGCCGTGTGGGGTGGACCCCTGCCAGAAAAGCAAACGGGCAGTGGATGGACTATGGTATGCTATGCGGCTCACAAGATAAAAGTTTTTTTTTAAAACCTCCCCCACCCCCTAAAGAGATCATTATTGTTACGACATAGAAAAACCTAGCCTTGCAGCTGAGGCTGCACCGTGCAGGCAGAGACCGTCGAGGAACCCACAGCAGAATTGGCCATGGGTGAAGGCTGAGTCTGCACCGTGCAGGCAGAGACCGTCGAGGAACCCACAGCAGAAGTGGCCCACGGAGGAGGAGCACTGAGCCGCCTCCTATGGCAGCGACACAGAAGCCAGGCCTGGAAGGCAGAGCGGGAGAGCAGAGAGACATGCTCCACGCCGCAGGCCCAGCTCACCCTCCGACTGAGGCAGGAGTGCTGGAGCTCTCGGCGGCCGGTGGGGACAAGGAGGACCCCGGCAGGCGCGGGCAGGGCCGGGGCAACTGGGCAGGACCCCAGGGAACTTTGGATACGGGCAGAGGAAGGTCTTCCAGTCGGGGAAGGCGGGAGGTGTTAAGATGCAAGCACTTGGCAGTTAGCGGGCTATGAGGATCTTTTCTATCTCGAAGCCGTGCGTCTTTCACCTGTTGTTCGACTGGTATGCTCTGTGGCTCACAAGATACAAGTTTTTTTTTTTAAACCTCCCCCACCCCCTAAATAAATTATTATTGCAATTTAAAAACCTAGCCTTGCAAAACAGCTTTTGAAGAACAAGGGAAATAATTGCTCAAAGCCCACTTGCTCTACAAACAGGTGATTTCAGAGACCTTTGAAAAGAGCCCCAGCTGCTGAACTTAACCTGGGGCCCCGCGAATGAACCAGGCTCCGCCCCTGACGCCCGAGACACCGCGCACAAGAAGGCAGTGCTGGATCTCCCGCAGGGCCCTGAAGCAGCTCTCTGGTGCACTGAAAAGGCAGCACCACGTGGTGGATCATCCACGGGGCAGCCCCAGGGCAAACGTGGTGAAGCCAGGGGTTTGCGGGAGGGACAGCCTTGCCGGTGCGGGGGACGCGGTCTCGGGACTGACGGCGCAGGGGACGCGCGGGATTGACGGAGCGGGAGATGCGGTCGCGGGATGGGATGTGCTCCCCGTAGCTCCCGGCGTGGCTGCAGTGGGCCGGTTGCGGGGAAGAAAAGGGCCGGTGTCGTAATTGACTGGACAGGTACTAATGCCGACCACATCCAAATATGGATGATGACGAGCGTGGTGTTGCCCACAGTCCAGGCCTGTCCAGGCGCCATTCCCCGTGGCCTGCACGCTCCTGGGTCATGCTCCGCTCAGGCGGCTCCTTCAGTGAAGTTGCACAGCAGTCAGGGTAACCTCCATGTCCCCAAAGGGCAAGACCGGCTCAGAGGCGAGGTAGGTGGCACGAGGCCACACAGCTGGTCAGCTCAGCCGGGCTGGGACGCGGGCCCCAGACCGTGGCCCCCGTGCAGCTCTGGGTCCAGCTGGCCAAGGTGGACTTTGCACAAGGTTTGGGAGGCTAAAGGGAGCCGAGGCAGGTGGCAGCTGCTGTGCTGGGAAGGCTGCGTGCGCGGGGCATCCTCTCTTGGCCCGGGTGGGCGGACGCAGGGGTCCCTGGAGGACGGGACTGGCATGTCTCCTGCATCCCGCGGTGTCCTTGCTTTGTGTCCAGGTCCCTCCTGACCCCCGCCCATCCACCCTACTGGCTCAGAGACGTGGAGGCAGTGGTCCCTTCCCCAGCTCCCCACGCTACCCCCCAACCCTTGCTGCACAGCAGAAGGCCCTGCTCAGAAAATCCCTGATTTCACGGGACTCCTAGTGGCTCTGCCTCCCGGATGGAGCCCTGCCTGCGTGGCTGCTCTGTGGCTAACAAACAGCGTGCTCCTGGTTTCCCTGCCACGGTACGCCCCTCCAGCCACGTCAGGCCATTGCTCAACTGGAGGAGTGACATCGCTCCTTAACTTTCATACCTAGGTTTATGTCATACTTTCCAAGTTACACAAGTCACATCAAATAATTCCGACGTTTCAAGAAAAAGGCAAGTGACTCTATTATTCCTCGTTTCTCTTGGGTCTGAAAAATCATGTCCTGTGAAGCCCTTCAGACCTGCCTGGGGTTCGAGTCCCTGGATCTGCCGCTCCCCCCTTCCCTCTCCTGGGAGCATCGGTGCCTGGGCGCCGTGGGCGCAGGCGGTCGGCATTGTTACTTAGGTCCGAGCTAAGTTACGTCTCCTCTGCCCAAATCCTGTCAATGCAGCACCGTGTCCACCATGCGCCAAGGGAGCCTGCTGGGCTGAGATGCACCTGTTTAGGCAGCATCGGGGAGCGATGTTCCTGAGGAGCTGGGAGGCCCTGCTTCCTGGATGGACTGGCTCCTGCGGGAACTCCGGCAGGTGGGAGAACCCGAGGTGGACAGAGGTCTGCTAGTGTCAGCCGCTTGGCCCAGGAGCCTGGCGTGTCCAGTGTCAGCTCCTTGTAAGCCCATCAGGGCCGCTTCATTAAAGTTGAATTTAAAGCCAGACTTTAAAGAATGAACTGCTGTCTTTTCAAAGGCCTCCTTCAAATGGAAGACGGACACGTGTGACTCAGACATGTGGGGCTCACTGTCCGGGGCGGCCTGGCTTTTTATCTTCAGCGGTTGCTGTTATTGGTCAATGATGTTGGTGTTCAGATCTGCAAGTTCTGGACTCATGACTTTGAGGCTTTAAAAATTACTTTAACAAATAATGTACGCGTTGAGAATGGTCGCCTGGGCAGCGATTATAATGGAAGTTCTTTGTGTTATATCTTTCAAAATGTGCCAGTCCATGTGGGGTGCTGGTGCTTTGGGGCACCAGCCCCTGCCCCTCTCTTGGGGAGGAGCTGGATGGAACACAAGTCCAGCACTCACAGAGGCTCATCCTGAGTTGTCTGCCCAGGGAACATCAGTGAGAACCATAGTGTAGGAAGAGACCGGGCGGGCAAAGTGGGACCATCCAGCAGCCCCTACCTGTCAGGGGGACCCACCCCTTCCTTCCAGCCTTCCCTGTTCACAGAGGGTGCTGCAGGCCGCCAGGGTGCTGTCCCCCCAACGCCATATCGGCATTCAGAACAGATGCCATACTCTGCTCTAGGGGCCTCCTTCTGCCCCCACATCACCCACTGAATCTCTCTAACAAACATCCCCCACGTGGTGATCAGTTTCCCACGTGCTCAGGGGGTTCTGCGCCCTGCCCCAAATCTTACAGCTGATGTGGGGTAGAGACAGAATCCCACCCAGGTTTGGCTCCCAGGAGTGTGACCCAGGATGGGACAGCGATTTGTGCTTTGCAGAGAAGTGAACTCAGCAGTCGGGATGCAGGGTGCACGTTCTCGGTGTCCCCACGTTCAGCTCTACATGCACGACCCCAAACTTCCTAAAGGCTCATGACGCAAATAAAACCACAAGTCCTGCCCTCGAGAGATCATTATCTGGGCCCAGAGCAGCTGCTCCACAGAAGTGCGAAGGAGAATGAGCAGAGCCAGTCCTTCCTGTCCTCTCCCTGTCCTCCCTCCCATCCTCCCCACCTCCCACATCTTCCCTGTGCTCCCCGAGTCTTCTCCATGCCCCTCAGCCCTCTTCTGGCCAGATCCAGCCTCACCCCATCACCATTGCTATTCAGCGGTCACAGTCTCCACTGACACCTGCTGGGGTACTTGCCTTTTAACAAGGCATCCAAAATAAGAAAAAACTTTTCAGAATGCTTGTGATTTTTGTATATTGATTTTGTATCCTGAGACTTTGCTGAAGTTGCTTATCAGCTTAAGGAGATTTTGGGCTGAGACAATGGGGTTTTCTAGATATACAATCATGTCGTCTGCAAACAGGGACAATTTGACTTCCTCTTTTCCTAATTAATTGAATACCCTTTATTTCCTTCTCCTGCCTAATTGCCCTGGCCAAGCATTCTTATACACCAACAACAGACAAACAGAGAGCCAAATCATGAGTGAACTCCCATTCACAATTGCTTCAAAGAGAATAAAATACCTAGGAATCCAACTTACAAGGGATGTGAAGGACCTCTTCAAGGAGAACTACAAACCACTGCTCAAGGAAATAAAAGAGGATACAAACAAATGGAAGAACATTCCATGCTCATGGGTAGGAAGAATCAATATCGTGAAAATGGCCATACTGCCCAAGGTAATTTATAGATTCAATGCCATCCCCATCAAGCTACCAATGACTTTCTTCACAGAATTGGAAAAAAACTACTTTAAAGTTCATATGGAATCAAAAAAGAGCCCACATTGCCAAGTCAATCCTAAGCCAAAAGAACAAAGCTGGAGGCATCACACTACCTGACTTCAAACTATACTACAAGGCTACAGTAACCAAAACAGCATGGTACTGGTACCAAAACAGAGATATAGATCAATGGAACAGAACAGAGCCCTCAGAAATAATGCCTCATATCTACAACTATCTGATCTTTGACAAACCTGAGAAAAACAAGCAATGGGGAAAGGATTCCCTATTTAATGAATGGTGCTGGGAAAACTGGCTAGCCATATGTAGAAAGCTGAAACTGGATCCCTTCCTTACACCTTATACAAAAATCAATTCAAGATGGATTAAAGACTTAAACATTAGACCTAAAACCATAAAAACCCTAGAAGAAAACCTAGGCATTACCATTCAGGACATAGGCATGGGCAAGGACTTCATGTCTAAAACGCCAAAAGCAATGGCAACAGAAGACAAAATTGACCAATGGGATCTAATTAAACTAAAGAGCTTCTGCACAGCAAAAGAAACCGCCATCAGAGTGAACAGGCAACCTACAGAATGGGAGAAAATTTTTGCAACCTACTCATCTGACAAAGGGCTAATATCCAGAATCTACAATGAACTCAAACAAATTTACAAGAAAAAAACCCCATCAAAAAGTGGGCGAAGAACATGAACAGACACTTCTCAAAAGAAGACATTTATGCAGCCAAAAAACACATGAAAAAAGGCTCATCATCACTGGCCATCAGAGAAATGCAAATCAAAACCACAATGAGATACCATCTCACACCAGTTAGAATGGCAATCATTAAAAAGTCAGGAAACAACAGGTGCTGGAGAGGGTGTGGAGAAATAGGAACACTTTTACACTGTTGGTGGGACTGCAAACTAGTTCAACCATTGTGGAAGTCAGTGTGGCGATTCCTCAGGGATCTAGAACTGGAAATACCATTTGACCCAGCCATCCCATTACTGGGTATATACCCAAAGGACTATAAATCATGCTGCTATAAAGACACATGCACACGTATGTTTATTGCAGCATTATTCACGATAGCAAAGATTTGGAACCAACCCAAATGTCCAACAATAATAGACTGGATTAAGAAAATGTGGCACATATACACCATGGAATACTATGCAGCCATAAAAAATGATGAGTTCATGTCCTTTGTAGGGACATGGATGAAATTGGAAATCATCATTCTCAGTAAACTATCGCAAAAACAAAAAACCGAACACCGCATATTCTCACTCATAGGTGGGAATTGAACAATGAGATCACATGGACACAGGAAGGGGAATATCACACTCTGGGGACTGTTGTGGGGTGGGGGGAGGGGGGAGGGATAGCAATGGGAGATATACCTAATGCTAGATGACGAGTTAGTGGGTGCAGCGCACCAGCATGGCACATGTATACATATGTAACTAACCTGCACAATGTGCACATGTACCCTAAAACTTAAAGTATAATAATAAAAAAAAAAGAGAAAAAAGAAAAAACTTTTCAGAGCCAAAGGAGAGAGGTGGGAGCATGGTGGCCCCAGGCACCGCATGCAGGGAGGGGTATCAGGGCCCCCCTTGGGAAGTGTGTCCCTGCGTGTCCAAGGCCCTGCAGCCACAATCCAGCCCCGCCCCTGAAAAGCATGTTAGGCCCAGGTGCTGGTGCCGGAGGCTAACCCTCCATCAGAGCCCACAGCCGCCCACTCACGGTCGGTCACAGGGCTAACCCTCCATCAGAGCCCACAGCCGCCCACTCACAGTCGGTCACAGGGCTAACCCTCCATCAGAGCCCACGGCCGCCCACTCATGGTCACAGAGCTAACCATCAGAGCCCACGGCCGCCCACTCATGGTCGGTCACAGGGTTAACCCTCCATCAGAGCCCATGGCTGCCCACTCACAGGCACAGAGTCCATCCCAGGCCACAGTGGGAAGGAGAGGGAGATGCCCTGAGGTGTCCAGTCCAACTCAAATTTCCAGCCACATACACCATGACCTCTGGCGTGATGTGCCCTCCTCATTTTTCTCTCCCTTCCCTTTTCCAACAAAAGCTCAGCCCTGGTGATGACAGCACAGACTCCAGCTCTCCAGAGGCCCAAGACAGCCTGCCCCAGTCACTGTGGCCATGGGGCGGCCTTCGCTCTGAGGCACAGGTTGGCGGTGGCCCTGAGCCAGGCTGGTGTGGCCTCGAGTCCCTTCTCCTAGCCCCAAACCCCACGGCACAGTTGGGGATCCTCTCGGCTGGGTCCCCAGGGGAGCTGCACACTGAGCCTCCACCTCCTTTTCAGAGTTGGGAGCAGCTGCCCCCCTGGCCATGGGGGAAGGCCACGCCCCTAACCTGACTGCAGATTAAATTCTTCTGGAAATCTTAGCCTGCCTCACTGCTTGGTTTCCTCTTCATTCGGAATTAATTCCTCCCTTGGATGCTGAGGGCTGGTGGCTGGTCCTCTCTTCGCAGTGCAGTCACTTGCTGGAGTCTCCTGAGGGCAGGAGAGCCCCGGCAGTGGTAGGAGGAGGCTGCACCGGGCAGGGTTAGGGGCTGCTGGGCCTCTGCTGTGTGGCCACTGCCCCATGTGGCTGCCCCATCCCCCAGAGCACCACGGTGCCCACCTTTTGTTTTCAGAGAAGCAACAACACCTCATATTCAGTCTAACCTGTGACCATTTTCCAAACACTCTCATGTTCGTTTGATCTTCATGATGTCCGTGAACACAGGGAAGCTTTAGTCGCAGCCACATGAGTGGAGCATGTGGAGGCTAGGAGAGGCCATGCACGCACCCTCTAGGATGGCCGTAACTAAACACACACACACAACAAAAACGTGCTGGCGAGAATGCTGAGGAATCGTAACTGGCACACTCTGCAGGGAGGAATATAGCATGATGCAGTCGCTGTTAGTGGGTCCTCAAAAAACTAACCACAGAATCAGCCCAGGACCCAGCAGTTCCACCAGGGGCATATGCCCAAAAGCACCGAATGCAGTGACTCAGAGAGAGATTCGCACGCCCATGTTCATAGCAGCAGCGCTCACAGAAGCCAAGAGGTGAGGCCACCCAAGCGTCCACCAATGGAAGAAAAGATAAACATCATGTGGTCCACCCACACATGGGAATATTACTCAGCACTGAAAAGGCAGAGATTTTGGATGCAGGCTACAACATGGATGAACCTTGAAGATGTTATGCTAAGTGAAATAAGCCAGTCACAATATGATAAACACTGTGTGATTCCACTCGTATGGGGTCCTTAGAGTCATCAGATCCATAGAGACAGAATGTAGGACAGTGGGTCCTGGGGGCTGGGGAGTTAGTGTTTAATGGGGACAGACTTCCAGTGTGGAAAGATGGAAAGAGTTTTAGAAGCAGATAGTGATGATGGTTGCACAGTATTTTGAATGTAAATACTACCACTAAATTGTACATTTAAAGGTTAAAAATCACAAATGTTATATATTTTACCACAATAAAAAATTAAAAAATAAAAGAGTGAGAGACTGCGTGCCTGGCATACAGCAGGGGACAGGAGCCGATTGTCTGTCCTACAGCTGGGAAATGATCCATCCTGCCATTCATCCATCCATCCATCAAGCACTCATCCATCCTTCCATCCTTCATCCACCCATCCATCTACCCATCCATCCATCCATTGATCCATCCATATCCATCCATCCATATCCATCCATCCACCCACCCACCCATCCATCTACCCATCCACTTTCATCCATCCAACCATCCATCATTCTTCCATCCATCCATCCATCATGCACTCATCCATCCCTCCATCCTTCCTCCATCATCCATGCATCCATACCTCCATCCATCCAACCACCCATCCTTCCCCCATCCATCCACTCACTCCCCATCCATCCTTCATCCATCCATCCATCCTTCTTTTATCCATCCAACCATCCATCCATCATTCCTCCATGCATCCATCCTTCACCCATCCATCCATCCTTCTTTCATCCACCCACCCACCTGTCATTCATCATCCATTCTTCCTCCATTCATCCACCCATCCAACCATCCATCCATCTTTCCTTCATCCATCCCTCCATCATCCATCCACCCATCCATCATCCTTTCACCCATCCATCATCCACTCTTCTTCCATCTATCCACCATCCCTCATCCGTACAACCCATCCATCATCCATTCTTCCTCCATCTGTCCACCCTTCACCCATCCATCCATCCTTCTTTCATCCACCCACACACCCACCCATCCATCCATCCTTCCTCCATCCATTCACCCACCCATCCATCATCCATCATCCATTTTTCCTCCATCCACCCATCCACTCATCCATCCATCCATCATTGCTCCATCCATCCACCCACCTACCCATCCATCATCCATTCTTCCTCCATCCGTCCACCCTTCACCCATCCATCCATCCTTCTTTCATCCACCCACATACCCATCCACCCATCCATCATCCATTCTTCATCCATTCACCCTTCACCCATCCATCCATCCTTCTTTCATCCACCCAAACTCCCACTCATCCATCCATCCTTCCTCCATCCATTCACTCACCCATCCATCATCCATTCTTCCTCCATCCATCCACTCATCCACTCATCCATCCATCCATCCATCATTACTCCATCCATCCATCCATCCACCCACCCATCCATCCATCATCCATTCTTCCTCCATCCATCCACCCTTCACCCATCCATCCATCCTTCTTTCATCCACCCACACACCCATCCATCCATCCAACCATCCATCCTTCCTTCATCCACCCATCCATCCAACCAACCATTCATCCTTCCTCCATCCATCCATCCATCTATCCGCCCACCCATCCATCATCCATTCTTCTTCCATTCATCCATCCATCATCCATCTACTTATCCATCATCCACTCTTCTTCCATCCATCCACCATCCCCCATCTGTCCACCAATCCATCCATCCATCCATCCATCCATCCACCCACACACCCATCCATCCATCCAACCATCCATCCTTCCTCCATCCATCCATCCTTCCATCCATTCACCCACACATCCATCATCCATTCTTCTTACATCCATCCACCCATCCATCCTTCCTTCATCCATCCATCCATCATCCATCTACCCATCCATCATCCACTCTTCTTCCATCCAACCACCATCCCTCATCTGTCAACCAAACCATCCATCCATCCATCCATGCATCCATCCTTCTTTCCTCCATCCATCTATCCACCCATCCTTCCTCCATCCATCCATTGATCCACCCATAAACAAACACTTTCACTGAAGAGACACGGGAGGAATCAGAAAAAGCTATTCTCAGAGCTTCTATCCTAGAGAATTGCTGGCACTTGCAGAGTGTGTTTGGATGACTTGGGTGTTCCTCACAAATGCCTGTGCTGCGGGTCCTATTCTTTTCCCCAGTTTATGGAGGAGACACTAAGGTACCCAGAACTGCAAGAACTTGCTCAATGCTCCATAGCATTTGGCTGAGACACCATTTCTTGGAGGACAGGACATTGAAATCTCAGAGGCTGGGTGAGACACAGGGCCACTTTGCAGGTGGCTCTCGAAACACGTCCCCTTGGCTACCTCCGTTGGGGCCTTCACCCTCTACTTGTAGTTGATGGCACCAGAAATGGTCTTTTCTGGGCTTATGTCTCTGTCTTCCTGGCCAGCTCTCAGCACTGGCTCTTGCCGGGTGGGTGGAATCCTGTCTGATGACCCAGCTGGGAGTGGCTTGTCCCCCTCTGGACACTGCCAGCCCTCCTCCTGGCACCACCTAGCACCATACAATAGTCACTCCAGGGGCTGCCATTGCCACAGCTCCCCCTGCAGGGTAGGGGCCAGGCCTTGGCACGTCTTGATTCAAATCCTGGCACTTGCAGTGTAGATGAGGAGCTCTGGGCAAGGTACTGAGCTTCCCTGGCTGCAGGGAGGTTGACATGAAGTAGCCAGGCTGTGCTGGGCACACAGCACTCCACGTCCATCATCCATCTGTGGCTTATGAACGCCTTGTACCAGATTTATCCTTGGACCCTACCAATTTAAGGGGACCACGGAAGCTTCTGAACAAGAAGGAGGGGTTTCCCTGTTCCTCCTGGCATCTTGGTTTTACAATGAGACTGACTGCCATGTTATCTGTGTTCTTAGGATAACCCAATCTTTCTCTCTCCTTCTACCTTGATAATGATGCCTGACACTTTGTACGGTGTTTGCCTTTGCGTACAAATGGCTGGGAAGTCCTCACAGTCACACCCTGCAGTAAGAATGCTCACGAATACAGCAGTAAGAATGCTCCTGCTCTCCCAGGAAACACTGCATTGGGGAAGTGAGTGCCCATGGGTGCAAGTCAGCAACTGGCCAGGGCGACCGCTCTTTCACTGCCAGGCCAGTCTGCCTTCCGTGGTCACAGGCGAACACTGTTCTGTTTGGTGCTGTGCCTCTGCAGTGTGGTGAGAACTGTCTATACTCCTGCTCCTCTTAGAAACGCTGTGTGTGTGTGGAGGCGGTGGGAACCAGTGGTCCTGGCAAGGCCTGCCAGGCTCAGACCTGGAGCAGAGCCAGGCCCCAGCTGAAGCAGAAACTTCCAGCTCTGTGCTCCTTGCTATTTTTTGTTTGTTTGTTTTGTTATTGTTTTTAAACTCAAAAGGCAGGTAGGACTTAGGAGGCAAGAAAGCCCGCTTGAGGGACATTAAGGACATGAAGGCACAGTCATGGGACGCTTCCATACACGATTCCTGCTTATTGCTGACACCGAGCGGTAAAAAGAGAATTGCCACTGTGAGTCACACACTCTGCAGTGTGGCGACTAATATTGATCTTCCAAACGGTAAAAACAAGAACAAACTGGAAAGACAAACTCTACTTCAGATTGCAACTACTTAAGCATCTTTGTTTAACAAAATCAATAAAAAAAGATTTCACTAACAAGACTGCAACCTATATTTGTGGCTATGAATTCCCCAGATTGCTGGAATATCAAATCCAGAGCACAGGAGATGCAGAGAGAGTGAGGCCCAGCAAGCCTGTTTTACAGTCAACGGATCGTCCTCTGCTCCTCCGAGCAGCTCATCTGCGTTCGGCTGTGCGATCTGAGTGTGTTCACTGAAGCACAGCACACGGGCAGAACCGCACGCTACATCCTCAGGCTTTGCTTTGGGGCCAAGAAGCGACCCCCCTACAGTGACAGAGTGTGGCTCCGGGCCGGACGCCCCACGCTGGCCTCCCGTTCCCATATCCCGGCCATGAGAGCACGCGGCCGCAACACTTGTCTTCAAGGAGCCATGATGGGGATGACGTGAGGCTCCCCAGCTCCTGGAGAGGCCAAGGGGGCTGCGACGCCCCAGCCCAGCCCCAGCTCCACCCCAGATGTTTCTGTTCAGAAACAAAATCAGTTACAAAAAAACCTAAACACATCACCCCACAAGAAAAGTCATTTGGAAAAATCATTTGGAAATCACACTGATTTCCTTAAAATATAAAAAACATTGATTTATCTCGATCTCATCCATTCTGCTTAGGGGAGCAGTTTCTGCTTTAATTGTAGTGTCTTTCTTTAGAAAATAAGGACAAGTGATTGGGGTGTTTTGGCACCCACAGTGCCATGGCACCTATGGAGGCTTTAAAGAACAAACATGCCCTCGGAAGAAGTTACTCGGCGAAGTCGACACACACATCTCTGAGTCAGACATTTCCTCACATTGTCCCCTCATTTGTCAACACATAATTACTGTCACCGCTGTGTGCTGACGCTGGCATCAGGTTGCACGTGCCAGTCAGCATAAAAATATGGCCGTAATGTTGGCATAATTTTTCATGATCATCTTCATTAACCACAGCGAACGGGAGGAGCGTTTGCCTGCACCCAGCCATCGTCATGACAACGCCTCCACCGCGGCCAGCCCAGTGTCCACCGAGGGCAGCGGTTGAATGTCCTCATTATTCCGCCCCCCACACGCTTTGCCCGTGCCAAGCAAGGACCAACACATGCCGGTGATTTATCCCCAGGCCACTCCCGACGGCATCCAGGCTTAAGGCGCTGGTCTGATTTCACAGTTTAATTACTGCTAATCTGAGAGGCCACAGCTAATGAGCTGCCGGCAACCAGCTCGCCCTGCTGGAATTCCACACCCCTTCCCTGGATGACTCCCCTCATTGTCGGGGGGGCAGTTAAGGAAGGTGTATTGACTTCTAGGTGTGACAGGTTGACTAAGCACCTATGGAAACATCACAGCAATGTCAACAGGCAAATGGAACACAGATAGGATTTTGGAATTCAGCCACCACAACTCCACTGAAGACAGTATGGGTTGCTGATACACCCCAGACCTTCTGCAGGCCTTGGGTAGAAGATGTTGGGCTTGGCTTTAGCCACGCCACGGGCTCCCTTGGTCCTGCATAAAACACACCCACACATCTTCACCAGGATTTGTAACAGCACAGCAGACATGTCACCAGCCCCTCCACACGGAACTCTCTTCCGCAGCTCCCTGTGGCTCAGCGCGTTCCTGCCTCCCACTCCACCACAGCTCCCTCCCAGACCTGCAGGCTTCACATCTAAAACACTATCCCAGGCGCTCCTCACCTGGATTCCCTGGGGGCTGCCATGGGCCCCTCCCTGCCACCCGCCCCTTTGCACACTTTATTCTTCCCAAGACCCGGCAGATGGCCTGAAAGCACATGTGGGGCTGTGGCCTCTGGTGCAGGCATCATGGCTTACTGGGCTTTAGGATACACACCCCGACCTCGGCTACCGCATCCACGCTTGGCCCCAGCAGCCCGTCCGGCCTGGGGTTCTCTGTGGCTTCCTTGGTCTCCGAGCCTCCCCAGCACTTTCACTTCCCGCTGCCACCGGCCCCGGTGAATGCTGCTTCTGCTTCTAGAACACTGCTCTGCAATTTAGAGATGAAATTCTGGCACCCTTAATTCTATTTGTTTAATCCAGTGAATTTAATTTCAGGAACATATTGGAACCATGCTTAGCTTCAGAGCAGAGTTTATGTAGATAGAATATGACTGGAGGTTTCTGCTGGTTTAAGTGTGTCAGTCACAGAATGCATGATGTCAGTATAACAACTACCCTTGCTTAATGATAACGCTAATTAAATATTCTTAGCAGCATCATGTGGAGAAACTGGATTTTCAATTAAGCACTTTCTGAGGTGAGGGTCTCAGCAGGTCCCACCTCTTTACGTTAAACCGGAGGCTTTCTGCTGTTGTCAGGCCCTGTGCACCCAGAGAATGTAGGAATTATGAATGCGTGAAGCTAATTTCTTTTCATTTTCATTCAATGGTATGTGAGCTTTTCCAAATACATGATCCTACTCTCTCCTTTGGGGAGAAATCTTTGTTAAAAATTAGCGCTATAGGGGAGCTTATTTTGCCCAATGACAGAGCAGATCTGAAA